>NC_000012.12:106248006-106551037 GCF_000001405.40 Homo sapiens
GCCGGGCCGAGGAGGCGGGAGGAGGGGGCCTGCCTCCGCCGCCGCGGCGCCGACCCCGCCTCCCGGTAAGGGAGGCCGAGCGAGCCGAGCCGGGAGAGCTTGCCACGCACGCCGGCCCGGCGGCCCCTCCTCCCCGCCGCCACGACCCCGGAGAGGGAGGGCCGGGCGGGGTCTACGGGGGCCGGGAAGCCGGCGCGGGGGTGGCTGGGCGCGGGGCGGGGTCCCGGCGGGGTCTGCGGAGGCCGGGGTGGGCACCGAGGTGGCCGCGAGGGGAGGGGAGAAGAGCGGAGCGGAGGGGAGGGGACGCGGCCGAGGTGGGGCTGGCGGCCCGGCGGGTTCCACGCAGGCTGGGGGCGGAGGGCCAGATCGACCCCAGCCGGGGCGGCCGAGCAGGGTCCACGGGGGTCGGGGATGGGCGGCCAGGCGGGGTCGGAGGGACGAAAGCCGGGGTGAACCTGCGCCGCGGGCCAAGCGCGACCCCCTCCCTTCCCGACCTGTGCGGAGAGGAGAGAAATGAAGGGGGGCGCCCAAGGAGCCCTGGCCCCGGGAGTGGGAGTCAGCGGGTGGGAACAGATCGCCCTTCCTTTCCGCTGGGAATTGGGGGACTCCCCCTGCTTTCACTCTCCCAGCCCGCCATGGGGTTGGGCCTTGTCCTTTGCCTTGGGTTTGAAGGCGGAGACAAAAAAGGCTGTCCAAAATCCAGCCAGCTTGGGAGGCATGGTTGATGCGAGTTAGCAAAGATTCTCGACTGTGGTAAGTCTGTTCAAGGGGACGCATTCACCAAGTGTCCCCGTTAGCCAAGTTAGCCTGCTGTGGCCAGCTCTTTACTTTTTCCCCCCGAAGCCCCTTCAGCTCTGTTTTCTCTTTCGGGGTCATGAAGTTTGTCCACGGCCCCTACTCCTGACAGCCTCTGGGATGGGTGCTGCGGAGGCAGCAGCAGCCACACAGAAAGAGGCAGATCAGCGTTGTCACCCCTACTTTTGTAAAAGGAAATCTGGTATTGCCAGGCTGTGTGGTTAGCGACTCACATATGTTCTCGAAATCTCACAAAAGCCCTGTGAGGTAGAAATTATTTTACCCATTTTATAGGAAGGAAATTGAGACTGAGCGAGCCGGCTTCGGATTGGCTCAAGGTCACATATAGTCATCATTCGAACCTCACTCAGTCTGCTTCTTTCTGAAGTCTGTGCAGCTTAATCACTTCAGAATGGGAAGGAAACGGGGGCCCAGGGAAGTTAAGCAACTTGCCCACTCACTCAGTCTAATTGGTGCCGGGGCAGGGACAGAACTCACTCAATTCCACTGCTTTCCCCAGTTTCTGGTGAGTGATGTGTGCCTGGCACTGTGTGCACCTGGCACTGTGTGTAGTAGGAATGCTGTTTCTTCTGTCTGTAACCTCCTCCCAGTTCTGTAAACAAAGACAAAACCATGCCCTGCCCTTAAAGCCTATAGGGTTCAAATGCCACCTCTTTGATGATGCTTTCCCTATAACACCATTTGATACCTCTCATGGGACTTAGCAAGTAATTGCAACGAGAGGCATATATGTTAGTTCAATATAGCAAACCTTTGTTGAGGGCCCACTGTGTGCCAGGTATGTCTCCCCTCCCTGAGGACTGGAAGCAACCATAGTTTATATTTCTCCTTCTTTCTCGCTTTATAAGGTGTTGCTAAAAGCCTCCAGTGAATGAATGAACACTTGTGTGCCTGCCCTCAAGGAGCCTGCACTACACTTGGAGATATATACAGAAACCTGTTGAGGGCTAACTTAGGTAAATTGGGAACATAAATGTAAAGAGATTTGGAAAGCAAACCATTGGCCTGTACATGGGCAGGCTTTGGGGGCAGAAAGACCTTGAGCAGTGCCTTGAAGAATGATTTGCATATGAGGAGAGCAGGGAGGATATTTCTGTGGCGGAAATGGGGTGAGCCCAGGACACCTGTTGGCCATGAGGGTGTGTTCTACATGTAGAGAAGAAAGAGATGAACTGGGTGGAGCGGGTCCAGATTGCAGAAGGCTATAGAAGCCAAGCTGGCAGATAGAAGAATCGCTATTAGTGTGGGAGGACAGAGTAAATTATAGCAGGTTCTGGACTAGAAATACAACCATCTGCCCCAGACAGAGAGGAACACCCTACTTCAGCTAAATACCAGGAGCTATTGTAGGAGCCTCTAGGTTCAACAGGGCACAGGTCTCTGACCTGTGGCGCGGGGAGACAGCAGAAGAAATCAGAAGACACTCATCACAGGAACCTTGTTTAAAAACTATTCAGCTGAGTTCGGGTTGTGTTGTTAAAATCTCTAGCGCGCAAAAAGAGGTTATCCCCCTTCAAGCAGTTCTCCATGTTAGGGGCAGAGGCAGTGATAACTGGTAAAGCAGCTTGCTGCCAAGATCTGGCCTTGAAAGCAAGAGCCCTACTCCTTTAGTGCTACCAAAGTGTGTGACCTTGAGAAGTATCCCTAAACTCCTCTAGATTTCAGGGTCACCCTTTCTGTAAGGTGCATCTTTAAGGACCTGTCTTATTATTAATCCGTTTCTTAGAGAAATAGTCATCTGATCCTTATCAAAAATAATTAAATGATATTTAAATTTTTAAAAATTGATCCAGGCCAAGTACAGTGCCTCACACCTGTAATCCCAACGCTATGGGAGGCCAAGGCAGGAAGATCACTTGAGGCCAGGAGTTCAAGACCAGCCTAGATAACAGCAAGACCCTGACTCCACCAAAAAAAATTTAGCTGGATGTGGTGGCACTCAGGAGGCTGAGACAGGAGGATCGCTTGAGCCTGGGAGTTCAAGGTTATAGTGAGCTATGATGGCACCACTGTACTCCAGCCTGGGCAACAGAGCAAGACCCTGTCTCAGGAAAAAAAAAAAAGCAGACTGTAGGCCAGATATGAGAATGGACGGTTTCTCAATTTTTACCTCTACTGAGCACTGAATGAATGAATAGAGAGTAGGACGATGGGACTGTTAATATTTTCAGCATTTCCCTCTCATTCTTTTCCTCTGGGAGATAGTACATACAATGGTTAAGACACAGGCTATAGAATAGACTGACTTGGGTTCAAATTCAGCTCCATGACTGACTTTGGAGTGTGACCTCTCTGAACCTCAGTATCTTCAGCTATAAGACAGGAGTAATTGCTACCTCACTAGGCCAGGTGTGGTGGCTCACACCTATAATCCCAGTACTTGGGGAGGCCGAGGCAGATGGACTGCTTGAGCCCAAGAGTTCAAAACAAGCCTGGGCAACAAGGCAAAACCCTGTCCCTACAAAAAATACAAAAAAAAATTATCCAGGCATGGTGGAGTGTGACTGTAGTCCCAGCTACTTGGGGAGCTGAGGTGAGAGGATCACTTGGGCCTGGAAAGTCAAGGCTGCAGTGAGCCCTGTTCACCATTGCACTCCACCCAAAAAAAAAGAACAACCTTGCTGTTATGCGGATTAGACAAGAGACACCATATGATACTGGGCATATGGCAATGCTCAGTGAATATTGGACAGCTAATACAATTTGCAGAGTCACTGAGGAAAAGTATAGCTTCAGAGAGCTTCTGTGTCCAGATTTCAACGATTTTCTTTCATCATTATTTCGTGGGGCTCCCAGGACCATATGTGGCTCACAAACCACAGGCTAGGATGTGTTTAACGTTAAAAGCAAGCAGTGTGTTTCTCTGAAGTGTGGCTCCACCATGGTGTTCGGTTACACCCAGAGGAGGAGGCTGGTGGGCAGTCATAGAAGTGCATCTTCCAGAGCAGGAAGGGATCAACAGCTCTTCCTGGAGACTTCCATTCTCCTACCCCAGTTTCTGAGCACAGCATGAATCTAGAGGAGTTTCTCTTCTGCTTTTCCTCCTAGTTTTGTTTCCTCTATCCCTTTTCCTTGCTAAAGTGTGTTGGATGGTCAGGAATGTGGGCGGAGAAGAGGGGGAGCTGGAGACATCTCATCCTTTCATCCAGCTTGTGTAAAAATGCCTCAGAACTCCCTCATACCACATGCACCATAAATTATAAGGTCAAGCTTTGTAAGCCTGCAGCCCTCTTGGCTTTTTGCATGTTGGTTAGAATGCCTAAATAGAAAGCCTCTGTTAATGTTGATTGCCTCTTGTCTGTTCCAGGTTGGCAAGGCCCCCAGTGGCCAAGGCATGAGCCTGGATGCCCTGCAAATTGAGTACGTGTTAGGGATGGGGGCCATTCTTTATAGTTTGACTCTGGAGAGCTAGGACCACCTTTCCCAGCCTCAGGGGTGCACATCCTCAGGAGCTGCCTACCTCCAGATATTGTAAGTCCATGCAGAAGAGGAAGGGCCCAGCTGGGGCACCTCTTGGTTGAGGAATGAGTATGTGACATTTTCATGTGGGCACATTTTGATACTACTTTAAAAATAGACCAAGCACAGTGGCTCACACCTGTAATTCCAGCACTTCGGGACGCTGAGAGAGGTGGATCACCTGAGGTCAGGAGTTCGAGATCAGCCTGGCCAACATGGAGAAACCCCGCCTCTACTAAAAATACAAAACATTAGCTGGGTGTGGTGGCACACACCTGTAATTCCAGCTACTCGGGAGGCAGAAGCAGGAGAATCGCTTGAATCCAGGAGGCGGAGGTTGCAGTAAGCCGAGATCACGCCACTACACTCCAGCTTACACTGGACATGATGAGGAGGAGGAGGATGATGGTGGTGATTATGATAGAAATGGTGATGGTGATGATGACAATGGTGATAGTAGGGATGGTCTTGCTCTGTCGCAAT
This sequence comes from Homo sapiens, assembly GCF_000001405.40. Taxonomy (NCBI): domain Eukaryota; kingdom Metazoa; phylum Chordata; class Mammalia; order Primates; family Hominidae; genus Homo; species Homo sapiens. The sequence continues at coordinate 106,252,765 of NC_000012.12, forward strand.
CAATAAATGAATGCATAAACACATTTCTACTTGTTTTTGCAGTCCTAAGATAAGTGCTCAGTAGCATCCCTGCCCTTCTAATGTGAACTTGAGGGATGGGTAAGACCCAGAGATGGCATGGGGGACGGGATAAGGAAGGCCTACTGTTCATATTGTGAACATGAAATGGTTTTACATTTTGATGCCACTTCATTAAATTGACTGTATGATATGAGCTAACGCTACACCCTCCTTTAAATTTTGGCTAACACATCCATATCCTCAGGTGGTATCAGTTGATAATGCCCATGAAAATATTTTGTAAACTACAGGGTGCTAAACAATTATTTACTTGTATCCCTTTCTGTGGGGCACAGTTTGATGCTATACACAAAGCAGTGAAGTCTCGACAAGAATGATGACCACTACAATGAGCACAAAATAAAGTCTTTTTGGGGTTTTTTGTTTTTTGTTTTCTTTTTGGAGACAGGGTCTCGCTCTGTCACCCAGGCTGGAGTGCAATGGCACGATCTCAGCTCACTGCAACCTCTGCCTTCTGGGTTCAAGTGATTCTCCTGCCTCAGCCTCCTGAGTAGCTGAGATTACAGGCCTGTGCCACCACACCCGGCTCAATTTTTTGTATTTTTAATAGAGATGGGGTTACACCATGTTAGCCAGGCTGGTCTTGAACTCCTGGCCTCATGTGATCCTCCTGCATCAGCCTTCCAAAGTGCTGGCATTACAGGCGTGAGCAACTGCTCCCGGCACAAAATAAAAGCCTAATAAAATAATATTAAAATTAATAGCAAACTTTTGTTGGGTCTTGCTTATGTGTGGTCATTGTACTAAGCACTCTGCATATATTTTTTATTTTTTATTTCCATAGGTTTTTGGGTAACAGGTGGTGTTTGGTTATCACTAAGTTCTTTAGTGGTGATTTCTGAGATTGTGGTGCACCCATTATATCTTTTAAACTTCACAACAACCCTATGAAGGACTTACTCTTCTCCACGTTTTACAGATGATAAAACAGAAGAGAAGCATAGAACAGTTAAGAAACCTGTCCTAGTTCCTGCAGCTATTAAGTGATAGAACCAGGATTTGAACCCAGGTGGACTGACCAGAGCCCGTGCTGTTAGGCACCATTTAGCTGCTTACAATCCTAGCAGGCCCAGCCAGTGCTGAAATGGGTAAATAGTGATCACTGGGTGGCTAAGGATGGAGAAAGCTTCGCACCCAGAGTTGGAATGGAAATCAGACATCTCAGTCCGAGGTGCCTTAACAGTCACTGAAGCTCATTCATTTTCAAGTTAATGAGTTCGAATTTCACTCACCAACCAAAACTTCACTGGCCAGAGGGATCTGGGGCCTCCTCCAGCTGGCATGAGTGATGTTAAATTTGGTGGTCTGGAAGGTGAGTGGCCTCCAGTGTTCTCTCTGGAGGAAGGGAAGCCTTCCTGTGCACAAGTTTCACTCCTGTAGAAAAGAGGGACCTTGTTTAGTTTGAGTGGGAGCCATCAGTATAACCCTTGATGGTCAATGGTAAAGCCCTTGCAGCTGAGAGGTTGGTTGGAACCTGGGTCTAAGGAAGCCAAGACCAGAGTTTCTGTGAACTTGGCTTTGTTATAGGGTTATATTCTGTAGAATCAGGGAGAGCTAGTTCAAATCTTGGTTCTTGCCACTTACGTGACCTTGAGCAAAATACTTCACCTTAGTGAGTCCCAGTTGTTATGGAAGATAACCATAGTACCTACTTTACAGGCATAATATGAGCATAAAATTGATTTTCTCCTCCACATCTGCTCACAGTCTTCCACATCCCAGCACATGCCAGTTCCATCTGTTCAGCTGCTCAGGAATCATCCTTGTCTTGTCTCTTTCTCTCACTCCTGTTCCATATTCAGTGCAATATATTAGCAAATCCTGCTGGCTTTATCTCCAAAATATATCCAGCATCTCCCATTTCTCATGACCTCCACAGCTATTCCATTGATTCCAGCCACCAGCAGCTCACGCTTGCGTTACTGAAATAAGCTAAAGACTGGCCTCTCTGCTTAAGTACTTGTGGCCCTGTCTTGTGTTTTCAGCACAAAAGCCAGAGTGACTCCATTAGAATATAAGTCAGATCATGTTACACCTCTTTCCAAAACCCTCTGATGACTTTCCAAGTCAGTGAGAGTAAAGGCCAGAGTTTTTACAATGACCTGGTCCCCATGTTCTGCCCCCTGCTGTGTCTCTGATCTCATCCACTGTTACTCCCCGCTTTCATCTAGCCACACTAGCCTCCTTTTTGCTCCTCACATGCCAGGCATGTTGCTACCTGGGGGCCTTTATAATTTTGTTCCTGGCCTTTGCCCCACCAGGTATCCACATGGGGCCTCCTTCCCTTCCTCAATTCAAATGTCACCTCTAGATGAGCCTTCTTTAACCATCCCAAATAAAAATGACAACTGCCCAACCCTAGAAACTTCTTTCCCTGCTTTATTTTTCTCTCCAGTATTAATTTTACTTTGACGTACGACATAGTTCCTTGTAGTATGTCAAATTCTACAAGGAACTATGTAGTATGTCAAAAAAAATTAATGTCAATCCTTGTAGTATTGTAAATTCTCACTTGTGGAATTAGGTTAATGAGAAGAGACAGAGGATATGTCTGTCACTTCTCATTAACCTAATTCCACAAGTGAGAATTTTATTTAGCTCACCCCTATATCCTTTGTGCCCAGAAAAATGTCTGATGTATAGTAGGAGCCCAATAAATGTTATGAATATCACATCATAAAAGTCTAGGTAGGGCCTTCTTTTTCATAAGACAACCACAAGGAAGAAGACTGGAAGCAAGGAACCCAGTGAGGAATGACCTGTGAGAGCTTCGATATGATGATGATGAGGAGGATGATGGTGATTATTATGGAAATGGTGATGGTGATGATGACAATGGTGATAGTGGGGATGGTTGTGCTGATGACAATGGCAATATGAGAAGGATGATGGGATGGCAAGGACGATGATGATGAAGACAATGATTACTACAATGACAGTGAGAATTTGATCACTAACACCGTTCAGCTCCAGGGGAGCTGCAATGACACATGCCTTTGTGGTCTTTAACATTTACTGATCATTACTGTATGCCAAACACTATGCCAGGAGCTTTACACACGTTACCTCCTTTCATCCTCAGCGAATCTTTGATGTAGGCACCACAGTAGTATTGATCCAGTTTGCTGATGAGGGTGGACTGCTTATCCAAGGTGACCCAGCTTGAGAATGGTAGGGGACAGAGTAGAATCCAGGCAGCTAATGCTAAAGGCCATACTCTCAACTAGCATACGAACAGATAAGAGATAAGAACAGAAGGCCTAGTATGATGAAGTGACTAAGCCAATATCATTCAGCCTTCAGATAAAATCCACATTCTTACTAAGCATCATGAATCTCAAACTGTGAAGGGGAAGGCAGGGCCGTATCTCAACCTGACACTGGTATTTCACCTCTGCAACTGTTCCCTCTCACCACGCTGTTGACGGACATGCATCATCCCTTAGGTGTGCTATAGGCAGAAAAAAAATTACGAGGAACACTGCCTTAACATGACATTGAAAAAAAAACCCTTCCTCAATCCTTCTCTCTCTAGCCTCATTTCTCCCCTAGTCCCTTCCTATTATACATTTAGCCAGACTGAGCTTTCGTGCTCTTGCCCTAATTTGCCATATTCTCTTAGGAACTCAGCTTCTTTGACCCTTTTCCTACCTTCACCCCCAACCTGGATAAGGTGTCCCTTCCTGGTATATCCCCAGCTCCCAGATGGGTCATGACACTTACCACAATGTATTTTAATTGCCTGTTTACTTGCTGTCATCCACACTAGAACTTGCAGAGCAGTGACTGATCTGTTCCTTTTTTATCCCAACACTTTGCCTAGATTGTTGACTAGATGTATTGCATAGGCACTCATGATGGATGGATGGATGGATGGATGTGGATGGATGGATGGATGGATGGATGGATGGATGGATGGATGGATTATATGTTAGTTTGCTAGCACTCCCATAACAAAATACCACAGGCTGGGTGGCTTACACAACAGAAATTTATTTTCTCACAGTTCTAGAGTCTAGAAGTGAAAAATTGAGATATCTATCAGCAGGCATGGTTGCTTCTAAGGCCTCTGTCCTTGGCTTCCACCTTCTCACTGTGTTCTCACATGGTCTTTCTCCTCTGCACATGCATCTCTGCTGTCTCTCTGTATGTCCAAATTTCCTCTTCTCATAAGGATAACAGTCAAATTGGATTAGGGTTCACCATAAAGACCTAATTTTAACTTAGCCCTTTATCTATACATTTAGCCAGACTGACCCTTCCTGCAATTACCCTAATTTGCCACATTCTCTTTGGAACTCAGTTTCCTTGACCCTTTTCCTGCCTTTACCCCCAACCTGGATAAGGTGTCCCATCCTGGTACATCCCCAGCTCCCAGATGGGTCATGGCACTTATCACAATGTATTGTAATTGTGTTTGCTGCTGTTTACTTACTGTCATCTACACTAGAACTTTCAGGGCAGAGACCGATCTGTTCCTTTTTTATCCCAATATGAGGCACTTTGCCTAGATTGTTGCCCAGATATATTGCATAAGCACTCAATATATGATAGATGAATGGATAGATGTTTAAATGGATGGATGGACGGATGGATGGATGGATGGATGGATGGATGGATGGATGGATTGATACTATCTTTAATGATACTATCTCCAAATGCAGTCACATTATTAGGTACCAGAGGGCTTCATCATAAGGAATTTGGGGGTATACAATTCAGCCCATAACTGGTGAATGGGTAGATATGACAGTACATGACTTAGAATGCTAGGCTTCTGGAGGAGGTGGAGCAAGATGGTGGAACAGAGGCCTCCACTGATTGTCTTCCCCACAGGAACACCAAATCTGGCAACTATCTACCCAAAACAGCACCTTCATAGGAACCAAAACTAAGGTGAGCACTCACAGTACCTGGTTTTAACTTCATATTACTGAAAGAGGCACTGAAGAAGGTAGGAAAGTCAGTCTTGAATTGTTGACTCCACCTCTCCCTATTCCCTGGCAGTGCCCTCGTGGTGAGGAGAGAGAATCTGTGCACTTGAGGGAGGGACAGGACAGCAATTAGGGAACTTTGCATTGGAACACAGTGCTGCCAACACTGGGCAGAAATCAGTTGACACCCATGGAGGGAGCATATAGACAAGCCCCAGCCAGAGGGGACTCACCCATCTCAGTGGTCAGAATCTGAGTTCCAGCAAGCTTTGTGACTATTGGCCCAAGTGATGTAGGGTTCAAAATAAACTTGAAAAGCAGTCTAGGCCACAAGGACTGCAACTCCTAGACAAGTCCTAGTGCTGTGTTGGGCTTAGAGATAGTGGACTTTGGGGAAACGTGACCTAGTAAGACACCAGCTGGGGCAGCTAAAGGAGTGCTTGTATCACCCCTCCCCAAACCCCAGGCAGCACAGCTTGCAGCTCCAAAAGAGACAGCTTCCTTCTGCTTGAGGAGAGAAGAGGATAAAGTAAAGAGGACTTTGTTTTTCAACGTGGATACCAGCTCAGCCACAGTAGGATAGGACACCGGGCAGAGTCATGAGGCCATCATTTCAGGCTCTAGCTCCAAATAACACACTCTGGGCCAGAAGGGAACCTGCTGCCTTGAAGGAAAGGACTCATCCTGGCAGGATTCATCACCTGCCGACTACAGATCCCTTGGACCCTGAATAATCAGCAGCAGTAACCAAGTAGTACACACCATGGGCCTTGGGTGAGACTCAGGGACATGCTGGCTTCCGGAGTGACCCATCATATTCATAGTTGTGGTGGCTATGAGAAGAGGTGCCTTCTACTTGAGAAAAGAAGAGGGAAGAATAAATGGGACTTTGTCTTGTAGTTTAGGTACTAGCTTAGCCATAGTGGGGAAGAGCACCAACCAGGTTCTTGGGGTCCCCAAGTCCAGGCCTTGGCTCTTGGACAGCATTTCTGGACCTACTCTGAGCCAGAGGGGATCCCACTGCCCTGAAGGGTGAGTTGCATGCCTGGCAACATTCACCACAAGCTGACTGAAGAGCCCTTGGGCCTTAAGTGAACAACATTGGTGCCCTGCAGTAATCCCCATGGATCTGTGGTGGTGGTGGACATGGGGAGAGACTTCTCTGCCTGGGGAAAAGGGAAAGAAGAGTGGGAAGGACTTTGTCTTGAGGTTTTGGTGTCAGCTTAGTGACAAAACAATAGAGCACACCAGGTAGATTTCTAGGGTTTCCAACTCCAGGCTCTGGCTCCTGGACAGCATCTCTGGACCTGTCTGAGCCCCAGGGGACCTTGGCACTGTGCTGGTTTCAGGTCTGACCCAGCACAGTCTCAGTGGTGGTGGCCACGGGGATGCTTGTGTCACCCTTACTCCAGCTCCAGGCAGCTCAGCACAGAGGGAAACAGAATCTATTTCCTTGGGAGAAAGTAATGGAAGAGAACTAGTAATTCAAAGAATTCTTCTGGATCTTATCTAAGACCACCAAAGTGGTACCTCTATGAGTCTGCAAGAATTACAGTAATACTGGGCTTGGGGTGCCCCGTAATGCAGATTTGGCTGCAGTGACCAAAAACTTAGATTGCAAGACCCAGATCCCTTTGAATACCTGGAAAGCCTTCCCAAGAAGGATGGGTACAAACAAGCTCAGGCTGCAAAGACTACAATAAATACCTAACTCTTCAATGCCCACACACTGACAAACTTTTTTTTTTTTTTTTTTGAGACAGAGTTTCGCTCTTCTTGCCTAGGCTGAAGTGCAATGGCACGATCTCAGCTCACCGCAACCTCCACCTCCCAGGTTCAAGTGATTCTCGCCTCAGCCTCCTGAATAGCTGGGATTACTGGCATGTGCCACCATGCCCAGCTAATTTTGTATTTTTAGTAGAGACGGGGTTTCTGCATGTTGGTCAGGCTGGTCTCGAACTCCCCACCTAAGGTGATCCGCCCGTCTCGGCCTCCCAAAGTGCTGGGATTACAGGCATAAGCCACTGCACCCGGCCCACACTGACAAATATTTACAAGCATCAAGACAATCCAGGAAAGCATTACTGACCTCACAAAATATACTAAATTAGGCACCAGGGGCCAACCCTGGAAAGATAGAAGTGTGAAACCTTTCACAGAGAGAATTCAAAATAGCCGTTTTGAGGAAACTCAAAGAAATTCAAAATAACCAGAGAAGGAATTCTGACTCCTATAAGATAAACTTAACAAAGAAATTAAAATAATTAAAAAGCCTCAAACAGAAATTTTGGAGTTGAAAAATACAATTGACATACTGAAGACTGCATCAGAGTCTCTTAATGGCAGAATTGATCAAGTGGAAGAAAGAATTAGTGAGCTTGAAGATAGCCTATTTGAAAAGATACAGCCAGAGAAGACAAAAGAAAAAAGAATAAAAAGGAATGAAACATGCCAACAAGATCTAGACTATAGCCTCAAAGGGGCAAATCTCAGAAGTATAGGCCTCAAAGAGGAAGTAGAGAGAGAGACAGGGGTAGAAAGTGTATTCAAAGGGATAATAACGAGAACTTCCCCAACCTAGAGAAAGATATCAATATTCAAGTACAAGAAGGTTATAGAACAGCAAGCAGATTTAACCCAAATAAGACTACCTCAAGGCATTTAATAATCGAACTCCCAAAGGTCAAGGATAAAGAAAGGATCTTAAAATCAGCAAGAGAAAGTAAACAAATAACATACAATGGAGTTGCAATATGTCTGGCAGCAGACTTTTCAGTGGAAACCGGAGGGTGGCATGACATATTTAAAGTGCTGAAGGAAAAAACTTTTATCCTAGTATAATATATCCTGTGAAAATATCCCTCAAACATGAAGAAGAAATAGTTTCCCAGACAAACAAAAGCTGAGGGATTTCATCAATACCAGGCCTGTCCTACAAGACATGCTATAAATAGTTATTCAATCTGAAAGAAAAGGATGCTAATGAGCAATAAGAAATCATCTGAAGAGGGCGGGCGCGGTGGCTCACGCCTGTAATCCCAGCACTTTGGGAGGCCGAGGCGGGTGGATCATGAGGTCAGGAGATCGAGACCATCCTGGCTAACAAGGTGAAACCCCGTCTCTACTAAAAATACAAAAAATTAGCCGGGCGCGGTGGCGGGCGCCTGTAGTCCCAGCTACTCGGGAGGCTGAGGCAGGAGAATGGCGTGAACCCCGGAAGCGGAGCTTGCAGTGAGCCGAGATTGCGCCACTGCAGTCCGCAGTCCGGCCTGGGCGACAGAGCGAGACTCTGTCTCAAAAAAAAAAAAATAAATAAAATAAATAAAATAAAAAAAATAAAAAAAATAAAAAGAAATCATCTGAAGATACAAAACTCATTGGTTATAGTCAGGTCATGGAAAAACAAAGAATATTACAACACTGTAATTATGAGGTGGAAATTCATATCGTAAGTAAATGAATCAATCAAAAATAACTACAACTTTTCAAGACATAGTACAATAAGGTATAATTCAAACAACAAAAAGTTAAAAAGTGGGGAGAAAAAATTAAAGCATAGAGCTTTTAGGGTTTTTTTTGCTTGTTTGTTTATGCAATCAGTGTTAAGTTGTCATCAGTTTAAAATAATGAGATATTTTTTGCACACCTTATGGAAACCTCAAATCTAAAAATATACAATGGATACACACACACACAAAAAGAAATTAAAAGATACCACCAGATAAAATCAGCTTCACTAAAGAGAAGACAGGAAAGAATGAAGAAAAGACCACAACACAACTAGAAATGAATGACAGGAATAAGTTTTTACTTATCAATGATAGCATTGAATGTAAATAGACTAAACTGTCCAATCAAAAGACATACAGTAGCTGAATGGATTTAAAAAAACAATCTATTGCCTATAAGAAACACCCTTCACCTATGAAGACACATATAGACTGAAAATAAAGGGTTGAAAAAATTATTGTATGCCAGTGGAAACCAAAAAAAGCAGGAGCAGCAATACTTACATCAGACAAAATAGATTTCAAGGCAAAAGCTATAAAAACAGACAAAGAAGTTCGTTATATAATGATAAAAGGGTCAATTCAGCAAGAGGATATAACAACTGTAACTATATATGCACCCAACACTGGAGCACCCAGATATACAAAACAAATATTATTAGAGCTAAAGAGAGAGAGAGAGACCTCAATACAATAATAGCTGGAGACTTCAACGCCCCATTTTCAGCATCAAACAGGTCATCCGGACAGAAAATTAACAAAGAAACATTGGACTTAATCTGCACTATACACCAAATGGATCTAACAAATATTTACAGAACATTTCATCCAAAGGCCACAGAATACATATTCTATTCCTCAGCACATGAATCTTTCTCAAAGACAGGCCACATGTTAGGCCACAAAAGTAGTCTTAAAACATTTTTAAAAATGAAATAATATCAAATATCTTCTCTGACCACAATGGAATAAAACTAGAAGTCGATAACAAGAGAAATTTTGGAAACTATACAAACACATTAAAATTAAACAACATGCTCCTGAATGACCAGTGGGTCAATGAAGAGATTAAGATGGAAACTTAAAAATTTCTTGAAACAAGTGATAATGGAAACACAACGTACCAAAACCTATGGGATACAGTGAAAGCAGTACTAAGCGAGAAGTTTATTATCATAAGTACCTCCATCAAAATAGAAGACAACCTTCAAATAAACAACCTAACAATGCATCTTAAAGAACTAGAGCAGCAAGAAGACTAAACCTAAAGTTAGTGGAGGAAAAAAAATAATACTGGTAAGAGCAGAAATAAATGAAATTGAAACGAAGAAAGCAATACAAAAGATGAACAAAATGAAAAGTTGGTTTTTTTGAAAAGATGAACAGAATTAGCAAATCTTTAGCCAGAGTAAGATAAAAAGAGAGAAAACCCAAATAAATAAAATCACAGATGAAAAATGAGACCTTACAACCAATGCTGCAGAAATTCAAATAATTATTAGAAGCAACTGTGAGCAACTATATGCCAATAAATTGGAAAACCTAGAAGAAATGAATAAATTCTCAGACATGTTCAACCTACCAAAATTGAACCATGAAGAAATCCAAAACCTGAACAGACCAATAACAAGTAACAGGATCAAAGCCATAATAAAAAGTCTCCAAAGAAAAGCCTGAGACCTAATGGCTTCACTGCTGAATTTTACCAAACACTTAAAGAACTAATACCAATCCTACTCAAATTATTCCAAAAAGAGAGATGGAAAAAATACTTCTGAACTCATTTTACAAGGCCAGTATTACCCTCAGTCCAAAACCAAAGACATATTAAAAAAAAAAAAAACTAAAACTACAGGTTAATATCTCTGATGAACATTAATGTAAAAATCCTCAACAAAATACTAGCAAATCAAATTCGACAACACATTAAAAAGATCATTCATCATGACCAAGTGGGATTTATCATAGGGATGCAAGGATGGTTCAGCATACAAAAATCAATCAATGTGATACATCAAATCAACAGAATGAAGGATAATAACTATATGACTCTTTCAATTGATGCCAAAAAATCATTTGATAAAATTCAACATCCCTTCATGATAAAAAAAAACCCTCAAAAAATTGGGTATAGAGGGAACATACCTCAACATAATAAAAGTTACACGCCATAGGCCCACAGCTAGTATCATACTGAACAGGGAAAAACTGAAAGCCTTTCCTCTAAGATCTGGAACGAAACAAGGATGCTTACTTTTACCGCTGTTATTCAACATAGTACTGGAAGTCCTAGCTAGAGCAATCAGACAAGATAAAGAAATAAAGGGCATCTAAACTGGAAGGGAAAAATTCAAAATTATCTTTATTTGCAGATGATATGATCTTATATTTGAAAAAACGTAAAGACTCCACCAAAAAATGTTAGAACTGATAAACGAATTCAGTAAAGTTGCAGGATACAAAATCAATATTATGGCACAGTGGCTCATGCCTGTAATCCCAGCACTTTGGGAGGCCAAGGTGGGCCGATCACCTGAGGTCAGGAGTTCAAGACCAGCCTGGCCAACATGGTGAAACCACCTCTCTACTAAAAAATGCAAAAATTAGCCAGGCACGGTGGAGGGTGCCTGTAATCCCAGCTACTGGGGAGGCTGAGGCAGGAAGAATTGCTTGAACCTGTGAGGCAGAGGTTGCAGTGAGCCAAGACTGTCCACTGCACTCCAGCCTGGGCAACAGAGCGAGACTCTGTCTCAAAACAAACAAACAAACAAAACAAAACAAACAAAAGCATAAAATAAAATCAACATATAAAAATAAATAGCATTTCTACATGCCAACAGCGAGCAATCTGAAAAAGAAATTGAGAAAGCAATCCCATTTACAATAGCTATGAATAAAACTAAATACCTAGTAATTAACCAAGATTTCTACTGTGAAAACTATAAAATATTGGTGAAAGAAATTGAGGAGGACATACACACAAAATGGATAGATATTCCATGTTCCTGGATTGGAAGAATAAATATTGATAAAATCTCCATACCAGCCAAAGCAATTTACAGATTCAGTGCAATCCCTGTCAAACTACTAATGACATTATTCACAGAAATAGAAAACAAAATCCTGAAATTTATATGGAACCACAAAAGACCCAGAATAGCCAAAGCTATCCTGAGCAAAAAGAACAAAAGTGGAGGAATCACATTACCTGACTTCAAATTACACTACAGAACTATAGTTAACAAAATAGTGTGGTACTTGCATAAAAACAGACACATAGACCAATGAAACAGAATACAGAACCCAGAAACAAATCCATACATCTACAGTGAACAAATTTTTGACAAAGGTGCCAAGAACACACAATGGGGAAAGGACAGCCTCTTCAATAAATGGTGCTGGGAAAACTGAATATCCATATGCAGAAGAATGAAACTAGATCCCTCTCTCTCACCATATATAAAAATCAAATCAAAAGGGATTAAAGACTTAAATCTAAGACCTCAAACTATGAAACTACTATAATAAAACATTGAGGAAACTCTCCAGGACAATGGACTGGGAAAACATTTCTTGAGTAATACCCCACAAGCATAGGCAATCAAAGCAAAAATGAACAAATGGGATCACATCAAGTTTAAAAGCTTCTGCACAGCAAAGGAAACAATCACTAAAGTGAGGAGACAACCCTAGAATTGGGGAAAATATTTCTAAACTATCAATCTGACAAGAGATTAATAACCAGAATATATGAGGAGCTCGAACAACTCTTTAGGAAAAAATCGAATAATCTGATTTTAAAATGGGCAAAAGATCTGAATAGACATTTTGCAAAAGGAGACATACAAATGGCAAACAGGTATATGAAAAGATGCTCAACATCATTGATCATTAGAGAAATGCCAATCAAAACTATAATGAGATAGCATCTCACCCTGGTTAAAATGGCTTCCATCCAAGAGACAGGCAATAGCAAAGGCTGGCAAGGATGTGGGGAAAAGGGAAGCCTTATACACCATTGACGGAAATGGAAATTAGTACAACCCTATGGAGGACAGTTTGGAGGTTCCTCAAAAAACTAAAAATAGAGATACCATATGATCCAGCAATCCTACTACTGGGTATACACCCAAAAGAAAGGCAATCAGTATGTCAAAGAGATATCTGCACTCCCATGTGTGTTGCAGCACTGTTCACAGTAGCTAAGATTTGGAAGCAACTTAAAGCCCATCAAGAGATGAATGGACAAAGAAAATGTGTTAGTTATACACAATGGAGTACTATTTAGACATAAAAAGGAATGTGATCTTGTCATTTGCAACAACATGGATAGAACCAGAGGTCATTATGTTAAGTAAAATAAGCCAGGCAGAGAAAGGCAAACTTTGCATTTTCTCACTTACTTGTGGGAGCTAAAAATTAAAACTATTGAACTCGTGGAGATACATGGTTACTAGAGGCTGGGAAGGGTAGTGGAATTGTGGGTGGGTGAGTAAGGGGGAAGTGGAGATGGTTAATGGTATGTTAGTCCGTTCTTACATTGCTATGAAGAAATACCTGAGACTGGGTAATTTATAGGAAAAGAGGTTTAATTGGCTTATGGTTCTGCAGGCCACACAGGAAGCATAGTGCTGGCATCTGCTTCTAGGGAGGCCTCAGGAAGCTTACGACCATGGCAGAAGCTGAAGGAGGAGCAGGCGTCTCACAAAGCAGGAGCAGGAGCAAGAGACAGTCGTGGGGAGATGCCACACATGTAAACAACCAGACCTTATGAGTACTCACTTGCTACTGCAAGGACAGCACCAAGACATGAGGGATCTGCACCCCATGACCCAAAACACCTCACGCAAGATCCCGCCTCCAACATTGTGGATTACATTTCAACATGAGATTTGAGCAGGAACAAATATCCACACTACATCAAATGGGTACCAAAAAATAGTTCAAAAGAATGAATAAAACCTAGTATTTGATAGCACAATAGGGTAACTATGGTCAATAAAAATTTAATTATACATTGTAAAATAACTAAAAGAGTGTGATTGGATTGCTTGTAACACAAAGGATAAGTGCTTGAGGTGATGGATACCCCATTTACCCTGATGTGATTATGACATATTTTATGCCTGTATCAAAATATCTCATATATCCCATAAATATATATGCCTACTATGCACCCACAAAAATTAAAAATAAAAAAATTATGAGAATGCTAGAGTTCTGATTCTCAGCATCCTGCATTGTCAGGGTTCTTTTTTTGTTTGTTTGTTGTTGTTTGTTTGTTTTTTGAGATGGCGTCTCTCTCTGTCACCCAGGCTGGAGTGCAGTGGGGCGATCTCAGCTCACTTCAACCTCCACTTCCCGGGTTCAAGCAATTCTCCTGCCTCAGCCTCCTGAGTAGCTGGGATTACAGGCATGCGCCACTACATCTGACTAATTTTTGTATTTCTAATAGAGATGGGGTTTCACCATGTTGGCCAGGCTGGTCTCAAACTCCTGACCTCATGATTCGCCCGCCTTGGCCTCCCAAAGTGCTGGGATTACAGGCGTGAGCCACCACACCCAGCCCAGGGTACCCACTCTTTAGGTGGACACAATGTTGGGGAAGTCTCAAAGCTTTGAAAGTGGTTAGTAGAAGTGGGTATTATATATAAATGCAATGTTCTATGATAGGTTCAGATAATACGCATAAACACATGTTGCTAATTTAACCAAGAAAATAGAAGAGGTGCATGGACACGATGGATTTCTAAATAAGTAGGATGAAAAAATAGCTGTAGAAGCCCTATTTCATCCTGCCCTTGCCTTGCTCAGGGCTCTGCCATATCTCCTTATTAGAATCAAACCATAATGGCCAGGAGTGTGGGGGTGGTTAGGGTTGGAGATGTGGAAACTATGCCTCATCACCCACCCAGGATTCTACTCAACCCACCACTCCCTGCCCTACAGCCACCTGCAAGCCTTTGTCCTTTGTTCAAGCTCTTCTCCCTAGTGCTACCACCTGTGAGTCCCAATGGTCTCTTTCTCTAGAAGAATATAGTCCCTGACTACCCCTCCCTGTCCAACTAGTGCCCCCATCATTTGGATTCCTTACAATGGAGAAGAATTTTAAGGATATGGATTGGGTCTGATGCCATCTAGAAGAGTTAGTAGGTGTGTGGCTCTGGTAAGTTATCTAACTTCTCTCATTTATAAAGTAGGATGAATAATTAACAGTATTTATGGGAAGCATTAAATACAAAAAAGGCCATTATAATGGTAAGTTACATATATACACTTATCATCAATATGTGCCAACAAAAAAGTCCATTCTCTCTGTAAGTCAGAGGCTATCTGGGTATTTTCAACTGTAGAAAAACAAAGATAGCATCTGTAAACTAGGGATTATAGTACCCACATCCTAGGGTTGTGGTAAGGTTTCAGCGACATGATATCAGTAAAGCACCCAGCATGTTCTATTTCAGGAGAATGGAGATTATTGTGTAATTAGTTCAGTATCTTATCCTCAACAAGCCATAGGACTCTGGAGGGAACAACCTTGTCTGCCTCGTTCACTACACTATCCTGCTGCTAATTGTTGGGTGGAGCACATAACTAACACTAAGAAATAATATCTTTTATTCAATTCATGGAGCAAATTTGAGCATCAGACCTAGGCCAAGGGGCTACAGAAGTGAACAACGCAGTCCAAAGTCCCTACCATCGTGGAGCTCTCAGGCTAGCAAGAGAGACAGACAATAGTACATTAGTAAAAGTCAGCATGGCCGGGCGTGGTGGCTCACGCCTGTAATCCCAGCACTTTGGGAAGCTGACGGGGGTGGATCACCTGAGGGCAGGAGTTCGAGGCCAGCCTGGGCAACATGGTGAAAACCCTATCTCTACTAAAAATACTAAAATTAGCCAGGTGTGGTAGCATGCACCTGCAGTCCCAGCTACTCTACTAGGGAGGCTGAGGTAGGAGAATCGCTTGAACCCAGGAGGCAGAGGTTACAGTGAGCCAAGATTGTGCCACTGCACTCTGGAGATCATGGCACTGCACTCCAGCCTAGGCAACAGAGTGAGATTCCATCCATCTCAAAAAAAAAAAAAAAAAAGTTAAAGGCAGCATCCTAGATACAGTAGTACTAAGTGCTAAGAGGAAAAAGTGAAATGGAGAAATAGGAACAGAAAGGGTTTGGAATCGGGATAGGGGTTATAATTTTAGATTAAGTGGTCAGGACTTCACTGAGAAGGTGACATTGGAGGAAAGACCTGAAGGAGTGAGGAGCCAGCCAACCAAATACATGGAAGAAGAGCTTTCCAGGCAGAACAAAAGAGCAAATGCAAAGGCCCTGAGGTGCATCCAAGAAACAGAAAGGAGGCCAGGAGAGCTTGTGCAAGTAAACAATTCATTCAGCAAGTATTTATGTTGCCCTGTTTATTTATTAAATTAACAAATAAATTAGCACAATGCCCGGCAAGTAATCAGCTCTCAGGACATGTGATGTTATTATCAATGTCATTATCACTATTATCTCTGTATCTCTCCCATCACCACCACCATCACCCAGTACCCAGCACAAGACCTGCCACCTAGTAAGAGCCCAGAAGCTGCTTAGTAAACTGAATCTCATTGCCCTGTGTAGGCTGGTGTCCCTAACCATTAACACTTGGTTATCCTTTGAGGTTTAGCCGCATTGGAAACTATTTCTTTACATTGGACTTTTTGCTCTAAAAAATCATCAGGTCTTAAAGTGATACCAGAATTGTATATAAATGCAGTAGTATATTTCTTTGGTTTAATTCCTCTACCTTCAAAATGATAGAGAGTCTAGTGTTTGGATTCTGACTTCCAATCAGTCCCCTGGATCCCTTCATTGTATAGGTCCATGACCAGCAGGATCCCTTGAGGGAAGGGCAAGTGCACCAGGCCCAGCATCTCCATGGCTTTGGAGTATCACGCAGGACCCAGCAGCCAGAATGAGGAGCTTGCTGTTTAAAATGCAGATTCACCTCTGAAGGGATTCTGCCAAAAAGAGGGGTAGTTGACAGCGAGGGAACCAGAGCTCACCAGGAAACTTTCAACCACAGTGACACTGCAATAACTCAGTAGACTTATCTAGTATGCTTAAGTCCTCACTTATCACTGTTCATAGGTTCTTGGAAATTGCAACTTTAAGCAAAATGACATATAACAAAACCAATTTGACCATAGGCTAATTGATATAAACACGACTTAAGTTTCTACACCCTATTTCTGGCCACAAAAGTATCACCAAACAGGCCAGGCGTGGTGGCTTATCTGAGCCTGTAATCCCAGCAATTTGGGAGGCCAAGGCGGGCAGATTACCTGAGGTCAGGAGTTTGAGACCAGCCCAGCCAACATCATGAAGCCCCATCTCTACTGAAAATACAAAAATTAGCTGGATGTGTTAGCACACGCCTGTAGTTCCCGCTACTTGGGAAGCTAAGGTAGGAGAATTGCTTGAACCAGGGAGGCAGAGGTTGCAGTGAGCCGAGATCATGCCACTGCACTCCAGCCTGGGTGACAGAGCAAGACTCGGTCTCAAAAAAAAAAAAAAAAAGTGTCACCAAACTTCTAAAGACCAAAACACTTCTCATAGTAAACACTAAAATACCTGTGAGCTACACATACATTTAAGAAAGATTAATAAAAACAAGAAAGATAATTATTTACCCAATTATTCCAGTTCAAGGTTGTAGGTGGCAGAAGCCTCTCCCAGCAGCTCAGGGCACAAGACTGGAAACCACCCTGGACAGGATGCTGTTCCATCACAGGGCACACTCACACCCACACCGATGCCCACACTCACTCTTACTGGGACCATTGAGACATGCCAGTGAAACTGACTTGCACATCTTCGGGAGGAAACCAAAGTACCTGGAGAAAACCCACGCAGACATGGAGAGAGCCTGCAAACTCCATACAAACAGTGACCCGGCTGGGAATCCACTGTTTTTTTTCTCACCAACTTTATAACAATACTACATTGAATGAAAAGACGTTATTCAAGACCTGCTGTACATGAAAGAGATTGAGAGTCACTAAGGAACTTCCTTCTGAGCCTCTGCCAGCTAGGAGATTTCAAGTCTCTTAGAAAGGAAACTCCTTGGTGAGGTAACATAATCCTGTACTTTTCTCACAGTGAGGAAGTCAGTATTACTATCTAACTTAAGACCCTCTTGATTCAATAAGCCTAGGTCTCCTCGTTCTTTCTTCAAGTGAAAAAAGTGCCATCGGCAGGGCATGGTGGCTCATGCCTGTAATCCCAGCACTTTGGGAGGCTGAGGCGAGTGGATGACCTGAGGTCAGGAGTTCGAGACAAGCCTGGCCAACATGGTGAAACCCCGTCTCTACTAAAACTACAAAAAATTAGCCAGGCGTGGTGGTGGGAGCCTGTAATCCCAGCTACTGGGGAGGCTGAGGCTGGAGAATCACTTGAACCCAGGAGGCTGAGGTTGCAGTGAGCTGAGATCATGCCATTCCACTCCAGCGTGGGCCACAAGAGCAAAATTCCATCACACACACACACACACACACACACACACACACACACACACAAAGCCATCCTCTCTTGATCTATTTCTCTGAGTCCAGTAAAAGCAGAGCAAAAAAGAACCCTCCATTCTCAGGAGGCTTTCAGTTCAGCTGCAAGTTGTCTCAATGTGTTCATCCTCTGCAGCTGAAGCCCCACCATCACCCAGGGGTGCTTTTGTGATCTGTGTATCAAGCAGAAGCGCTCTTCTTCCACTGTTCCAATGTAACTTCTCATTGTTCCCAAACACACCTCCCTCCCCGCTTATTGGGCAAGCTGGTTGGTCTCTTTCTGTCCCTCTGGTACCTCACCAGTTCCCATCTTCTGGGATGAATGAGCTCTTTCCTCCTCTCCACCCAACTGAATGCCACTCTGAAGAAGAGAAAACTGGCTTTAGAGTGAGAAAGACATTATTCTCATTTTAGAGAAAAATAAAGCTGGGTCAGAGTGTCTTCACGATTAGCCTAAAGTCACATGGCTTGTCCCCATCGAGAGTCAAGGTTTGAGACTATGTGTGTCTGATTTTAAACCTTTCTCCCTTTCTTCCAGTCACATTACCTCTTGGTTGGGTGACCTCCAAGGAATGCTGATTAGTACCCAATCCCAAAATAAATATTTGGTGTCAATTTATAATACAAGGAGGCGTGGAAAATTGGTTTAAAATTATTACTGTAGAGAGAGGCCAGTTCCAAAGTAGTTGTCAAACAGAAGTGATATCAATAAATATTTGTCAAATCACTGAATGAATATCAATGATACAAAGTTAAGGAGGGTGGATCTTCTGAGAAGGAATGGTATTTTCCATCTTCAAGAAAGGAGATTCTTTGCTCTGTAAACAGATTTGAATGAGGAATTTTCTTTTATAAAAATGACTATGGCTGTGTTATTTTCATAACAGCTGACCTTGGTTCCCAGGCTAAGCTGCCCAGGGGCAAGGATTATCTCTGCAACTGAGCTGAGGTGGCTTGTAGTGGAGCCAAGTTTTGCCTTTGTCAAGCTATGAAGGCAAGGCCTTTGGGAAATTCAAAGCTTCTCTCCATTTCTCTAAGGAAGAAGAGTTCCTCTCCTAAAAAGTACAACCTCTTTGAAGGTTTTGGAAACCTCTGGGATTAAAGGACAACTTGGATCTCTTTCCATTTATCATCTTGACATGTATTTGCATGTTTTCTCCGGAAATGTCTTACATTAGTTCATCCCAAAGGCAACCATGAGGCAGGCCTGGCATAGGCCAAAGGCTCATTCAAGAGGAAGAAGGCAGAATTCATTTACGCATAAGGTGCTGAGCCAGGTATTTTATACTTGACTTCCCATTGACTCATCACAGCCTATTAAGTAGATATTATTAATTTTGTTCGAGGTGAAAAAAAGAAAGAAAAAAAAAGCAAGACTCTGAGAGAGGACCTGCAAACTGGAAAACATAGCCTGAAATCAGTAAAAATAGTATCAAAACCTCTATCTGCTTGAGTCCAAAGTCCATGCTCTTTCAGCTGTGCCCTCAGAGGCTTCCTGAACCCACAACTAGATTCAGCTTGGCATTGCCATCTCTCTCAATCTGCTCCCTACTTACCAGACCAGCTTTATCTGCCACAATTTCCCACATTAGTTGTGCTCCAGCCTGGGCGACAGAGCGAGACTCTGTCTAAAAATAAATAAATAAAATAAAAATAATAATAATAAAATAAATAACGGATGAGTTGGCCAGCAGTGGTGGCTCACACCTGTAATCCCAGCACTTTGGGAGTCTGAGGCAGGAGGATCACTTGAGCCCAGGAATTCGAGACCAGCCTGAACAACATGGCAAAACCCTATCTCTACAAGCAATACAAAAAAATTAGCTGGGCGTGGTGGGTCACACACCTGTAGTCACAGCTACTAGGGAGGCTGAGGTAGGAGAATCACCTGAGCCTGGGAAGTTGAAGCTGCAGTGAACAGTAATCATGCCACTGTACTCCAGCCTGAGTGTCAGAGTGAGACCCTGCTTCAAAAAGATAAATAAATGAGTTCCAGCTGTACATTAAACCTCCTAATGGTACAGCCCAGGCGTGAGTATGTCTTTAGAGCTCCCTAGTCAACAGGTTTGTCCATCCTTGGTTAAGAATCACTACAATATATGGACCTTTTATTCCAGACAAACTCTGCCTGCATTAATGCCTTGTATGTACAAATTTCCTTGCCATTTCCCTTACCAAATTACCTAAACTGAGCAACTCCAATTGCCCTTCAACAACCTTCATCTCACCTCTCCACTGATCAATGTTCTGCCTATTGTCATCTATTCAAATCAATGAAAAAAGGTACAGTTCAGTAAGTGTTCAATGTTTGGAAAAAATAACCAGTGTAGACGCTCAGCTCACCCCACACACTATGATAAATTATAAATAAATTAAATAATTGCATACAAAGTTTCATGACTAGGAAAATCAGAAATAATGAAAATGAATCATATCTTAAAATTTTGCTGAGGAAATGAAATTTCTAAGCATGGAAGAAAAAGCTTGTGTAAAAGGGGAAAGTAGGCCAGATTCAACCACATAAAAATGTAAAACAACTGTATGGAAGAATAAAAACAGCTTATAGGAAAAATATTCATTGTGAGTATGACAAGCAAGACTTAGTGTATTGTTTTCTAAACAGGCCATACCAATAGAGGGTAAGTACTCTAAAGATGGGAATGCTGTCTGCCTTGTTTACTATTATATTTTCTGCATCTATAAATGCTTGGCCTATAACAACAAATGAGTAAATATTTGTTGAATAAAGAGATTTAAAAATAACTTATCCATAAGGTAAATGAACAAAAGATCCAAACATTCACAAAAGAGGAAATACAATTACTTCACATTTAGGAACATATTGCTAACCTCACTTGTGACGTAAGAAGTGGAAATAGGCCGGACATGATGGCTCCCTCATGCCTGTAATCCCAGCACTTTGGGAGGCTGAGGTGGGCGCATCACTTGAGGCCAGGAATTCAAGACCAGCCTAGCCAACATGGTGAAATCCCATCTCTATGCAAAAAAATACAAAAATTAGCCAGGCATGTTGGCGCGCGCCTGTAGTACCAACTACTCAGGAGTCTAAGGCAGGAGAATCACTTGAACCTGGGATGCAGACATTGCAGTGAGCAGAGATCACGCTACTGCACGCTACCCTGGGCAACAGAGTGAGACTCCATCAAAAAAAGAAAGGAAGGAAGGAAGGAAGGAAGGAAGGAAGGAAGGAAAGGAAAAGGAAAGAAAAGAAAAGGAAAGAGAGAAGTACTTAAAATATCAATAGATTATTATTTTTGCCTGTGAAATTAGCTGAGATCAAACACAATAAAGAAAACTCCTGTAATCCCAGCACTTTGGGAGGCCTGGGTGGGAGAACGGTTTGAGCCCAGGAGTTCAAGGCTATAGTGAGCTATGATCTCACCGCGGCACTCCAGCCTGGGTGACAGAGTGAGACTATCCCAAAAAAAAAAAGAAAAGAAAACTATAAAATATAATGCCAAAACACGGGTGAAACAGCTTCTTCATGCTATCCTTGATTCGGCCACTCTGGAGACTAGCAGAAATGGGAACGAGGTTCTGATGGCATTGAGATGGTCACTGTAATGGGATTAGTGGTTTTTTTTTCCTGGCCAGCAACCCTCCCTCCCCACCTCCTGACAGACCCCATGATCCTCAGGCAGTGCACCTACCCTCTGACCCCAGGGGAGAGTACACAATTAAAGACTGGCCAACCTGGCACTGGGATTTTTCAAACCAGCACCGAAGCCCTCCTTCTTCTCTGGTTGGGAATTGGTGAGGCTGTAACTCTGGCAGCTGCTGGCATGACGTCTCTTGAAACACAGAGAGAGTGGATCTGTAGTTGGGAAAAACTAGGTTGGTTTGCAGAGAGAACCCTATTGGCCTTCGTTTCCCTGGTTCTCTTCCTTCCTGAGGTCACGTTCTGTGTCCCTGCTCTTCCCACATGTTGCAGAAGTGAGTGAATCATTTTGCTCTTTTTTACATTTTTCATTTAGTGTGCTAGAGTGGGATTCTCTGGCTTGCAACAGCCTATTGTTAAATGTTCAGGAATTTTGTAAACTGGTTGTTAAATGGTTGGGAGCTTGAAATCAGCCCTGGCGGAAGTATTTACTCTCAGTCTACCGATGGGAGTTTCCAGCCCATGGAACTCTGCAAACACTAAGCACTACAAATCAGGCCTTTTTTTTTTTCTTTTTTTTTTTTCCTGGCAAGCCAGTTGTTAAACATTTACCAACTTTCCTTGAGGTAACTGGGCTGCAGTTCTGTCACCGACAATCCAGAGTATTTTGGACAATGCAGCCAGAGATCCTGAGAACACCTAAATCCCACCTGAGACTTTCATTATCACTAGCTTCCACAAATGAAGAAACTTCCCCCAGGCAGTCCCGAAGGGAGGTGACACCCAGAAAGAGTCTTATTGTTAGCTGGGCTTTAGGCCCCAAACCCCAAAGCAGAATTCTGGTGTGTGAAACTGTTCTGCACAGCCAAGGCTAGACACGTAAAGGTTCAACTTCTCCCCAACCTGAATCTTGGGTGGGCCATTTTGCAGAGAAAGATGACACGGTGCACATCTATCAGAGCTGTATGCGACGAAGCCACAGAGAAAGAGACCTCAGCAGAAAATGCATTTGCCTCTGAGCTTAGCAAGGATCTACCCGGGCAGGAGTCAGACCCGCTTGCTGCATGGGAGAAAAGAGAGCCAAGGAAAGGCCCAGGCTTCCTTTAAGGGTCCATGTTCTGGGTCAGTTTTCATCTGGGAATGCACTCAACAGATTGGCAGAGAAAGGAGACACTGTATCCGTCTCCAGACTTCTTTCTGCCCAGTGACCCCGCCCACGGTAAAGGTAACCCAACAAGCGCCTGGGCCTCTGGTCAATCATATTCCTCCTCTTCCTCTTCCTTCACTTGGAAACGAGGAAAGAAAGAAGGGGCTCAGAGAAGCAATTGGAGATAAAAGCTCCTTCTCCACGTGCCTTCGGAATTATTTTGGCAACACTAGGAACATTAAAATTGCCCATACTTCTTCATTTCTGGAAATCATTTCTAAAGAAATAATACAAAATAAAGGAAAACATTTATGCACAGACTGGCTTATTACTGAGCTTTTTAGACAAGGAAAAAAAAACTGGAATCCACACAAAGGTCTAACAATAGGAGAATGATTCAGTAAATTACAATATATTAACTCAATGTAATGCATTGCAGTCATGAAAAATGTTTTGTAAAGGTTATAATAGGATGGAAAAATTCTTATGCTATCTAAATAAAAATTAGGATTTAAATTTTGTATTCAGAATGACAGGCAACACAAAAAGGAAAGAAAGGCAAACTAGGCATTGACTGAAAACTGGAAAAACATACTCAAAAATGTTAACTGTGGTTTTCTTCTTTGGGTGGTAGAACTATTGATGGTTTTCAGTTCTGCTTTTCTCCATGTTTTGCAAGTGGTGTTCAATAAACTTACATAAAAATGGATACTATTTTACCGAGCATGTACTATGTGCCAGGTCCTATGCTAGGCACTTTTCATAGATTATTTTGTTTAACTCTCCCAGCAAGCTGGGCACAATGGCACATACCTGTAATCCCAGCTACTTCGGAGGCTGAGGCAGGGGGATCACTTGAGGCCAGGAGTTTGATGCTGTAGCGCGTGATGATCTCACCAGTGAATGGCTACTGCACATCAGCCTGGGCAATAGAGTGAGAAGCCCTCTCTAAAAAAAAAAAAAAAGTTACTCTCATAACAACCCTATGAGTTGGGTACTTTTATTATCTCCAGTTTACAAATGAGGCTCAGTGAGCTTAAGTAACTTGGCTAAAATCACACAGCTGATAGGTAGAGGAGCCAGGATTTAACAGCTGATCTGTCTGACTTCAGAACCAAAGCCTACTATCCACCCATCCCTCCCAACAAGAGAAAAAAAATAGATAAGCAATTTACATATGACTTTACATATAAAGAATTACATCTTAAAGAAAAAATAAACTTAAGCAGTAGATCCATCCTTCAAGGCTAGTTCTTAGGTGAGAACTTCTGCTCCCCTCCCTAAACTTTTGTGCTACTGTTTGTTCCCTTCATTCATTATTACATTGTCCTATGTTGTTGGCTCTCTTTTCTTTTATATAGGATTTAGGCTATCAAATAACCAGAAAGCCTGAGGGTTTCCCAACTGACTGAATGGAACCTCTGTTGGCGAGGGGGATCCCAAAGAAACCTGAAAAACTAGTTGAGGCCATGACAAGAAGGTGGAGTCAGACATGCCTGCTGTACCCTCCTCTCTTTGGAGTTTAGGCCCAACCGACCAGCATTAACATTAAAACAGAGATCATAAGACTGATCTCTTGGTAGGAACAAGATACCCAACAAACTCAACAAACTCTTTGTAGGAACAAGATACCCAGCTCCAACCTGACTCTGGTATAGATAGCATCACATGACAGATAGCAGGCCCTGAAGGAAATTAAAGTATTTTACCCCACAATATATTCCTTGTCATATTTTGGAATGGCCCTGAGAAGCAATCTCCAGTAGGAGAAATTTGCATTCTGCAGAGAATCTCCTTCCCTTACTAGTTCTTTACTTGAGAATCTGACACCTTGTAAGGTCTAATAAGAGACATTTATCATCTGTTATTTCTGAAACCTGTTACTTAGAGGTTTCATCTACATGACAAGAATTTGGCTTCCACCACTCCCCTTATCTTAACGCAAGCATTTCTTTATGCCAACTTCAACTCTTCAGGCATAGTTTAATTCTTTCAACCAATTGCCAATCAGAAAATCTTTAATCTATCTATGATCTGGAAGTCACCCCACTTTCAAGATCTTCAAGATGTCCTGCCTTTCCAGGCTCAACCAATGTATACCTTACATATATTGATTTATGGCTTTGCCTGTAACTTCTGTCTCTCTAAAAATGTATAAAACCAAGCTGTAACCCAATCATCTTTGGCACATATTCTCAGGATCTCCTGAGGCTGTGTCATGGGCCATGGGCCTCATATTTGGATCAGAATAAACCTCTTCAAATATTTTACGATGTCTGGCTCTTTTCATCAACAGTGGGAAGGACATCTTCCCCTCACTGTATTCTTTCTACATTTTTTTACCCACTTTCCTTCCTGCTGTATACTAGATGTCAGCTGCAGTCTCACTACATCATACATAAAATGAGGTAGAAACTTACAAATTCATGTCCTAGGGGGATGTTTAAATGCCTTACCCAAGATTTCCCCCAAATACCCCAGGAGTTTGCTTTCTTAAGTTTATTTTGTTATAGCCTCTTCTGCCTCCAACTCCTAACACTCTACCAAGCTACTTCATTCATGAAAAGTCTCACCTTTCTGTCTCTGACCCAGATGAAAACTCAACCCCTTCTTTGGTTTCTATGGAAAGCCCACACTTACAAAGTAATTCAAATGTGCAGAATTTACTGAAGTTATTGGAGCCCCAAGGAGAGGTTTACTCTGCTGAAATTCAAAGAACTTCAACATGAACTTTGACACATCCTTGTAAAAACGAAATGAAACAAAATAAAACTCTTTGGCCACCAGGCCCTGAAGATGTATTATGGCCGCTTTGCTCTATGTAGTGTCTCACTGGATCCCCACTGACCCTCCCTCCCCATGGTCTGCTATACTTGAACTCCAAATTCTCTCCACTCATGCAAGCCCCAACCTCTAGACTCAGCTCCTAATGCTCCCAGGTGCCCCGTTGAATAAAAAGACTTTTTATTGATGCAGAACATACTCTTCTTACAAGGCAGCTGTTTGTGGATAGCAAACATTTTTTATCCTTTTCTGTTATATTTAAATATATAAACTTTATTGAGCATTTGCTTTGTGCCAGATGCTAGTCATATAGAAAAGTGAAAAACACGCAAGCAACAATCCTTAAGAACTTAAACCTTAAGTTCCTTAGGAACTCGCAGCTTATGGAACAAGCAACCCTCATGCCAGGTCATTGATGCTATAATAGAGACAGGGGCAAATAACCATGGGGCTCGAGGGGATGGGACAGCCTGTAGATTGGGACCCCTTAGAAATTCAAGGGCCTGACATGCAGCTGTCTTGATTCCCTTTCTTTAGCCATGTGTTCAGCTGGTGTTCCTCATGTCTCCCTTTCAAAAGCTTCATTTTGGGTGTAGCTGCTGATGAAGGATTCTTCTCGGCTCCTTTGCTGGACTAGAAGCAAGGGGCACCCCGTCTACTCAGCCCACCACGCTCAGCCCCTTGCAGGAGGAAGCACATGAGTGAGTGAGTGTGGGGTTCAGCCAGCCACTCTGAGCACCAACACAGGAGCAAGCTCTGTGCGGGGCCTGTGCCCAGACCAGGCATGTCACCCCAAGGGAAATGTGGTGGTGCCCAGGCTGGGATGCCTGCAACCCCAAAGCCCCAGAGTGGGTGTTAGTGGGATAATTAGCTCTTTTAATTATGCCATCCACAGCCTGACAGATGGTGGCATGTTAGCAGCTCAGTCGGCCCCTGGCCCCATCTCATGGGGTGGCTGCCCTCCGCCAGTGAGGGCAAAGGGCCACTGTGACCGCCTTTCTGGGTACCTGCACTTGGTGGGTCCTGAGCTCTTGTCTAGCATCCAAGAAAAACGAGGTCACGCTGACAATTGAAGGGTAATGACAGCGGAGAATTTTATTGAGCAACAAAAACAGCTCTCAGCAGAGAGAGAGCTGGAGAGGGGATGAGAAGATCAGCTTATCTTCCCCGAAGTCAAGTCGTCTCTTCCCCAAAGTCAGGTTGTCTCTGTCATTGTGGCTGAATCTGGGGTTTTTATAGGCACAGGATGGGGGTGAGACAGGCCATAGGTAGTACTGGAAAAGGCAACATTTGATTGGTTAAAAGGCATTATTCAGAAAGAACCAATTGGGAAAGAGCAGACAAACAGGAATAGAAGTTCTCACTCTGGGCCATGGGTTTCAGGCTGTTTTTTTGGCTTGAAGGTGAGGTTTCACTGGGGACCCACCCCTGTCCCCCTAGAATTTCTCTGCCTCCTGCCCCTGTTACTGCCATGATTCTTCCACTGCATTATGTAATATACAGCATTTATGAATGACACTATCCCAAATAACACTAACTTGACAATAACTCCAATTTGAAACATGTAAAACAGTAGCTCTGTACTACCTCTGAACCATCCTGCAGGGTACCATGAGCATCTGCAAGATCATTTGGTGGCTTGAGCAACAGAAGATACTGAGGGTTCTACAAAGAAAGCCAATATGTGCTAGATGCTCAAAAAGTCCATTTCAACCTAAGTTTCCTGTACCTGTTTTTGTTTGTTTGTTTGTTTGTTTCCTCAAAACCAAACGCAAACCAGAGCTTTTCTTTCAGAGTCTTTAAAAATAAATGGGGTAAGGGAGAGATCTCTGTTATCACAAAGGATGTTGCCTGCCTTGACAACGGTTTCAACAGTTCCTTTACAAAATACTGTGACTGTGCTGTATTTCACCGACTAGCTTGAATTTTGAGCATGCAGCAATTTGGTTGCCAAGACAATCAAACTGTCTTGTCATAGAAGCTCTAATATTTGTAGAGTACATACTACATGCTAGTTGTTGCGCTGACTGGTTAAATATAATATCAATTTAAACCTCAAAATGAACCTATGCAGTAAATGATATGTCAGATTTCTAAAAGAAGAAAATGGAAGAAGCTCTTGCATTTTCTAGAATTATATATAAATAGAACCATTCAATGTGTACTATTTTTGGCCTTGCTTCTTGATGATTTCAAAAATGAATTTGCCGAAGATTGCACAGCTGATAAGTAAAAGAGCTGGAATTTGAAGCCAGGTTCATTTGAGTCTAAACTCATGATATCTCTCAAACGTAATAATCTATGGAAATAAAAATTGCATTGGTTTTGAGGTTATTTCTAATAATTTGAAACCAGATGTTAAAATCAAATGTTTTATCTTTTAATGATATAATCAAGATTTGCCTTCACCTTAGCATAATATACTGCTAGTAAGTTTAAAGTTCAAATCATAGTTATTGATGTCTTCTGGGTTGAGATATTTTAAATTGATGTTTTTAAATATAAAAGAGACATATGGTCATTGTAAAAATGGTATAACTTTATGGAAGTATAAAGTAAAATGTAAATGTCAATGGCCAACAAAAATTTGCATAGACACTTAACCAAAGAAGATCTATGGATGGCAAATAAGCATATGAAAAAATGTACATCATCATCAGTCATTAAAGAAATAAAAATTTCCCATTGGAAGACCTAAAATTTAAAAGTCTGACCATGCCAGATATTGGCAAGTATATAGGAAAACTGGAATACTCACATACAGCTGCTGGGATGTAAAATGGTAAAACTGCTTTGGAAAACAGTTTGGCAGTTTCTTACAAAATTAAACGTATACCTGCCATATGACCTAGCCATTCCACTCCTAGGTACATATTTACACAAGATAAATGAAAACATGTGCAAATACAAAGACTGGAACACAAATGTTCAGAGAAGCATTATTCATAATAGCCCCAAACCCTCAACAATCCAAATGTCTATCAGCAGATAAATGGATAAGCAAATTGTGATACAGCCATACAATGTAATGCTATTTAGCAACTAAAATGAATTAATTATTTATACCCTTAACGATGTGGATGAACCTCAAATTAATATTGCTGAATGAAAGACACAAGGCCAAAAATAGTACATACTGAATGATCCTATTTATATACAACTCTAGAAAATGCAAACTGTTAGTGACAGAAAGCAGACCAGCCATTGCCTGGGGATGGAGGACAGAAAAGGATGATAGGGAGGGTTTTCAAGGGCAGTAAAGACACCTTTGGGGGTGATGGATATATTCATTATTGTGATTGTGGCAATGGCTTCACAGGTGTATACATTTGTCAAAATGTATTAAACTGCGCACTTTAAATATATCCAGCATACTGTATGTCAACTATATTTTGACAAAATTCAACACACACACACACACACACACACACACACACACACACTGCAAAGGACTAAACGCTTATGTTCTCCGAAAATGCATATGTTGAATTCCTAACCCCCTAGGTGATATTTGGAGTTGGGACCTTTGGGAAATAATTAGGTCAAGAGGATGGAGTCCTCATGAGTGGGATTAGTGCCCTTATAAAAGAGACTCATCAGCCCTTCTGCTATGTGAGGACACGACAAGCAGGTGCCCTCTATGAACCAGGAAGTTGCCCTCACCGGTTGCCAAATCTTGGACTTCTCAGCCTCCAGAACTGTGACAAATAAGCTTCTAGCATTTATAAGTCACTAATTCTCTGGTATTTTATTCTAGTAGCCCAAACAGACCAAGACAAATACACACACACACACACACACACACACACACTCAATAGCTCCAAAATGCTCTCCAAAAGTTACCACTGATATTAATGTTATGATCATCTTTCTAGACATTTACGCAACAGGGTCATAGTGTACACAGTATTTTATAACTTGCTTTTTTCACCTGGGCTTGTTTTCATGTGTATACGTACAGATCTACCTCGCTGGAGCCTGGGAATTCAGTGTGTGAATGCTTTGTGATATTTAGTGGGTCCTCTATTTGTGGACATTTAGGTAGCCTCTTGTTTGTGCTTCACTACAGATCTTCCCAGAGTTATGAACACCCAACTTATGAATCAGTCCCATGCTGGCGCTTTCTCCTACCCTATCCTTCCTCCTTACCCCAGCAGCCTGCAACCGAGCTGTCCTGGCCTACTTGCTCCACCTGGTGGTCAATGTGAGATATTACCTAGGTTTAGTATTTTTCTCTCTAGAATCTCCTGGTCTCTAGCTTGCCCTTCTCAAATCCATCTTGTCCCTGGCAGCCAGAGTGATCTTTCTAAATACAAATCTGATCTTCTCACTCTCATGATGAAAACGCGTCACCTAAAACAAACATAGACCTCTAAGCAGAGTATACAAAGCAGGAATACTTTGACCCTTGCCCACCTCTCCAGCCTCAATTTTCTCCTCCTAGCACTTTGTACCCTAGCAATACATAACCAATTGTAGTTCGTTAAACACACAGTGCTGCTTCCCACATCCATATATTTGTACCTGTTGTTTTCTTTTCTTTAGATTTTTCTGGTAAAAACCGGGAAACCTGCCACACAAATTGTAAAAGAGCTGTAACACTGCCACCTGCTATTTTCTCTCCCTGGAGTATCACTCTGCCCACTCCCATTCCATGTTTGCCAGGCAAACTCCTATTCAGCTTTTAGAACCCTACTTAACAGACGCCCCCCCCCCACTCCCTGCAGTTTTGCCTTTTCCCTCACATGGAGTTGATCACTCTTCCCACTATACCTCTAATGCCAAACCCATAACGTTTGATTATAATTATCTGTTTATATGTTTGTCTCCTGTGCTAAACTGGCTGCCTCCCTGAACCCCATCACTAAGCTTGAGGACCAGAACCGTCTCTTGGTCATTATCCTCTCTCCAGCGTCTTCCACAGTGCCCAGAACATAGTAAAGTAAGGTTAATAGGCAGATATTGAAAGAAAAAGAACTAACTACATCCACAGTCTCAAGGGAGTGGCACTGCATGCTTCTTTTTTCCATGTGTGTAGGGCCCGCCAGAGTTAGGAATGCTGTTGTCAAGGCATAAAGTTCAGGGGCTGAGACCAGTCAAAGGAACCACACACTCTATTTTTGTTTTTTTTTTTTTTTTTAGACGGAATTTCACTCTTGTTGTTGCCCAGGCTGGAGTGCAATGGCGTGATCTTGGCTCACCACAACCTCTGCCTCCTGGGTTCAAGCGATTCTCCTGCCTCAGCCTCCAGAGTAGCTAGGATTACAGGCATGCGCCACTACGCCGGCTAATTTTGTATTTTTAGTAGAGACGGGGTTTTTCCATATTGGTCAGGCTGGTCTTGAACGCCCGACCTCAGGTGATCTGCCCACCTCGGTCTCCCAAAGTGCTGGGATTACAGGTGTGAGCCACCGTGCCCAACCAGGAACCACACACTCTTTAATCTTGATCAAATACATTGCCAACTAACATCCACCACTTGGGCAAACCTGAAGGTCATTTGAACCATCCTGAACCTGGTATTCCTCAATTAGTGGTTGGGGAACAAATGACAAAGGGGTTTGGTTTGCAGCTTATAGTCTTGTTCCTTTGGGGGCCATAAGGAAATTGTTCCAATAAATGGAGAGTTTCCTTTTATCGAATTCCCCACGGGAGAAATTGTAGGATCATGGTGACCCTCCTTTTTCCTCATTTGGAATCCAAGGGAAGATGTTTCACCCTTTTACTCTTTCATTCAACAAACATTTATTAAGTGTCAGGCACTTTTCTAGACACTTGGGATCCATTAGTGAACAAAACAATGATCCCTGCACTCATGGAGCTTAATTCTAGTGAGAATAAACAATACAGCACTAATAAACAGAATAAGTAAATACACTGCATCATATGCTAGAAGACAAGTGTTAGGAAAAAAAGAAAATGTCAAGCAGGTTAGGGGGCTCTGTCTATAAAGAGATGCACATAAAAATATTCAAGCGAGCAGAATCCCAGTTGAACTTCCCGGTTGAATCCTGCACTTCCAGTTATGTGAGGTGATTTCCTCACTGTGGAAGCCAGTTTAGATTGGATTTCTGTTCCTTGAAGCTGAAAGTAAACTGAGAGAGCCACCTTGGCATGCGTTCCTTAAGAGCAGTCTTTGTCATCCAGTCATCCCATCTGTTCCCTTGGCAAGGAAAAATAATTACAAGGAGATGCCACAGTCTTAGTTTCCATTTGAGGGTTTTCCTGAGAGCCTCTAATGACACTATGTTCTTTGTCACATACCCGTCAATTGTTTCCACTCCAGCTAATCTCATTCTCATTGTCAAGCATGAGAGTCAGAAAGCTGCACCTCAAAGTGTACCCCCAGGATGTGATTCAAAAGGATCAACATGCAACTGCTGTTCAAGGGCACGCTCTGTCCACAGGGACAAGGCCACCTGCACAACCCCAGCTCAACCACCCTCATCTCCAGCCTGAATCGCTGCCACATCTTTCCAACTGGTCTCCTTACAGCAGCCAGGGTGATTCTTTTAAAAGAGTTATCACGTCCTGTCATTTCCCTCCAATCATTTCCTGTCACTTACAGATACCGCATGATCTGGCCCTGGGTTAGCTCCAGCTTCTCCTGCCAAACTTCTTCCTTACTCGCCATGCTTCAGCGACACTTGCCCCTGCTGGTTCCTTTAGGATGCCAGTTTCTTCTATTCCAGCCTTTGCACCTGCCATTCCTGCTACCTAGAACATTCTTTCCCCAGACATCTGCAGGCTAACGCCCTCGCTTTGTTTAGATTTCTGCTCAAATGTAACTTCAGCGTTGCAGCCTTACCTGACCAAGCTACCTAAAAAAATAGGCCCCCAAGCCCCTCTCTGTTGTCATAGTATTTGTCATACATGAAATTATCACGTGGATCAATTTCTTGGTTTCTGTGCTGCCTGCCTACCCTACTAAAATGTGAGCTCCCTGAGGACAAGGACTTTTCCTGTGTTGATCACTCTTGGGTTCTCCAGATTTAAGCACTGCTTGGCACCTAGTAGGTGCTCAATAAATATTTTCTGAATGAATTAATGACAATCTGACTGACTCTACCTCACTCCATGGCCTAGCAAGAACATTCACACACAGACACACACCCTTTTAAAGCCTCTTCTTCCTTTTCTCTACTCCTCTAATTCTCATATTTTTGGGAAAGCCTTGCTTCCATCTAATCTTTTCAGTCCCCTGATTTAAATATGTGTGTGTGTGTATATATATGTTTATATATAATATATAATATATTTATATATATTTTATTTTATTATATATATTTTTATAGTATATATTTTATATATAATATATATTTATATATTATATACACACTATATATATATACACACACATATATATAATTTTTCACAAAGCCATGTCTGATTAATAATCTGATAACTGCCAAAGTTCTTGGGCTAGGCACTAACAGAGCTGTCTCCAGGAGGCTAAACTATGTTAGAACTGATTAAGGAAGACATCACGATGCTCCAAGCATAAGCAAACAGGAGTGTGTACAGGGTCAGGGAGAGGACTTGCCTCCCACTTCTGCATTGAGCCCAGCACAAGTTTGGAAGCTATGGAAGTATCCAGAGATTGTCTGCCATGAGTCTTGGCTGTCCTATGGCTCATAGTGGCAAAGGTGTCTAAGCATCTCTATGCACAGCAAACCTGCACACGCGATAATCCGAGTAAGAGAGGACAAACAAGGTTAATGGCATGCAGTGTTTGTAAACTCAGAGACATGCATGAGTGCTCAGAACTAACTGCGGGATGGTTTAAAGAAGACTGATTTCCAGCAATACAGCTGGTATGCACTCATGCCATCATAATTTGAATACAAAAAGGAAGTATGACCTCATTTTCTACTCACAAGGTTGTGTGGACTGAGACCAGGAGTAAAACATGAGTTGAAAATCTGAGTTAGATGTAAAAATGAACCAGGTAAATTAATTATCCAAATCATGGATGGGGTCAGTCTTTAGTAAATATACTTCCAAATTCTCCAACTATGTTCTTATTTTTCTTTCCTTCAGTTTGCTTTTCCCCCCAAACATCAACATGCTGAAGAAGTTCTTTAGAAAAACTATATTCACTGTTTTTCAGGTTTGTTTAATTACTGGCATTGTATCATTTTTTTTTTCATTGCAACTACTGGGTATTTCTTTTTTTTTTGAGACGGAGTCTCATTCTGTCGCCCAGGCTGGAAGGCAGTGGCACGATCTCAGCTCACTGCAACCTCCGCCTCCCAGGTTCAAATGATTCTTTTGCCTCAGCCTCCCGAGT
The DNA here is from genome assembly GCF_000001405.40 of Homo sapiens. Taxonomy (NCBI): domain Eukaryota; kingdom Metazoa; phylum Chordata; class Mammalia; order Primates; family Hominidae; genus Homo; species Homo sapiens. The sequence continues at coordinate 106,286,676 of NC_000012.12, forward strand.
AGCTGGGATTACAGGCACGCACCACCATGCCTGGATAATTTTTGTATTTTTAGTAGAGATGGGGTTTCACTATGTTGGGCAGGCTGGTCTCGAACTCCTCACCTCATGATCCACCCACCTCAGCCTCCCAAAGTGCTGGGATTACAGGCATGAGCCATCACGCCCAGCTTAACTATTTGGTATTTCAAAGACATTATTGTTTGAATCGTGTTTTATGAGCCACCTAAGGAACTAAGTTTCCTATGTGCAACTAGGTATTCTTGCCAAGAATCCCTGATAATTACTGGGACGTCGTTTGTTTATAAATCATACATTGGGCTGGGCACAATGGCTCATGCCTGTGATCTCAACACTGGGAGGCTGAGGTGGGTGGATCACTTGAGCCCAGGAGTTCGAGACCAGCCCAGCCAACATGGTGAAATCCTGTCTCTACTAAAAATACAAAAATTAGCCGGGAATGGTGGCGGGCATCTGTAATTCCGGCTACTCGGGAGACTGAGGCAGGAGAATCGCTTGAACCCGGGAGGCAAAGATTGTAGGGAGCCAAGATCGTGCCACTACACTCCAGCCTGGGCAGCAAAGGGAGATGCCATCTCAAAAAAAAAAAAAATCATAAATTGCTCAACAGTGGGTTGCTTTTTTAAGTGCTGATATCGACTATACACAAAATGATCTTGATTCATCTGCTTGCTGTGGCCCAGAAATTTCTGCTTTTGCAGAAGAGAAAATAAGACAGGTAAGGGGCTAGGAAGGGTGGCTGAGAATGAGGCTACAACCTGTGACCCTTCACAGGTCTGTTTAAAACAATAGCATCAATCTTCTCCAGAAAAGTGGCTGTTGGTGGGAAGGTAGCCATAACAAAGACTATTAATTCTGACCTGTGGCTTCTTGTGGTTTAAGAGCATTTTATGCTCTTAGAGCATTTGGAGATCATTTCTTCGAACTGTTCCAACCTGCCTCAAACCAAATATTACCTGATTAGTAAAGAAATAGCAAATTAGTCAAATGTGCATTGCAGGGGGTGTGTGTGTTGGGAGGTAGGTTTCTTCCTTTAACTGACTTTCTTTGAAGACCTACTAGGCCAAATCACTGCTGGAAGAACTAAAGGTTGGGCTGGGGGGTGGTTACAGAGGTGAGTGAAATTTGGTCCCTGCCTTCCAGACACTAAAAATCTAAAGGAGGAACAGACATGAATAGAAATAAATAAACTCAAAAAGGATGTTCTCAGTAGCACTTAATGTCACTTTCACACCTAAGATTTTATTATCCTATTCTATTTATCCATTCAACAAATATGTATTCAGGTCACCCAGGGGAAATTGAAACTGAGGTCTGTGGGGAGTACAGAGAAGGGCATAATTACTTCCAAAGGTGGAGCCGTGGAAGGTTATGATACAGGTTGCATGGTAGCATCTGAGCTGAATCTTAAATGGCAAGTAGAAATTTGGGAGATAGATAGATTTATGGGGTGAAAGATACCGTGAGAAAAGAGTAGTGTATAAGTAAAACCAGGACCCCAAATTTAGGTATCAATAAGTGTTTTAGCATTCCTAAAGTGTGACAAATAATGGTGGGGTTTTGTGGTATGTAGTCTTTCCTAATCTGTGGCAGATACATTCCAAGACCCCTAATGGATGCCTGAAACCATGGATAGCACCAAACCCTATACAGACTATGTTTTTTCCTGTACATACATACCTATGAAAAAGTTTAATTTATAAATAAGGTACAGTAAAAGATTGACAACAATAATTAGTAATCAAATAGAATAATTATAACAATATGTGAGGATCACTACTCTTGTGCTTTGGGGCCATTATTAAGTAAAATAAAGGTTACTTGAACGCAAGTACTGCAATACTGCCACAGTCAATCTAATGGGTTACTGAGTGACTCACATGTAGTGTACACAGCATGGATATGCTAGACAAAGGGATGATTCATGTTTTGGTCGGGTTGGAGCAAGATGGGGCGAGATTTCATCATGCTCCGCAGAATGGCACACAATTTAAAACTTATGAATTGTTTATTTCTGGAATTTTCCATTTAATAGTTTCAGACTGCAGTAGACAGCAAGTAACTGAAAACTTGTAAAGCGAAACCACAGATAAGGGGGAACCACTGTAGTTTTAAAGCATGTCTGCAAATTCTTTGACACTTCCTACAAAAGGTAAAGTCTAATGCCCCTCCCTTCGAATATGAGCCGACTCTAATGACAGGCTTCTAATTAAGAGAATGTAGTGGAAATGACACTTCACAACTTCTGAAGCCAGGCTAGAAAAGGTGATACAACTTCTACCTGGCATGCTCTCATAACATGTGCTTTGGGAACCCATGTGTGAGAATTCCAGCTACCCTGAAGCTACTGGGCTGCAGAGACTACGTGGAAAGGCCACATAGCGAGATGGAGAGATGCCTCAGAGGCCCAGCTACTGGAGTCTTCCCAGCATCAACCACCACCACAAGTGTGGAGATTTTCCAGTGACTCTTACCCTCCACTTTCAAGTCTTCTAGGTCAGGTCCCAGACATTGTGGAGCAGAGATAAGCCTTCCCTGCTGAATCCTGTTCAAATTCCTGATACACAAGAATCTGTGAGCATAATGAAAGGTTGTTTTGTGCCACTAAGTTTAGGGACTAATTTGTTGCACAATCATTATAACTAGAGAAAGCTTGCTAGAAGATAAGGCAGAAAGAATTGGTTGCTTCCCAATCAATGAAGGCCTTGAAGTTTGAGTTTTACTTGGGAGTAATGGGGAGCCACTGATGGTTTTTGAGTAGGTATGTGACATGACACATGATGAGAGGAGGAAGAGAGCAAGATATGGAGTCCATGATTCAGGGAAGTGGTATGGAAGCAGAAACATCGGTCTCTGTGGCTTTCTCTCATCTCCTTGAGAAATCCTGAGAAATATGAAAACAGAAGCATGGTGGGCAGGAATATCTAAGATATACCAATGTATAAAACCACTGCTTCAGGACCTGAATATTACACCAAAAGCTAGTTTTCTCTTTTCTTCCTCTCTCTCTCTCCCTTTTTTTTTTTTTTTAGATTGAGTCTTGCTCTGTTGCGCAGGCCGAAGGGCAGTGGCACGATCTTGGCTCACTGCAGCCTCCACCTCCCGGGTTCAAGTGATTCTCCTACCTCAACTTCCCAAGTATCTGGGGTTGCAGGCAGCAGCCACCATGCCCAGCTAATTTTTTTGTAGTTTTAATGGAGACAGGGTTTCACTATGTTGGCCAGGCTGGTCTCAAACTCCTGACCTCAAGTGATCTGCTTGACTTGGCCTCCCGAAGTGTTGGCATTACAGGCGTGAGACACCGCACCTGGCCTTTTTTTCCCCTCGTTTTCAATGGGATTAAGAAAAAACTAGATTGGCGAGACTTATACAAAGAGAAATCAACTAAATAATGCGAAATGTATCATCCCTCTTGCTCTTTAAGTCTGGCTTTTCCCCGCTAGGTACACACTGCCATTTCTCACCTCTTTGAGTTTTGTCATTCTGTCCCCTTACCTAGAACACTCTGACTCCCTTTCTTCTTCTAGCTAACTCACCCCTCAAGACTCAGCTTTGGGGTAGCTCATTTGTTTATTTATTTACAAAATATTTATGAAGAACCAAATTTTGTACCAGACACCACATCAGGCACTAGAAAGACAGCCATGAAGAAGATTACCTATCTGCGCAGAGTCCAGTGGGAGGAAGAGATGTAACCAGATATATAAATGAAACAGTGATGGTATCAATTTTATTGGTACAATTTTGTCCAGGGCACCCAGGTGCGGTGGCTCACCTTTGTAATCCCAGCACTTTTAAAGGCTTGGGGCAGGAGAATCACTTGAGCTCAGCAGTTCGAGACCAGCCTGGGCAACAAAGCAAGAACCTGTCTCTACAAAAATAAAATAAAATAAAATAAATTAGCTGGACACAGTGGCATGTACCTGTAGTCCCAGCTACTCAAGAGTCCAAGGCAGGAGGATATTTTGAGCCCAAGAGTTCAAGATTGCAGTGAGCTATGATCGTGCCACTGCACTCCAGCCTGGGTGACAGAGCAAGACCCTGTCACACACAAAAAATGAATCTGGAGTCCCAAGAAAGTGAGTGAAGATCCATCCATCACTTCCCTCCTATTTCACTGGCCAGAATCCAGTAAATCCGGTAGTAAGTCAATATCTAACCATAAGGGAGGCTGTGTGACCAGCAGGTAAAGGAAGTAGATAAGTCACTCTCTGGCACATAGTCTACATATGTTCATTTCATTTTACTTTCACAGGATTCCCAATTAGTTAGGCCTGATCATTCTCATTTTATGGACAAGATAATTCAGACTTTGAAAGGTTAAGCAGCTTGCCTAAAATCCTTCAGCATTTAGATAGTAGTGCTGCAATTCAAACAGAAGGTTGATTTTTTTTTTAATAAATCTACCCTCTTTCCACTGCCTGTATGCTATTTTTCCCAACCCTGCTACTATTCCCCAAAAGAAATGTTTATGTTGTTATGTGTCTTTGTAAATAATTATACAGTCATGCATCTCATAACTGTTTCAGTCAATAGTGGACAGTATATTTGATGGTGGTCCCATAAGATTACAGTGTAGCTGCCCTAGATACATGTACCATAATTTATCTTTTACACCATATTTTTTCTACTTTTTGTATGTTTAGATATGTTTAGACACACAAATACTTGCCATAGTGTTACTACAATTTCCTGCAATATTCAGTATGGTAACGTGCTGTACAGGTTTGTAGCCTAGAAGCAATAGATTAGACCATATTGCCTAGGTGTGTAGTAGGCTATGCCACCTGGGTTTGCGTAAGCACACTCTGTGATGTTTGCACAAGGACCTAATGATGCCTTTCTCAGAGTGTATCCTGATCATTAAGCAACCATGACTGTAATTGTTTGAAACACTGCTTAATCACCGTACTTTGCAGAATTCTGGGTAGTCCTAAATGATTCTTCATCTTTCTTGGTTTGCCTGGAGTTTGTTTCAGCTTATCGTGTCTCCAGAAAAACTATGTAGATTTTCCTCAAGAATCTCTGCGGTCATATAGCTTTTGATTTTCTTTAAAGGGACAGAGATCCCTTTGCAATTTAAGCAGAGAGAAGGGAATATATTTTCTTCTTAATTTTCACCATTAGCTCTCTGACCCCTCTGACTACCTTGTCTATTTCCTAATTTTCAGGCAAAGCAGAAAGAAAGAAAAAAGGAAAAAGGAAGTTATAGTCAAAGTTCGTCAGAGTTAACTTCCCTCCTAATCAGTGATTGTCCCTGCCAACTAACTTCCCGCACTCCCAGCCAGTATTTAGAAGTGTGTCTGTAACGTCCTCTTACCAATCAGTATATACAGCACTGAGAAACTACTATGTCACAGGCACCGTGCAAAATAACATAGATTAATTTAAAGATGGATATAGGCCCAGCACCGTGGCTCACACCTGTAATCCCAGCACTTTGGGAGGCCAAGGTGGGAGGATCACCTGAGGTCGGGAGTTCGAGACCAGCCTGGCCAATATAGTGAAACCCCATCTGTACTAAAAATACAAAAAATTAGCCAGGTGTGGTTGTGGGCACCTGTAATCGCAGCTACTCTGGAGGCTGAGGCAGGAGAATTGCTTGAACCCGGGAAGTGGAGGTTGCAGTGAGCCGAGATCGTGCCACTGCACTCTAGCCTGGGCACAACAGAGCAAGACTCCGTCTCAAATTAAAAAAATAAATAAATAAAAAATAAAGAAACAAAGATGGATATAAAGAGTTATTGTCTGAAAAAGGTTTTGGGGCAAACACGAGCAAGCATTGCTCACTGCAGGCTCCAATGCACAGGCAGAAGTATCTCCTATTCTCGTCACCCATGACCAAGAGGTGTATTTGGGTTAGGGCATAGCTGCATGTGCCTCAGATCTGTACTCCAGAAGAGGAACTCCCATACCTGTATTTTCCCCTTTTATGGAGCAAGTATGAGAACGACTTTGCCCAAAAGAGACATCGTGGTCTCAGCCATCAGGTAGTCTGAGAATAAGAGGCAGCTATTGAGGGGAGTGTTGGTAAACACTACCTGCCCAGCATCTGGAGACTTTAGGTGCTCAGGAGAAGTTTAATTTTTGCACAACCCCTCCTGCTAAAAGGAAAAAAAAAAAACCCTGAAACCCTTGTTAGTCCAAAGTCAGGCAATTAATTTGAGCCTCTGAGTTCAGCCTTCAGACAGTTAAATTGCTTGTATTCATGAGTAGAAGACATTCCTTGTGCCCAAGGAACAGTCTGAAGTGAGTGACTTTCATGTCCTCCAATAATTACAGGATATGTGTGATACATGCTGTACATTTAAAAGATTTCCTGAAGTCTGCTTTTTTGCATCTAGTCATGCATAGCAGATTTCATGGGTGAAAACAATGCTTGGGGCCCTACTTTTCTTCATGGAGATGGCAAAAATGCTTAAAGAGCTAGGTGAACCATGTAAATGAATGAAGTAGGCTACATATAAGAGGGGTGGGCTTGTGGCATTCAAATTCAAAGTCCACCTGTGGGCTGAAAGCCACTCATTGCAATGCCCTCTACATCAAGCTTATGGTTCAGCTTTGGACTCCTGAAGAAATGGCGCAGAACCATCTATGTAGATTTAGAAAGTGAATTGAGTTCCTCACCTCATTTGGCAAGAATGGTGAATTTCCCACAGTTCGCAGGTACCTGTGGTTCCAAAGTGAGCTGCCGTTTTTGAAAATTATAAAAGCAACACTGAAGCAGTTTAAACCAATCCAGATTTTTAGCTAAGTAGTTCCAATTTTCTTCCTTATCAGTTAAGCTCATATCAGCCTTATTTTTCAACAATGAATTTGACCTAAATACTGATTTAGGGGCCTGAATCTGTTTTGTTGAGATCACTTGAGAACTTCTTGTACATGTATCTGCTTGGCTACTCCTTTCTCTAGGAAGCCTACCTGGGGGTCGTCAGTTCTGGATTACATGCTCCTTCTATGTGGCCCCTTGGATTGACTTCTATTTGTCAAGGTATAATTTTCAACAAATTGAAAACATGACTTATATGAAACAGAACAAACACGGGCTTAAAAAAATATTTATTTCATCAATTAAAGAGTTAGCCAGTAAAATGGTAAAGTTGGTTTAAGGAATATTTGAGAAATAGGGGTTTATATATCCCATCAAGAAATGCATTTTTAAAAATCTTACAATAAGATTACTAGGTTAGACACAAAATTGGTTAATGTCTTATAAGGTAATAAATAGTAAGCTTTTATCTTTTCTATAGAACAGAAAAGATTTTACTTGTATTAGAAATGGACAAGAATAATTTGCATTGTTATCAATTTTTTGGTGTTTTGTTTTGGGTTTTGGTTTTCGGTTTTTTGACATAGGGTCTCTGTCACCCAGGCTAAACTGAGGTGCCATGATGATAGCTCACTGTAGCCTCGAACTCCTGGGCTCAAGGGACTCTCCCACTTTAGCTTCCTGATTAGCTGGGACTACAGCCACATGCCACCCTGCCCAGCTAAGTTTTGTATTTTTTTTGTAGATACAGGATCTCTCTATGTCGCCCAGGCTGGTCGCCAACTCCTAGCCTCAAGCAACCTGTCCATCTTGGCCTCCCAAAGTGTTGGGATGACAGGCGTGAGCCACTACACTGGGCCCTTGTTATCAGTTTTTGATAAAGTAACATCTGCCTTTACAAAGTTCTGGAATATCTGAACCAATAACGAGTAGTAAGTCCAACAAAGGTACACAGTCCTAGATAATGCATGAATCCTTGTACGAGTCTGCTACTACACTGCACTACACAGCACCCTACTAAAAGGACATCCAGTAATCCCTTTTGCCTATTTCCAAGTCTTTGGATAACGTTTGGATAATTATCCAAGTTTTTGGATCATTGTTCTTAACACAATATAAAGTTATATTATTTTCCTGAATGGATCTGACTTACTGGCCTAATGAGTGGAGAATAGTAATCCTCACATTGATATATAAATACTGGGTGATGTGTTAGGCTCATTTGTGAGGTAAATAAATGGCTCCTGTACCACCAACTTATTAGATTCAAATTTGCTCCTTGGCAGAATTTTAAATTATCGCATGTCACAGACCTTTAAGTTGCCCAGGACCTGTCGAAACTGTAAATATTAAATCATTAAAATAACAAGAGTATAATAATAGTAGTTACAGTTTACTGATCCATACAATGTCGCTGGCACTCTGCTCAACTCTTCATATACATTATTTCTTTTAATTCTCCCACAGGTTATGGAGTATTTGTTCTAGTCAAAGTTCTTAGTGGCAAATAATACACCTTAGTCTGACTAGACCAGAAGGGTCTTCGTAGCTCATGGAACTGAGACCAGAGGGTCTTGGTAGCTCATGGAATTAGCTATCGAGTGACTCTAACATATTTTAGACTGAAGAACCAAGCTTGGGAAAGAACTAAAGGAAGCCAGGCATAGCTAAGAACATGCTAAGGATGCCATAGCTGGTGTCATCAGCATTGGGCACCACCACTGTAGCTCTGTGAATCACCCCTATCTACCTGTGGTGGTCAGCATCTGACAGAACATGCGTAGGTCCCATGCCCATGCTACAGCCACCAGGGTCTGGGAAGACAGAATGCCTTTCCAGCTCCAGTAGTAAAGTATTAATGGGATTAGCATATCATCCCCTCTCTGGCTTCTATAATAAATGATAACAATTCAAATACCATTCGGAAAGCTGGATCACCAAAATGACAAATGGCCCCCACAACATTATTATCCCCATTTTATACCTGTGAGGATAAGGACATATGTATAATGAGTGGTGGAACTTGGCTGTCAACCCTCTGGTCTGTCTGAACCCAAAGCCCACCCTCTTTCCACCATACCACATTTCCTCATTATATACAATTATTTTGTACCTCAGTTGATTAATTCTTTGAAAATTTTGATCTACGTAATGCTTGTAACTTTTAAAAAGTCATTTTTTTAAACGTCCACATATCATCACAGAGGTCTTCCTTTAAATAAAGAATTCAGCTTCAGCATTAAAATTAAATTTATTTGTATAATTATGTTACACCGAGCATTTTTTTTTTTTTAGACTGAGTTTCACTCTGCCACCCAGGCAAAAGTGTAGTGGCGTGATCTTGGCTCACTGCAGCCTCTGCCTCCTGGGTTCAAGTGATTCTCCTGCCTCAGCCTCCCAAATAGCTGGGACTACAGGAGTGCGCCACCACGCCCAGCTAATTTTTTGTATTTTTAATAGAGACGGGGTTTCACCATGCTGACCAGGCTGGTCTTGAACTCCTGACCTCAGTTGATCCGCCCACCTCGGCCTCCCAAAATGCTGGGATTACAGGAATGAGCCACTGCGCCCAGCCTATACTGAGCTTTGTGGGAATTTACTGATAATATACATGCAGATGTACATGTAACATAAACAATGGCATGGCTTGGGATCCCTCTGAGGGAATTGGCCAGAAATGTTTCGTGTGTGCATGTGTGCGGGTGAATATATATCTATGTAAACAGCTTCATATTTTTGTATAAAGCTGCATTCCATTCTTGCTTTCTAGAAGGCACAGCCACCCCAGTATCTGGTCCAGGCACCCTTCTAGAGTAATGGAATGTGATTATAAATACTTTGGGCACTTAGTTGGTACAGAGCTGGTATGCTTGTTGATATGTTGTTATGGAAATTAGATAATTATGCCAATAGGTAATACTTTGCATGTGACACTGCACGTGTATATGTGTGTATTTGCGGAGAGAAGCCATGAAGTGAGTTCTTCTGGTTTCTATTCTTGACCTGCCAACTGAGTGAGTCACTGCTGAGTATCCCTTTAGTCAACATAAACCCTTAGTGCCCTAGTATATGACCTTCCTCTAGAATGCCCAGGAACTCAGGTAAAAGCTACTATTCAGGCATTTGAATGTTCAGAGCTCTCAATTTTTTTGTCTTCAAAATGTACGGCTGGGTGTGGTGGCTGATGCCTGTAATCCCAGCACTTTGGGAGGCCAAGGGGTGGATCACTTGAGGTCAGGAGTTCGAGACCAGCCTAGCCAACATGGTGAAACCCCATCTCTACTAAAAATACAAAATATTAGCCAGGCGTGATGGCACACATCTGTGATTCCAGCTACTCAGGAGGCTAAGGCAAAAGAATCGCCTGAGCTCGGGAGGCAGAGGTTGCAGTGAGCCGAGATCATGCCACTGAACTCCAATCTGGCTGACAGAGTGAGACTCTGTCTCAAAAAAAAGAAACAACAAAAAAAAGGTAGTATAATTATTAAAGTCCCATATAACTTTGAGAAAGGACATTTGTCCAGTTTATCATCAAAGAAAGGGAAGGTTTTAGAGGTCAGAGTTTGGGGCAAAAAACATGTTTAAAATGAAAGCAAACTCCATGCACTTTGGCTATCGAAGAATAGGGCTTGAGGAGAAGAACTTAAAAAGTAAAGATCAATATTCCCCCACCCAGCATTAATAATTTTGACATATCATAGTGAGGGACTTTTTGTAAATCTATTCTTTCATATATTTTACATGAAAAGCTCCATTTGTTGTCATGGCTTTCTTAAATATGAATAAAAAAGAGATGGGAAATTTGCTTATTGTGCAGTATCAATAGCCTATCTTCACTAAGGTATATTTAGGAGGACATACAATAATAAGAATAGTTGCATTGTATGGCAGTGTGAAATAGACTAGTAATATATGAATGACATTCTCATTGTAAAAGAAATAAGCTGCTTGAATGTGTACGGAATAAACCAGGAACTAACTTGCCTAAATAGCCTTCTAAACGGTTGAGATTCTTTTTAGTCCATTTCTATGTATTTCATATACACACAATGCATATGTACTGTCTCTAGTGTAAGCTCTCTCTAGCATAAATCGTGTCACCCCATAATCAGTGTTCTGTAACTCATGTTTTCATGTTGAATCGTGTACCTAAAAAGTCACATTTCTTAATCCTTCCTTTATGTTTTCTGGAGATTGCATCTTATTTTAGTAGCTCTTCCTCATGCCCATTTGACAATTTCATTTGATTTTAAAACTGAGGGCCTGTGTTCATCCATGAACACTTTAGAAAAGCAATCATTTAGAAAATGGTTGATTGCCTGCTGGCCTGGAGATGAGCTAAAGAGAGTGACTGGCTTGGTCAGAGGTCTGAGCCATCACCTGTTTGGCCTCCCATAGGTGTTCCTTTGAGCTTCAACTCTCTTTGGCCCCTCCCACTTCCTGCCCCAAAGTTGTCTTCACTGCTGGTTCTCACTCTTTCTGCTTCCCAGGGGACAACAGTGGTGCCCAGGTAAGAGGAAGGGGCCCAGGGTGGGGTGTAGGGAGCACTAAGAATATTTGTCTTTTTAGTATGTGACAGGGTCAGGGACTGGGCAGTGCCTAAATGTGAAGGTACAGGCAATTGAAATGAGAAATAACTGTTAATTTTTTTACTAATTCAGTTCAGTGGAGTCAAAAGAAAACTGGTTTTGGTGCTTTGGAAAATTGTTCAAGCATCAATTAATAGTCAAAACTGGTCAATTATCTAAATCTACCTTATCTTCCAAATCACAGGATATAGAACAAAAAAAAATTGCCTAAAAGGTGTGGTTAATTTTTTTTAATAGACCTTATTTTTAGAGCTCACAGTAAAATTGAGTAGGAGGTATGCAGTTAATTTTTGAACATTCAGGGCCTAATTCTCTAGTTGGTGTATTAGCCAAATTCATTTTCTTCTTTTTGCTTTCTATTGTATTTTCCCCCTCACTGATTTTTGGCCCTTTCTGTAGCACCTGAAGATGGACAGGGGAGAGAAAAGAAGTGGGATTCCTTTGAAAAACATTTTTTTTAATTTAATTTTTAGTTTAAAATTTTTTTTGAGACAAAGTCTCGCTCTGTTGCCCAGGCTGGAGTGCAGTGGTGAAATCTCAGCTCACTGCAACCTCCGCCCCCCAGGTTCAAGCAATTCTCCTGCCTCAGCCTCCCAAGTAGCTGGGATTACAGGTGTGTGCCACCACGCCCAACTAATTTTTTGTATTTTTAGTAGAGATGAGGTTTTGCCATGTTGGTCAGGCTGGTCTCAAACTCCTGACCTCAAGTTATCCACCTGCCTCGGCCTCCCAAACTGCTGGGATTATAGGTGTGAACCACCATGCCCGGCCATTTTTTTTTGTGAGACCAGGTTTCACTCTTGTTGCCCAGGCCGGAGTGCAATGGTGCAATCCTGGCTCACTGCAACCTCTGCCTCCTGGGTTCAAGTGATTCTCCTGCCTCAGCCTCCCAAGTATTTGGGATTAGAGGTATGCACACCATGCCTGGCTAATTTTTTGTATTTAGTAGAGACAGGGTTTCACTATGTTGGTCAGGCTGGTCTCGAACTCATGACTTCAGGTGATCCACCCACCTCAGCCTCCCAAAGTGCTGAGATTACAGGCCTGAGCCACCATGCCCAGCCCATTTTTTTGCTTTTTGTTTTTGTTTTTTTCAATTACAATGGAGTCACATCTTACAGGAGGGGTTAGGCTCTTAAGGAAGACCATGAGGTCAAAGTGCAGTGAAAATTACTCTTGAAAATTTTTTAATGAGCCATAAGACCTGGGATACACCAAGTTTTTGTCGTTTTTTGTTTGTTTGGGGCTATTTCTTTTCTTCCAGCATTGAAACAGACATAAGTTTCTTCAAGTGAGCACTGGTTGAAATAATTGATTGGCACTTAGGGGCAGGAAGATAAGCACCTTTAACCACTAGACTCATATTCTGTGTGGGGAGATCAGGACCAGTTACATAATTTGCCAGGTCCAGTGCAAAATGAAAATGCAAGGCCCCCTTTCAAAAAGCACAGTATTAAGAATCTCAACACAACAGCAGCAATGTATTAAACCAAGCACAGGGCTCTTCCAAGGGTGGGGCCTTGTGCAACTGCCCAGACTGCACGAACATGAAGCCAGCCGTGGGAAAGAAGCTTGGAACATAATGAGAAGCTCAGAAACTCAGATAAACACAGTAAGAGAAGCCTCACAACTCCCATAGAGAGAAATAGGGGACAAGATCACTGGAAGTATTTAAATTATTCTCTTGTGTTCCTCATATTCTGTCCTAGATGAGTCCCGTATAGCTAAATTTGCATTACATTAAATCAGTACAATATGCAACTCCACTAGAAAAGTTATAAGGCTGAGAGGTTGCAAATCCAACTGTAATTACATTTTTAGATTTTTGTCAATGATTTATTATAATTTAAAACTCAGATTTCAGATGTGTAAAAAGAAAATGAGTATTTCTATTTCTTCATCGAACAAAAATTTTGATCTGCCCTTAGTCTTTTGCCAAGAGTGATAGACCACATTTAGTCTACCGTGTAATTTACAGGGAGAAAAAAAAACTGTATTACTGTGAGTTCTCTAAGTGGTTCAAAAAGGTAAGTTAGAAAAACTAGGTGTAATAATATGTCTTCTTCAAATAAAATGCTAATTATTTTACTTCTAAAGAGGTTGCCTTTTCAGATTTTGTTGTTTTTTTTTTTTCCTCAGAAAGCCATAAACATAACCTGAGCAGGGAAGATTTTGTGTTATGACTGTCTGAGCCCTCTGAGCAACAATGTGATACAAGGCTCATTTTTGAGGGAACTGCCTTATATTTTACAGCACTCCATTTTTTCAAAGTGTTGTTTTTGTTTTGTTTTGTTTTGAGATGGAGTCTCGCTCTGTCGCCCAGGCCGGAGTAAAGTGGCGTGATCTCGGCTCACTGCAACCTCCACCTCCCAGGTTCAAGCGATTCTCCTGCCTCAGCTTCCAGAGTAGCTGGGATTACAGGTGCGTGCCACCACGCCCAGCTAATTTTTTTGTATTTTTAGTAGAGACGGGGTTTCACCGTGTTAGCCAGGATGGTCTCGATCTCCTGACCTTGTGATCCACCTGCCTCGGCCTCCCAAAGTGCTTGGATTACAGGCATGAGCCACCGTGCCTGGCCCAAAGTGCTTTTATACACAAGTCAGGCCAAGGGCAGTTGGTCAGGTAATTCACAGAAGGGTTTTCAGATAGCAAGTTATTTAACATTAAAGTAACAGAAGATAGTATTTCCAGCATCTTTTCTTATCTCAGCTTGGTTCTCTGATGTTACAGTTGAACTTGCTTTGACAAAAGCTGCTTTCCTGGTGGCTTTGAGAGCTACATATCTGAACTTTAAAAGAAGTGTCATGCCTAGGATCAGGCAGCTGGTCACTCCAGTATAAAGGACAACTACCCTGACTCATGGTCACCTGCTCCAACTTATGTCATAGCTCAAAACAATACTTAAATCCTTACAAAGCTAACAAAGGAAGTAATGTTGCCATGTGTCATTGTCACAGAATTACCAGAAGTTTGGGGGATTTGGGTGTTCATCTTTCTATTGTGGAGTTTTTAGGGTGGTGATGGCAGTTGTGTGGTGGTTGTCATTTGGCAGGAATTGAAATTGGAGGCTTCTGTCATTCTGATTACTTATCCAACGAATGACACAAATAAGAGCATGTTTGTAGGGAAGAACTCAGGTGGGGACAGCACCTTCTATTTAATCTCTTAACCTGTATTATTAGGTTGTATATTTTAGGAGAAGAGAGGAAAGTGGCAAAAGGAGGCACAGATACAAATTTATACAGATCACCAGCTAAGTTTGGCCACAGTGGTTTGCCAAAGAATTTCAATAACTAATACTTAGAGTGCTTACTGTGCACCCTGCTAAGCACTTCACATGCTTTATTTCACTTTATCCTCAAAATAACCCAAGGAAATAGCTATCATTGTTATCCCCAGAGACCAAGATCTCATGGATAGTGAATGTCAGAGCCAGGACTGGAACCATAGAGGAGTCTGTGTTGTAACCACTGAACAACTGACTTTCTACCCTGCTTTAAAATGTTGCCTGTTGTTTGTTGTTGTTGTTTTTGAACGGTGGTGGCCAATCTGCCTCCACAATCCAGACATAATTTCGGCACTAAACAGAAATACTTTAGTCTATACAAACTTCATGTAAGTAGTTCCTGCATGAAACTATTTCCCAAGTAATACAGCACCGATTTACACCTGGCAGAAGGCATAGTTTTGATGTGAACAGTTGGGGGAAGCTTGTTTCTCTACACCCTCAAGCACGCCCACAGCAGGAGCTGAGCAGCAGGCCAGACGGCACAGAGCCCTCCTGGGACTGGTTATTTACATTAACCAAGGTGGAAACTTCTCCCGGAGATAGGTGCTGCCAAGAACCCTAGAGGAAGTAAGACGCTTTATCTTTTGCACGCACGCCAAGTCTTCAGAGGGCCTGGATGGGTGTGACTCCAAGGAGCTAATCGTCCCGTGCAGGTGCAAATCTAGACCCGTGTTTATGTGGAGGTGTAGACGCAACTGGAGATGACCCGGTTAGTGGCTGACGTGCGTGGGAAAGCCCACCAGCAGCGTTGTTGGTTGGGTTGTCTCTGTAAGTGTGGACAGTGTGTTGGTGGGCACCCAGTTCCGATTGCCCCGTCTAGACAGGGGTGTGCGGGCACTCAATGTTCCACGCGCGGCCGGGAGCTCGCAGTGTGGTCCACGCCAGTGCGCCTGGAAGCCCAGGGGATCTGTCCGGCACTCCACTGGAGGCTTGGCCCGCGGCTTCGCCCACCTCCCCAGAGCCCCGCTCAGCCCCCGCTCCCCCCGCTCAGCCCCCGCTCAGCCCCCGCTCAGCCCCCGCTCAGCCCCCGCTCAGCCCCCGCTCAGCCCCCGCTCAGCCCCCGCTCAGCCCCCGCTCCCCCACTCGGCCCCGCCCCCAGTGCCCTGGCAGGCCCCGCCCCCAACGCCGGGCGCTCCCGTCGGCTCGGCGGCCTCAGTTCCGTAAACACTTCTCACCCCGCCCCCGGCAGCCCGGACCGCACCACTCGCCGCGCGGGGGAACCGTGCCCTCTCGCATCCGAAACACCCTCCCATCCGAGCTGTTCTCGGCCTCTCTGGTTCAAACTGACGAAGACTGTTTCTCTAATAGGTTCAGTCTGTGAGCGCTCGGCTTTCGGAGACTGAAGGGCCCTGGATCCCCTTGCCCCGTCGCGCCGTCGTCCCCCCGCTATCCGGTTTTGTGATGGCCGCGCCGTGGCTGCCTCCCTAGAGTCCCTCAGGGCCCTTTAAATACCGCGTTGGGGGGGACACTGGGGCTGGGGGGGTTTGTTGGGCTGGTGAGTTTTCGAGGTGACTGTGCTGTGCTCGGTGAGGGGACGCCCAGAGAGCCCTGACCCGGGGTCACTCCGTCGCCGTTCTCCTCTTGTCTACGTGCTGGACCCGGTGCGTATCCATCACGGGGGAGGCGTTGCCGGCTCGGAGGTGACCGGCCAGGTCCAACGGAGGGGACACCGCTGCAGCCCGAAGGCTCCCCTGCCCTATCTCGGAACTCCATCCTGGGAAGGCGGGGTCAGGGGCCATCAAGCTCGGCTCCTAGTTCATGTCTTCCCACTCCGCGTCCCCTTGTTTGACCTCGAACTGCCGTCCCGCGTGGGAGCGGGGAGCGGGGCACCGAGTGGCCGCCCCGCGTGTCGGGGTGGACACGGACTTCGGGCCTCGGAGGCCGCTTCGCCGCTGTTTAAATCCTGCTGGACAGGTACCAGCGGCATCCCGCCATCAGGGGCCCAGGGCACCCCCTTCCCCCACACTCCTCGGCCGGGCTGGAGTAGGGAACTGAGCCAGGGTAGAGGCAGGGCGGGCCCGGCAGCGTGTGTTTGGGATTTGTTGCCGTGGTTTCCCCGGCACTCAGCTCTGCCTCCGCCGTCCCCTCCCCCAAGGGTTTGTTTTGACAGGAAACCTGGTGCTGCTGGAGGGGAGGGGCGGCCAGAGGACGTGGGTGAGGTCGTGCAGACTGCTGCTGCGTCCCCTTGCCGGGACCTTTGGTTAAGGGGAAGAGGTGGAGAAAAGCCGATTGGGCCTGGGCTCGAACGCTGAACCCTCAGGTGTTGCTTGTGCTTCCCAAAGCTGCTACTGTAGGTGGCACCACTGGGGGTAATAGCAATGATTTGAGGTGGCATATGGATGAACATAGTTACTTGTTTTCGTTACTATTAAGAAAATCTGTTCCATTAAGTAAGCAGTTTCACAATGATAGAGTTTCCTTTTAAAATAAATATATTTAAATGCAAAAATCTAGTCAAGATAGAGACGCGGTTACTAAATTATAGTAAAGGTAAGGAGGGAGACGTAGAAATAGTCATGAAGAGTGGCACTCAAACGACTTAAGTTTGGGAAATCTTAGATGGTTGTCCTGCTACCTTAACTGTGAAGAAACTGGACAAGTTGTCCTTGTCCCC
Source organism: Homo sapiens (assembly GCF_000001405.40). NCBI lineage: Eukaryota > Metazoa > Chordata > Mammalia > Primates > Hominidae > Homo > Homo sapiens. The sequence goes on from NC_000012.12 coordinate 106,303,955, forward strand.
AGTGGGTGTCTCAGCACCCATGGTCACCAGCCCAGTCAGGGACTTTGCTCTTCTTACCTGCCAACGGATAATGAGTTAATCTCAGTGGTTCCCACTTGAGGAGGCTCCCTGCCGTGGTCCTTTTCCTCTCTTCTCTAGGGATTTCATGCATCACCCTGACAGCCAGTGGAAGTTGCCTGATTTGAAGAGGCCCAGGGCCGAAGATACCCAGTCATGTGTGGAAGCAGCTTCAATGCCATTTTGTGAGAGGTTGAGGGCCCCAGAGGGGGAAGCACAGGTATTAAAACAAAACAGACCAGCAAGTGTGGGAGGAGTGCTTTCAAATGTGAAAAGTGCCAGGAATCCTTCTCCCTGATGCTGTAATGCCACGTGTAACGTGAACATCTGCTTTGTGGACAGTGACTGGCTTGTTGGCTTTTATCTAGCTCTTTGTTGGTTCTAACTTGATGAAGACCAGTATTGTCTAGATGAATGGTATGGGCCCCTATCCCTCTGCTCTATGGTTTTTGCTTTGCTGTGGATGAATAACTTTAGTGCTGCTATTTAAGACTGATTCTAAAGCAGCATTTTGCAGAAGATGGAAATTTTTCACATCATCTGCAATTTTTTTCTTTAGAGCCCAGACTTAGTCCTCTGACTCCCTTCCCTTTACTACACATATGTGAAGGCTTGTCCTTGCAGCTGACCTCGATCTAGTGTTGAAGGATGGTACACACTAGAAGTTTCTTGAAATTTCTTTTTTGCGTGAGCTAACCTTAACTGGATGGGTTCAATTCCTCAAGGCCCTGCTGGGTAATCTGAATATTTCACTCCAAAATGTTTATGACTGTAAGCAGTTAACCTTTTTGCTAATACGTGGGGTCTAACTAGGGATTTTGCGGTGCATAAAGAATGGCTCCCTCCTAGAGGATTTTCTGTCACTGTAGCGGGGTGGTGAAGAATTGTTTTGGGTGACGTACTCCTTCAGTGATGCCCTTCACAGAATAGCACTTGAGCAGCCATACCAGGATAAGATCAGCTTGCTACCACATGTGCAAGTGTCCACAGGGTGATGGGTAGATGGATTTGGCAGAGTGGGAGTGGAAAGAATGAGCAGCACACCAAATTTTCTCCAGCCAAACTGGAGTGGTAGAGAGCATGGGTTTTAGGGATCCGCTTCCTGGATTTGAGTTGTGCCTCTACACTGCTGTGAACCCTTGGGCAAGTAACGCAACCTCTCTGGGCCTCAGGATCTTATTATAAAATGGGGATAATACTGATACATTAGCTAACAAGGTTATAATAAGGATTCAAGGAGATAAAATATATAAAGAACTTATCATAGAACAGTTATTGAGTGCTTATTACTACCTCAATAATAAGCACTCAATTACTGTTAGCTGTAATTGTTGTTATTTGCTACACGTGAGTTTCTTTAACCTCCTGGAACTGTGGGTCTTTGCTAGTTTGAATTTTTGGTGCCTTGCAAATGCACTGAAGTAGGCACTGGGAATTGGAGAGGAGAGTCATCGCTTCCACCAGCAGCTTAAAATCTAGTGGGAGACAGATATGCACACAAGTGTAGTACTGTAAGTGACTGCGTAATGGGAATATGAGTAATGTGAGTGAGGCAGAAAAGAAGGAAAACTCAAGGTGTCTTATGAATAGGAGTGTGGCGTAATTAGTTCATGCAGCTGTACTCACTGAGCTCCTGCTCTAGCCCTAGCGGTGTTCTAAGCTCTAGCTGGCTCATTAGATGCAGTGAGTGTAGCAATCAGGGAAGGTTACCTCGTAGTTGGTGACATTAAATTTCAAATCTGAATGACAATAGGGAGCCAACCACAAGGAGATCAGGGAGAGGAACATTTCAGGGGCAGAGAACAGCAGGTATGAGTGCCCCGAAATAGGAAGTTTGGCATGTCTGAGGAACGCAAAGAAGATCATGAAGGGTTAGTGGGAGAACACTGCAGAATAAGGTGGGCAGAGTTAAGATCACAGAGGGTTGTAAACCATGGCCCAGTGACTTAGGAAAAGGGAACCCACCTAGGGATGAACTCTTAAAAAGGATTATCTATTTTGCCTTTTCTGGAGGGCTCTGGCCTATTTCCTGTTTTATTCTTTAGGCACTGTTCAAGAAGGACATCAGGACAAGTTTGACTGTCTAGAAGAGTTCTTGTAATAGAGTGGTATTTAAGCTATCACAGCAGTGGGCACAATCAGAATTTCAAAACTGCAAGAGGTTGGACTGTTCTGAATTTGAATCTTGAAGTTTCAGTTCAGCCTGTCATCTTCTCTTTTAACCTTCTATTTGGAAATACTTTCAAACTTACAGATAAAGTCGTGAGAATAGTATAAGGAATACCATGTTGTCTACCTTTTTCTCAGATTCACCTATTAACATTTTGCTCTATGTGCTTTATTATTTTTTCTCTCTTGCATTTGAATCATTTGAGAAAAAGTTGTATATGTCATGGCCCTTTATTCCTAAATACAAAACCACAGTACATTTCAACTTCAGTATATTTAACATTGGATAACAGACAGTAGATTCAAATATTGTTAACAGTGCTATTGATTGACTGATACTGTCCTTTACAGCATTTTTGCTTCAGTATAGGATCCACTCTAGGATCACCTATTGCACTCAGTTATCAAGTGTTTTTTTTTCATTTGGAACATATTCTCAACCTTTCTTTGTTTTTTATGACATTACATTTTCGGAACTTGTAACTTCTTTTAATAAGAATAAAATAATAGTTGACATCCGTCAGGCACTTACTAGGAGCTTAAGTACTTGACAGATACTATTTCAGTTAATCTTCACAACACTTCTACAAGGTGGATACTATTATTGTCCCATTTTACAAATGGCGAGTTCTCTGTTTCTAGTCAGTAAATAATCAAGAGGAGCCGGGATCAAGAACCCAGTCCACCTAGCTCCAGAGGCAATGTTCTTATGGCTTCAGTGACATGTATTATCATCAGTGTATCTTTGCAATTCTGAACCAGTGCAGAACTATTTGCAGATAGAGTTGCTGCAGAAAGGAAATCAGGAAGTAAAGCTGCACACGAGCTGAGGAATCACAAGCAAATTAAAAACCAATCTCCTCTCTATCTGTAGTGAAATACAGCACTAGCCCCTTCAAGTCCTTGTACCCATTCACACCTCTTAAATGTCAGTAGTCTTACTACCATTCATTTATTCAACAATAAATATTTGAATAAATATTTGAATGCTTGCTGCATTCCAGTGATGGTCTCAGAAGAAATGACATTATATTTATTATCACAAAGTGATGGAATAATACAATCAAAAATGTGAATATGACAGTACTTTTCTTTGAATAGTGACCTGCTATCGTGTTGGAGGCTTTGCTTGGAGTCATCTTCAGTCTTTTCTGTTGACTTTACCTTTGACCAGTGATTAAATCCTCCAGGTATGATGAGATGTGATGTTTCTGAAAAGTTGTTTGATTTACTTGTGAGTTGCAGTGGCAAAGGTTAGGTAGATCTAAGTTTGCATAAGGAGTATTACCTTTCTTAAAGATACAGCCTGGTTTCATTATCATCAGTCTAAAGGATAATCCAAAATAGTTTTTAAAGCAATCTAAATATCCTCAGTGCCTTTTGAATCAAGTAGGTTTGTCCCCAGGTGACTTACTTGGAAACTCAAGACCGAGAAAGGTAAGAGCAGGTATGAAGGAACTTGCGGAAGACCATTCACACAGTGATGGGCCATTCGCTTTTGGTTTTTGTCTGTCAAACAAGTGCCAAGAGTTCTGTTCTATGTTAACTACCAGCCTTGTTTGTCTGTTGAAGAATATGGTGTTATCCTGACATAAAACTGTTCTTCCCTCCAGAGTGTTTAATTCCTGAGGCAATGATATTAACAAAAAAAAGCAAATAATAGAAAACATTTGTATACTGTTTACTGTGTCAATGACTGTTCCAAACACGCTGCATGTATTGGGTACCTGAAATCTCACACCAACCCTATGAATTAGGTATTCTTAGTAAGCCTATATGAGGAAACAGACAAATTTTTAATAGAGTAATAATGGGCATTTTGGCTTCAAATACAGGTTTCTGTTTGGATACACTAAGGCCCAGTTGTAATGTGGAGGCTTCTACCCACTAAACAAGAGTTTCTAAACATTTTGAAGCTTTTAAATTTTCCATTGCAGCCCCTGTGCCAGGAACTCTACCTCCAGTGAATTGCTGGAAGAAAGTGTAGTTTCACATTGTTAAGCATGACTGCCATAAGCACATTTAATTTCTCAGAACTTCTAGTGATGCCTCATGGAACTCTGGGTTTGGAGCATCATATATTCCTTGCTGAGAGAAACCTTATGACTGGCCCAACCTCTCAGAAAAATGTGCATAAAGTCACACGGCACATTAATGATGAACCCAGGCCACAAACCCTGGACTCCTGACTCCCAATTATTTTAATCTTTGCACTTTTCTGCCTTGTTAAACACAGTTAAGAAACCTACCAAGTGTGCTATCCAGCTAAAGTAGAAAAATGAAATGGACAGTTAAAACTATTAAGCTAGTTCATAAATTCTCATGGCTGGAAGCTCTTATTCAATTTCACTTGGAAAAACAGCCAGAGCTCATTTGAGGGCAACCGAAGTAGAGAAAAATTAAGAGCAGAGCATGCATAGCACAGCGGTTACATTACAGGGGAATAACTGGGGGAAAAATGACTTAAAGTGGAAACAAACTTTAAGATATTCAAATAAGAGCATGACAAGGACCTGAGAATCTTGAGGTTTAAATCTAATAAGATAGGCTTAAGCAGTAGATTCTCTGCTCTAAGGCTTGGGCTTTGGCAGTACCAGCCTGGTTAACGTGTCATGATATCAGGTTGCAAATGTTCTGGTTGAAGCTGTACCAAATGAGATTCAGGGATTCTGATTTAGCTGACACTGAATGAATACTTGTCATATACTTGGCGCTGGTCATGGACAAGACACAAACTCTGCTTTATTAAGGAGATTCAGAAGTAGCCATGGGAAGAAAGGAACAAGGAACTAATGTACAAGGAACTAAGCGCTGTCATGGAGATACAGGAGACGCGCTGCAGACATACCAAGAGGAGTGCTATTCACTTTGGCTAGAAGCAAGGCTTCCTGGAGAAGGTAGCATTTGCAAGAAATGCCATCAGTGGGACATCAAATGTTGGCAAAGAGAGGAAGCAAACTAGAGGGGAGGGTGAACATTCCATTTAGGATTTGGGGTTTGGTGGCAGTGAAAGGTTTGAAGTAGCCCCTTTTCTTCTGTCTTCTCTCGCCTTCCCCTGAGCAGATTGGAGTTTAAGCTCAGGTAGAATTTAGTCTTCATGAGTTAGAGGAGGCTGTTTCACCACTGAGGATGCAAGGGCTCAAGAATCTTATAGCCAGTGTTCATGGCTTTGGGATTCTGGGATAAGGTGAGTGTCTCCACTCCACTCCTTGCCCTTCAGCCTGCACAAGTGGACTCTAGTGGTTTTCTGCTTGCAAAAGTGGTGGGCTCAGCAAGGATACATTTCTGTGGCAGGATTGAAGACGGTTGTTTAGGTGAGGCAAGGCGCAAATGACCTTAGACCTTTCACCCTTATTAGATCCCTCTCAGACTCATCCTTGTCCCCATCACCATCCAAGGAATTAAAAAAATTACTCTTTTTCTCTCAACAAAGGCTAGTGCCCCTTCTCCCGCTCTGCTAATCCTGAGCCTGCCTCTCCTTTCTTGTGTTTTCTCAACAATGCCTTATTCCCCCTTTTCCCATCTAGTAGCATTCAGTACACAGTTTTAGGTAGCTGGACTTGAGAACCACAAGAATAGGGCATTGTCTTTGTTTGGTTACTTTCCCCGGTGCTCAGTGCTCAAGTAGGCACTTGTTGAATATTAATGGAATCATTGAAGAAACTGCAGGCATTTTCAGACATACTATACATAGTTGTGGTTTCCCATTCTGGCCGCTTTAAAAGCACTGCATCCCTCATTGCATGGGCTGGTTTAGGTTTAAAAGGATTCAGTGAACTCTTCCTCTCATTATTGTCCATCCAGGATTTGAGGTGCCTTTCTCCTTGAGCCCGGGTTTCCCCTTCAGTGTCAGGTGATACCATATTCACATCAAGGTCAGCTCCCTCACGGGCCTGGCTGGTGCTCCTGGGACCAAGGCCTGGTCATCCTGTGTGCCTGTGATCTGCTTTCTGGGTAGTGTCCAAACCTGACGGCCCTTCCCTGGAAGGATTCTCATGTCCCAGAAACACTGGACATAGACACCAAGGGACTGGTTTTATCATGTAGTAAATCCCCTTATCCCTCTGAGTCTGTTCCCCCACTTGTGAGTCAGGATCCTACATGCTTGTGCACTCATAGGGTTGTGATGGGTACTTTGTAAATTGTCAAATCCTAACCATATATCAGGTCTTAATCTTCATATCACAGCAGTTCATGTGGAAATGGAGGGGGAAGAAGCTAAAGACTTGCCAGCCAGAGGTTTCATGCGGTCTTCCCCTTTCCCCAGGAGGTTCACAGAAAGCGTAAAGAGGCTGATTTCACAGCTATTTTATCTGAAACAAAGCAATAGGAGCAATAATAGCAGCTAACATTTGAGTACTGTGCCAAGCTCTTTAAGATGAATTCTATTCAATCTTCTGGCAACCCAATGAGAGGTTAGTCTTTCAGTCCAGTTTCACTATGAGGTAGGTAGTTAAGTGACCTTCCCAAGGTCTCATGGCAAAAGGCAGAACAGAACGAGAGATCTGACCCAAGTCCCACACTCCCGCCTTCTCATGTTTCAGCAACCCAGGAGGAGAGAGCATGTGTCCTGCATCTTTTTAAAAAGGACCTGCCATTACTTAGAGCTTCACATTTATAGTGGGTGTGTCCTGAGTAAGCTCACACCTATGGCTGTGGAATCCCTTTTCAGAAAGGCAATCTCGATGACCTAGTGATCTGGCCTAGTCCGGCCAAGGTGCTGGGGGAAGGATGAGGTCATCTGGGGGCCTTTCCAACACAGTGACACTTGTGGGGACAGTTGTCTACACTGGAAGAAGCATTGGTGGTGCCTGTGGAAGTACCACAGAACATTGACGCAGGGTCTGTTTGTCTGTGCAGGTGCTACCTTTTTACCCACACTTAAGTGACGCAAAATGCCCTTCAATGGCGAGAAGCAGTGTGTGGGAGAGGACCAGCCAAGCGATTCTGATTCTTCCCGGTTTTCCGAAAGCATGGCTTCGCTCAGTGACTATGAATGCTCCAGGCAGAGCTTTGCAAGTGACTCCTCCAGCAAATCCAGCTCTCCTGCTTGTGAGCCGATGGGGGAGCAGGGGTTGTGGGTGGCAGGGGTACTTCTAGATATGTGTTGGATTTGAAAACTCAGAAACGCCTGAGAGCAACAGACTTCCCCTCCTTTCTAGATGCACCAGAATAGCACTGCAGAGGCACTGCAGCTTTCCGGGACACATTCTCAGAAATAGCCACTAAAGTTTACAACCTGCTGATTTTTATTTTGATCACTGCTTCCGATCTGTTTCGGTCTGATGATAAGTCAGGACTTCAACCCCATCTGTCTTTTCTCCCAAACAGCAGAAAGCCATTCCTTGAGATTACTTCTTAGATCTCCACTGAAGGATAAATTCAAATTGGTCTTTTCTGATTATTCCTGATTTACATTGAAGGAAACTGGCCTTCATTGAAAGGTCAGGAAGGAAGTGAAATAATCTAAAGGGTTTCATGTTGATTTCAAAAAAATATTGTGCAAATCACCCCAGGAAGGTACCCACAAGGAGAATTACTACATTAGGGGTGTGAGAAAGAGTTAAAAGAGAGGCCACAGCAAAAGGAGATATCTTTTTCCCGTTTTTGCATGTAGAAACTAGAGATGGGTAAAGCAGATGTGTTTGCCTTTTTTTTTTTAATTGGCACTTTATTTAGTAAATATAACAGCTTTAACTGGCAAAGCAAATGCAGGAAAAAGCAACTAATGTTTAATATGCTGAACTGTCCACTTCTTACAAATTGCTTCATTTGTATTTTAAATTTTTACATTCTCATTTTTTAAAACTTAGAAGATACATAAGAATAGAGAAAAGAAAACATTGCCTATGATATCACTCAAAGACGACAGCTGGCAGTGCTTTGCCGTATCTTTATCCTTCACATAGACATATGTGTGTATATGTGTGTGGACTCTTCTTGCTTAGTATTATAACTAAAACATTTACTCATGATTACATGTTTTTGAAACATTGGTTTTATGAATACTTATTACTTTACCAAGTGAATGTACGGTAAAATTAACCATTGATTAATCACTGGACATTTAGTTTCCATTTTTTTTTTTTTTTTTTTTTGCTGTTATAAATAGTGCTTTATGAACATCTTACTGCATGAAGCCTTTCTGGAAAGACTTTTGGATATCACTGGATTATTGGACCAAAGTATATAGACATTTTTAAGGAGAATCTTGAGTCAGACCTGGCAAAAGAAATTAACAGCAGCCACCCCAGGTTTCTGTGCCTTTTCTCACTCTTTATACTGTATGTGGTGTTGTTGCATCTGACACCAGGGTACCTAGGCATCCTGAAGAAGGGTTTTACCAATTCTGTGTATCACCTTTCTCTTCTTCCTCCTCTTTCCCTGATCCTCCTCCTCATCTTCTCCTAAAAATTAGGTAGCCAGGCGCAGTGGCTCACACCTGTAATCCCAGCACTTTGAGAGGCTGAGGCAGGCAAATCACCTGAGGTCAGGAGTTCAAGACCACCTGGCCAACATGGTGAAACCCCATCTCTACTAAAAATACAAAAATTAGCTGAGCATGGTGGCATGCACCTGTAGTCCCAGCTACTTGGGAGGCTGAGGCAGGAGAATCGCTTGAACCTGGGAGGTGGAGGTTGTAGTGAGTCAAGATTGCACCACTGCACTCCAGCCTGGGAGACAGAGCAAGACTCTGTCTTGGGAAAAAAAAATAAATTAGGTAGTAAAGTATTACCTGTCACTGCTGTTGTTTGACACATGATTTTAATTAAAAGAAGCTAAGATTTCCAACAGTGATTTTTAAAAGACATGATTTATTAGAATAGTTTCTTAGTATAATCTTTAGAAATAACTCAGATTCTTCATTTACTATTTCCTACTGAGAAGTAAAATATCTGGCTTCTCAGATTTATTCTATTTTACTTTTAATTATGTAAATTTATTGAGTTCTTACTATCTTCTTCTTTACTTAAATTATCTCATTCGGTCACCTCAGGCCAACCCTGTGAGGAGGAAGGCTATGCCTCAGTGAAATCCAATGATAAATACCAATTGGCAAAACTCAGAGTGAACCTAAGTGTTTATACTATACTGCCTATACATTTAAAAATTACAGTTTTTGGCTGGGTGCGGTGGCTTACACCTGTAATCCCAGCACTTTGGCCAAGGCAGGCAGATCATCTGAGGTCAGGAGTTCGAGACCAGCCTGGCCAACATGGCGAAACACCGTCTCTAATAAAAATACAAAAATTAGCCTGGTATGGTGACATGTGCCTGTAATCCAGCTACTCGAGAGGCTGAGGCAGGAGAATCTCTTGACCCCAGGAGGTGGAGGTTGCAGTGAGCTGAGATTGCACCACTGCACTCCAGCCTGGCAACAGAGTGAGACTCCATCTCAAAAAAATAAATAAATAAATAAATAAATAAATAAATAAATATTACGGTTTTAAAAATCAGTTATTTCATATTGAGTTTACTTAATGAGACTTCTGAATTACAGAATAAAAATAATTTTATCAATTTCCTATATAATACATATAATAAGTGCAGATTTCAATGGGCACTAAAAATGAGGTAATTTAATTTTTTTTTTTTTTTTTTTTGAGACGAGTCTCACCCTGTCGTCCAGGCTGGAGTGCAGTGGCACGATCTTGGCTCACTGCAAGCTCCTCCTCCTGGGTTCACGCCATTCTCCTGCCTCAGCCTTCCGAGTAGCTGGGACTACAGGTGCCCGCCACCATGCCCGGCTAATTTTTTTGTATTTTTAGTAGAGACGGGGTTTCACCGTGTTAACCAGGATGGTCTTGATCTCCTGACCTCATGATCTACCTGCCTCGGCCTCCCAAAGTGTTGGGATTACAGGCGTGAGCCACTGCGCCTGGCCTGGTAATTTAATTTTTAAAAGTAACTTATAATGGGCCTATATTAATAAGTTGGTCTCATAAATATTTGAGACAATGTTATCAAATATGGTAACTGAAGCTATTGAAGGAGTTCTTAAATTTTTGAAGCCTTTATTAACTGAGGGAATTCACCTATTTTAATATATAGTCTCCTGACCTATAAAACTCTGAAGTATATACATTCTGATAAATTAAACCTTATCTGCATCAGGAGGCTTCGTTGGATGACAACTTTTCTTCTGCAACATTAACTGGCTTTTGTTTTTCTTTCAGCAACAAGCCCTCCAAGGGTTGTAACATTTGATGAAGTGATGGCTACAGCAAGGAACTTATCAAACTTGACTCTTGCTCATGAGATTGCTGTAAATGAGAACTTTCAATTGAAACAAGAGGCTCTCCCAGAAAAGAGGTAACCTGGGGGCATTTGTTGTATATAAACTGCTGAAGATTCTGTGTGTGTGTGTGTGTGTGTGTGTGTGTGTGTGTGTGTGTGAGAGAGAGAGAGAGAGAGAGAGAGACAGAGAGAGAGATAGACACATATTTACACTGATTCCTGGAAGTTCTTGTATAATATCCTCAGGGGTAAACATTTAGTTCTCTAACAAGGTCTTATACTTGTTTTAAAAAAATTCTCGCTGGGTGTGATAGCTCACACCTGTAACCCCATCACTTTGGGAGGTGGAGGCGGGAGGATTCCTTGAAGCCAGGAGTTTGAGACTGGCCTGGGCAGCAAAGCAAGACCCCATCTCTGTAAAAAATAAAAATAAAAATATTATCCAGCATGGTGGCATGAGCCTGTAATTACAGGTACCGGGGAGGCTGAGTCAAGAAGATCATTTGAGCCCAGGAGTTCAGGGACTGCAGTGAGCTCTCATCATGCCACTACACTCCAGCCTGGGTGACAGAGCAAGACCCTGTCTCAAAAAAAAAAAAAAAAAATTCCTGTTTGTGACCAGCCCGGCCAACGTGGTGAAACCTCACCTCTACTAAAAACACAAAAATTAGCCGGCCATGGTGGTGGGGCGCGTGTAATCCCAGCTACTTGGGAGGCTGAGGCAGGAGAATTGCGTGAACCCAGGAGGTGGAGGTTTCAGTGAGCCGAGATCGCACCACTGCACTACAGCCTGCGCAACAGAGTACTCCGTCTCAAAAAACAAAAACAAAAACAAACAAACAAAAAAATTCCCCTAGGATACATATTACCCATAATCTTTAGAACTCAGTTTATATGTCACTTCCTGAGGGAAGCTTTTTCTGACATTGGTGAACCCCCTAGACTACAATTAATCCCTTTGCTACAGACACCTGTAGCCCTTGCTGCCTCCTTTTTGTTAAGAGGTCTTATAATTTTATGTTTGATGTCCATCTTCCCCACTTGATTGAAATGCACTATTTATGGAGGAGCTATGTCTGTATTGTTTGTTGCTGTATCCCTATTGTCTAGCATAGTGCCTGACATACAGTACAGGCTCAAGACATATTTGCACATTGATTTATGGAAAACTGATACTCAGGTTCTGAAGAATAAATAAATGCACCTGAACTGTCAAAGTGCTAAAAGCAGGCAATCCAGAAATGTCTGGAGGTAGGAATCACAGCTGCAAGAGGCACTTCCTGGTTAACCTCGCCCTCCGACCTCTAGTTGGAGCCACCCCTTTGGATCCTACTTCAGCCTTTCTGGAGTCAGTGGCTCACAGGTTTCCTGAGACAAAGAGAAGAGGCTTGAGACTATTATTACAGATCAGTCGTCTTTAGAAGCAAAGTTGGTTCGTGGATTGAATTTTCAACCTTACAGTACCAATTATAAATCCTGAGGCATTCTATCAGTTAAGACAACTTAGAATATTTGATCCCATTCAGAACTTTTTCATTTGTTTTAAAGCAGGAAAAGTAAAGGAAGTCAATGTAATAACTCTTCTTCTTTAAAATGTGGATCATAGTCCTCTTGGGGATGTTGTTCATTTAATATTAACATTTTTTAAGCTTGCCATGTATCGTGGGTGTATCTGTTTGGTTTCCTTTGGTAACTTGCATTTTGCCATGACCCTTGATACCAGCTCTACTGCTACAGCCCTAGGCTAGGCCACCGTCATCTGTGGCCTGGACCCTTTCAGTCCTAACTGGTTGCCGTGTCTCCTTTCTTAGCCCCCAACAGTTCATCTTCCATATCCAGTAGCCTTAATGATGTTTTTAAAGAATGAGCTATATTAGATGATTTCTTTGCCAAAAACTCTTCAATGGTTTTCACTTACTCAGAGACCAAAAATCTAAGCATTTTCCTATGGCCTGGATGGCCCCACTCCCCTGACCCCATCTCAGTGCTGTCCCTCCTGCTTGCTGTGCTTCAGCCACACTGGCTTCCTTCCTTACCTCAGGGTTCACCAATCTGGATCTTGTCTCATAAACTTTGTTCCTCTGACTTCTTCTTTTTGAATGTTCTTTTCCCAGACCTTCACATGGCTCTTTGCTCTCCCCTTCTGAGTCTGAACACAAAGGTCACTGACTTAAAGAGGCTTTTTCCCACCATCCAGTGAAATCAGCACCCTCTCTGTAACTGTGTACCACATTGTCTTATTCTTTCTCATAGGTCTGAAATTGTCGTATTCATTTTTAATGTATTTTTTGCCTTTTTGTCCCTGCTAACATATAAGCTTTTTGAGGTCAGAGACTTTCTTTTCACTGTAGTATTCCCAGTTCCTAAAACAGGGCCCTACACATATTGGATGTTTAATAAACATTTATTGACTAATACAAATGAATTTTTTGAGATGGAGTCTTGTTTTAAAGTTAAAATTTGTATTTTTTATGAGGTAAAGCAAAAGACAGGGCATATCTGTACTTTAAATTCAAAAGTGGCGAGTACAGGCCATAGTGAAGGCATTTTAGGCTCAGACAGACTGTGGGGTTTGAATCCTGGCTTTGCTGAGACCATACCTGAACCTCACACTTCCCAAGAATAAGAAGGGGGCTACACTACTCACTTCAAATGCATACTCACTAGCATAAAAGTGCCTTGCACATAAATACTTTGATACTATGGAAAATATTAATCTCTCTTCCCTTCAGTTTCTGCCATGGCTAGAAAATGTGAGCAAGGGAAACAAAGTACAGAGTTAGGACACATTGCCTTTGTTTAAAGATAAAGTCTTAGCCGGGCGCAGTGGCTCACACCTGTAATCCCAGCACTTTGGGAGGCTGAGGTGAGCAGATCACCTGAGGTCAGGAGTTTAAGACCAGCCTGCCCGACGTGGTGAAACCCTGTCTCTACTAAAAGTACAAAAATTAGCTGGGTGTGGCAGTGCATGCCTGTAATCCCAGCTACTTGGGAGGCTGAGGCATGAGAATCACTTGAACCTGGGAGGCGGAGGCCGCAGTAAGCTGAGACTGCGCCACTGCACTGCAGCCTGGGCGACAGAGTGAGACTCTGTCTCAGAAAAAAAGAGATATACTTATCAAATTATGAATTCATTCACCATGCATGCATTTGTTAAGCAGTCACTATATATCAGGCACTGTACTAGGCACAATGGTAAGTACCTACCTGGAGGACTTATGGCCTCTGCTTAGGAAAGGTATATAGCTCTGTGGGGAAAGAGCCTCGTCAGTAATTACAGTGGAGGGACATGTGGTTTTCTAAAAACTATTGCTAAATGGTAGAGAAGTTAGGTAGGAATGTGTATTTTAACGTGCACCTATTTTAAGGGATTGACATAAGGGGTGAAGCAAGGTGGCCAATTATTCTATTGTGAGCTCTTCCTAGGAAGGCTTCTATTTCACCAGTTTGGTCTGGCTAACTTTAAATGGGACACCTAAGTCTGAAGTTGGCAGGCATTCAAATGCATGTGCCCTTGGGGCCAATCTGTTCTATTCCATGCCATGAAATTTCAGCTGGTGAGGAAGAGCAACTTTGCCATCTCATCCCAAAAATGTAGAACAAGTCTAAAGATCTATATAGAAGGGTAGCTACATAAATTATGAAATCTCTTTAGGACAGAATTTCATGAAGTTATTGAAAGCATTTTCAAGGTCTAGGGGAAACAAGACAGAATGTTAAATGAAAAGTATATATTTTGTATATATGCTCTTAGCTATGTTAAAATAATGCATTCAACAAGAAAAATATTAAAAGATTAATGGATTAAGGACAATTATTCTGTGTTTTTTTTACATTTTATAAGATTTCTACAATGAGGATGTTTCTTTTATAATCAGGAAAAAGTTATGCTTATTTTAAAAAACAATTCATTTTATTGCCATAGTTTGGCTGGTCGAGTGAAGCACATTGTTCACCAGGCCTTCTGGGACGTCTTGGATTCAGAACTAAATGCTGACCCTCCTGAGTTTGAACATGCCATCAAACTGTTTGAAGAAATCAGAGAGGCAAGTTGCTTTGTTGTCTGTGTCAGTTAGCGTCTTACTCCAGGTGGGCTGCTATAACAGACTGGCATAGCCTGGGTGGCTTATAAACAATAGAAATTTACTTCTCACAGTACTGGAGGCTGGGAAGTCCAAAATCAAAGCACCACCAGATTCGGCATCTGGTGAGGGCTCACTCCCTGATTCATAGATGGTGCCTTCTTGCTGTGTCTTCACGTGGCAGAAAAGGCAGAGAAGCTCTTTAGGGTCTTTTTGTTGTTTTGTTTTGAGACGGAGTCTCGCTCTGTTGCCTAGGCTGGAGTGCGGTGGCACAATCTCGGCTCACTGCAACCTCTGCCTCCCGGGTTCAAGTAATTCTCCTGCCTCAGCCTCCCAAGTATCTGGGACTACAGGCTCATGCCACCATGCCTGGCTAATTTTTTGTATTTTATTTTATTTTTTTTTTTTTTTTTATTTTTTTTGAGACGGAGTCTCACTCTGTCGCCCAGGCCGGACTGCGGACTGCAGTGGCGCAATCTCGGCTCACTGCAAGCTCCGCTTCCCGGGTTCACGCCATTCTCCTGCCTCAGCCTCCCGAGTAGCTGGGACTACAGGCGCCCGCCACCGCGCCCAGCTAATTTTTTGTATTTTTAGTAGAGACGGGGTTTCACCTTGTTAGCCAGGATGGTCTCGATCTCCTGACCTCATGATTCGCCCACCTTGGCCTCCCAGAGTGCTGGGATTACAGGCGTGAGCCACCGCGCCCAGCCTAGGGTCTCTTTTATAACAGTACAGTTCCATTCATGTGGACCTCACCCTTATGACTTAATCACCTCCCAAAGGCCCCACCTTCTAATACCATTCCATTGGGGATTGGGTTTCAACATATGAATTTGGGGACAGAGGAAAACACAAATATTGAAACTATAGCAGTTTTTTCCCCCCAAAGATTGTTTTATGTTCTTTAGTATTGGCCACTCTTTTTCAAAAAAGGATCAAGTTCACTGGCAGAGTTTCCCCCTGCACCTCCTGGAGTAGCGTGAAGGCTGGAAAAATAGTGCCATGGACACAGCTTAGGGTGATGCTAAAGCGCAGAGACTCTGGTTTAGTGACGGGTTCTCTCTTTAAGTCTCTCTTTCCTGAGTACTTACAGGGTAGTCATAAGAACTAAATGAGGTGACAGTTGTAATGTTAGCTAACATTTACAAGGGCTTGCTCTATTCCAAGCACTAGATTGTTCATTTCTTCTTATCAGAACACTGTACAGTAGTTGCTCCTGTTATTCTTATTTATTAAAAATCCAAGTTTTCTGACTCATCCAGGGTCACACAACTTTGTGGGGTAGAGAGGGACTTGAACTGAGCCATACTGGCTCAGAGCGCAAGCTCTTAAGCATGTACTGTATGGATAAGCACAGTGTCCTCTGTAACTGAATAATCAATAAATAGGCTGCTTGTATATAATAAATATTCTATATGTAAAATATACTTAATCGACCCCATGGGATATTTTCATCTATCCTTTTTTAAAGAGTTCTTTTGGAGCCATGATCTGCACCTTGTTCTTTCTTCCCTGAACTTTTACCTGTAGACGTTTTGAAATGCAGCAGATCCTCGCATCATATTGATTTGTTCAACACTTTTTCTTTATAATGTTGATGAGAAAAAAGATAGATTCCAGCTGGGCGCGGCGGCTCATGCCTGTAATCCCAGAACTTTGGGAGGCCCAGGTGGGCGGATCACAAGGTCGGGGGATAGAGACCATCCTGGCCAACATGGTGACCCCATCTGTAACTAAAAATACAAAAATTAGCTGGATGTGGTGGTGCACCCCTGTAATCCCAGCTACTCAGGAGGCTGGGGCAGGAGAATCTCTTGAACCTGGGAGGCGGAGATTGCAGTGAGCCAAGATCACACCACTGCACTCCGGCCTGGTGACAGAGCGAGACTCCATCTCAAAAAAAAAAGAAAAGAAAAGAAAGAAAAAAGATAGATTCCTAGCTGGGGCTGCCATCTGTGTGGAGTTTGTATGATCTCCTCATGTCTGCATAGCTTTTCTTTGGGTACTCTGGTTTCCTCCCACATCCCAAAGATGTGCATGTTAAGTTCATTGACAAGTCTAAATGGTCTCAGTCTGAGTGAGTGTGGGTATGTGAGTGAGTGCATCCTGCAGTGGAATGGCATCCTGTCCAGGGCTGGTTCCTGCCTTGTGCCCTGAGCTGCCATGGTAGGCTCCTGCCACTTGCAACCCTGAACTAGAGTAAGCAAGCTGGAAAACGAATGAATACAAATTATTGTAACATAAAAATTCATAAAGTCTTCGATAGTCATACAGATGCACAACAATAAACAATGTGCCGTGAAAGTGCTCAGTGAGCCTGCCATAATTATTATTTATTTTTGAACTGTGTGGTGGTAGGAGGTGTTCCTTAAGAATTTTTGTTTGCAAACATTTCTTCCCCAGTTTAACCTACCACCATGGCAGCTGTCACTCACTGATTCACCAAAAATTGGGTCAATCATTATCTTGTTTTTATTAATTTTTCTTGTATGTATAGCTCACATTTATCTCAGTGTTTAATATTAGAAGTGTTTGGGGTCTTTATTTAGAAGTTTGGTGATTTTTTTTGTGACCAGAAATATGCCATAGAAACTTAACCGTTGTTTATATCAATTAGCCTATCTTAAAATTGGTTTCATTATATATCATTTCACTTAAAGTTGCAATTTCCAGGAACCTGTCAGCAATATTAAGTAAGGACTTACTGTGCTTTCAGTAATCTTGCTTCCTTGCTAGCTGTTTTTATTCTGACAGGAGCAGGAGTTTCCCATGGTGGGGGCCCTTTAATTCAGAAGATAGACCTTGCTATTTAGGGTTGAGACACTGGAATGCTCCTCTGATCCACCCATGCAGTCAGTGCCAACTTCTGTGGCATCTGAGGCACTAAAATGTGGGCAAAGAGCTTGGTCATCTAGACACTGAGGTGAAAAGTGACAGCTTTTATTCACATCATGATGCTGTTAATTTTTATTTCTTTCCCTGTAGATTCTTCTCTCTTTTCTCACTCCCGGTGGCAACCGGCTTCGCAACCAAATCTGTGAAGTTTTGGACACAGACCTCATTAGGCAGCAGGCTGAGCACAGTGCTGTTGACATCCAAGGCCTGGCCAACTATGTCATCAGTACGATGGGAAAGCTGTGTGCTCCCGTGCGAGATAATGATATCAGAGAGTTAAAGGCTACTGGCAACATCGTGGAGGTGCTGAGGTTAGCACTTTTGCTGTTTGCATTTCCTAGAGTATCTTTGAGTTCATTCAGAAGGGAAGTTGGGCATCAGGGAACACAGAATAACAACTAGTACCCCAAATAAATTACTGACCCTAGAAGAAAACCATATAAGCAGAGACCATGTCAATTATTTACTGTATGCAGAGAGTTTTCACATAGAATGATCTGACAAGGTTGTTAGTTGGCACATAGTGGGCCCTGAAGATGCAATGATGAAAAAGACAGATATAATCCCTGACTCCAGGGAGTCTAATGGGCAGAGAGATCTTGAACAATTAATTACAATTGTGATAAGTGGAAGGGGAAGTAGAGGGTCTTAATAGAGCCTCCGACAAGGGACCTAATTTAGTCAAGGCTTCTTTATTAGTTAGGGTCACTAGCTGCTATAACACATAAACCCTAAATTCTCAGTGGTTTATCCAGTAAAAGTTTGTTTCTCATGTCACAGTCCAATTCAGGGGTCCTTGATCAGACAACCCTCCACGTGTCATCCAGGGACCCAGCCTCCTCCTGTGCTTGGCTCTACCCTTGCTCAGGTCCTTACAGTCCTCTCCATTCAGCTGGCAAATGGGAAAGAGACCATGGGGAAGACATATGCAATATATAGCCACCTCAGCCCAGAAGTGACACATTCTCTTTGACCATGACTAGTCACATGATCCCACCTAGATTGAAAGGGGAGTTGAGAAAGGTAGTTACAGCCTGGAAATACTTTTCACAGCCACAAATTTGCACTGCAGGGAGGGAGATTGGGCCTTTAGTGGTCAGCCAGCCACATCTTCTGGAGCTTCTCTAAGGAAGTGGGGTGCATATTATGTCACGAGGATCTCATCTGGCTACATAGACGATAACTTCCTTGTGATCCAAGAGGGAAGAAGAGTCTGCAACACTTTTTGCCATTGAAGCAGAGTTTTCTTTTTTGTGTATGGTGGCCACATTGAGAATTGAGTTTTATGTAAATGTTTTGGAAAGGTAGGAGAAAGACTGGTCTGCATGTAGTGGGTAATTTACTTTGCAATCTTGGGCAGGTTAATAGACTCTCAAAGTGACACTCTCTGTCAAATGGGTGTTAAGTATCCTTAGAGTCGTGCTCGGCTCTGGCAGATTGTGATTCCTCAGTTATAGGATCCTTGCTTCTAGTTGTCGTATTACCCTAGTAAGATCTCAAATCTGTGATGTTCATCATGGTCATTTGTTGAGCGCCCACTGGGTGCCACTGCCCCCTGCACTTTACAATTGTTATCTCATTGACTGTTCACAACATCTCTACAAGGTTGAGGTTGTCCTCTTTCACAGATGAGGAAACTGAGGCTCAGAGAGACTGATTTACTTGTGTATATGCCCACAAATCTGGCCAGTTGCAAAGCTGGGTTTGGGCATGAGGCTGCCTAACTCTAAAAGGAAGTGTTTTTTCCTCAGTGCCTCACTGCCTTGTCCTTTCTTTTTTTAATTTTTCTTATTCCCTAAGGAATAGAGGCCATATACCCTGTGTCCTGGCTCTTTAAAATTTCAGGGGTTTTCAAATGAAAATTCCTTCTTGAATTTTTCTTATATCATTAAGATTGTTTATGCTTCAAGTAATTACTCTTGAGATCTGTGGAAGGACACATTTGCAGTACACGTGTATGAGCTTCTATGAAACATGACCCTACCAAATGGCAATTGGAACTTTAAAACCATTTTGGGGATGTTTATTGTTTTCAGCCTGGAACATAGATCATTGTTAGTGAATTTCAGCTTCACTTCTTAATCATCTCTCTATTTTAATTCTAAAATTTTTAGACAAATATTCCATGTCCTGGACCTCATGCAAATGGACATGGCCAATTTTACAATTATGAGTCTCAGACCGCACCTTCAACGCCAGTTGGTGGAATATGAGAGAACCAAGTTCCAGGAAATTTTGGAAGAAACTCCAAGTGAGTATAATATAATGTGTATTTATATTGAAATTAGGTTAAAATGATGATTTTAAATGTTAAAATTTAAATTAAATTAAATTAAATTAAATTAAATTAATAAATAAATAAAATTTAATTTAATTTAAATTAATTAAAATTTAAAATGTTAAAGGTTAAAATGAAAATTAGGTGATGTTTTCATTTTTGACTTCATATATAGTATCACTAAAGAATTTTGGCCTTTCTATTAAACATTTTTTTACCTTCCAAAATTGACATCACAAACTTACAGTTGTTTATTCTGTCCAGGAACTGTGCTAAGCACTATTCGTTTCTTCATTCATTCAAGATATATTTATTGAGTGCCTCCTGTGTTTCAGACACTGCTTAGGTGCAGTGGATACTGCAGCGAACAGAATGGAATACAGTTGCCGTCCCCAAGGAGCTGACATTCTAGTAGGCATGACAAATAAATAAACATATATTGTCAGGTGTATTATTAAGTGCTATGAAGAAAAATAGGATAAAGGGACAGTAATGGGTCAGAAGTGAGGACAGCATTGTTTTTTAGATGTGATGGACTGGGAAGGTCTCTGTAAGTAACATTTGAGTAAAGTTTGCAAAGAAATGAGGAAGGGGCATGTAAAGATGGGGAAAAGAACGTTCTAGCCTGAGGGACTGCAGGTACAAAGGCACTGAAGCAGAAACTGCTTATGAGTTTGACAAACACAGGGCAGACATTGTGACGGGAGTAGAGTTGGTAAGGGGAGAGTGGTAAGAGATGAGGCTGAAAAGGAGATAAAGGCAGGTCACATAGAGCATTGTTAGTAAATGAGAGGAGTTTGGATTTCATTCCATGTGCGGTGGAAACTCATCAGAGAGTTTTAATCAGGGGAGCAACATCTGATTTTCATTTTTGAAGAATATTCTTGTTCCTGGCTACAGAATAGGTCATGTGGGAACAAAGAGGGAAACAGAGGTACCAATTAGGTGGTATTACAGTTGCTCAGGCAAGAAATGATGGTGGCTTGTTCCAGATGGTAATGGTGGAAGGAGTGAGAAGAGACCAGATTCTGGATACATTTTGAAAGTGGAGTAATCAGATTTGCTGAAGATTGGATAAGGGAGAAAAGAGTTGAGGGTGACTCTAAGGTTTTTGGCCTCGTACAACCGGGTGAATGGTCATACAGTTTGAGTGAAACTGGTGAGACCAGGAGAAAGAAGGTTGGGAGATGACATGGAATCAAGAGTTCAGTTTGGTGATGTAAACTTTTGAGATTTCATTTGACATCAATGTGGAGATGTTAGGTAGGCATTTAGATATGAATTATGAGTTTACAGGAATAATGGAAACTGTATATGTATTTGGGAATCATCAGTATATGTATGATATATAAAGCCATGGAACTGGGTACTAGTTAACACTTAGAAAATCCTTATCACACTCTAAGTACTTTACCTGTACAAACTAATTTAATCCTTGCAACAACTATATGAAGTTACCCCCCATTTTATGGGTGCGGAAACTGAGGCACTGTGAGGTTAAGTCACTGGCCTATGTAACACACTTAAAAGTATAGGAGCTCACCTAGGAAGGCAGCTTGGCTCCATAGTCCATGTTCCTGTCCATTATATTACACTGGGTGAGACTACCTAGGGGGAGTGAGTGTGGACTCTGAAAGAAACTGACGTGGGGCACTCCAGCAGCTAGAAGCTGAAGTTGAGATGAGGAGGAGGGTCTAACAATGGAGACTATGAGGGAGTAGCCAGAGAGGTAGTGTGACAGTCAGGAGAGGCGGGTGTCCTGTAAGATACGTGAAGAAGGTATTTGGAGAAGGAAGGCATGTTTGGATTTGACAAGCATTGCTAAGTGGTCAAGAAAGACACAGGCCAACTTGACCATTGGATTTGACTGTTTGATGATGGTCAGTAACCTTGATGAGAGTGGTTTCAGTGGATTTGTGTGCATTAAAGCCAGACTGGGCAGGGCACAGTGGCTCACACCTGTAATCCTAGCACTTTGGGAGGCCGAGGCAGGCACATCACCTGAGATCAGGAGTTCAAGACCAGCCTGGCCAACATGCTGAAACCCCTTCTCTACTAAAATCTAAAAATTAGCCGGGATGATGGCAGGTGCCTGTAATCCCAGCTGCTCGGGAGGTTGAGATGGGAGAATCGCTTGAACCCAGGAGATGGTGGTTGCAGTGAGCCAAGGTCGCATCATTGCACTCCAGCCTGGGGGGCTGAGCAAGACTCCGTCTCGGAAAAAAAAAAAAAAAAAAAAACCCACACACACCAGACTGGAGGGGGATCAAGGAAAAATAGGATTAGAAGAAATCTTAGCTCATCAAATCTTCACAATTACCAGTTACCCAGTGAAGTAGGTACTGTTATTCCCTTTATCTTACAGGCAAGGAAACTGAGATGCCAGAGGTTGCACAGCTGCAAGAGGCTGGCTAACTGCTCATTGGCAAACTCTTGACACCAGCCTCTGGGGTTTAATTAACCACTATTTAAGGCTGAGTTAGGTGGTTTCTGCCGAGATAATCAACACAATGGCCTTATATAAAAAAGACAAAACAGGCGCCACATTTAAAGGGGCCCTGGCAGGCAGGAGCACATCCAGGGGAGAGCACATTGATCATGGAGGCCACCTGAGGAACCGTCGAGGAAGCTGGGCATGTTCTGCTTGGTAACAAGGAGACTCAGGTGGGCCATGGCCCCATCCACCCTCCCTGTTGACAGCAACTCAGAGACTGGTGAAATTCTGTAGGGCAGACTAGGATTCATGAGAGGGAGGAAGCAGACAGCTGGTTTTGACCTTCCTGATAGTTGGAGCTGTTTTAACTTTGGAATGGGCCTATTATAGCAGTAGTCAGTGCTAGCTAACATTTTGTATGAGCACTTACTACATGCTAAGTCCTTACTGTACCACTTTAGTAGTCTATGCAAGCATCACACTAGCCCTATGAGGTTGGTACTGTTATCACCCCCTAATACAACTGAGGAAAGTGAGGTTAAGGTACTTAGTCTAGATGACTACTAGTAAGGGGTAGAGCCTGGGTAACCCAGATGTGTCTCTGACTCAAAGCGTGTGCATTTAGATACTGTGCAACCCTGCCTCTCTTCAAACAAGATATCAACTGTGGGGGATATTGCAGAGGGATCTCTCACATCATCTGGCAGATTATTTAGTCATCTGGATAGCCAGTTATCTAGTCAGATAACTTTTAAGTTTTGTTCTATAACAAAAACTCTATGACTCCAAGGGCTATGTTGTTTTAGCTTCAAAGGGGAGGGAGTAAAGTGAAGTAGAACCCTACATCGAACCTGGATCTGAAACCTCAACTGTGGCAACTGTCCACAGCAGCATTTCTCTGAGACTTAGTGGTTGCTTTCATTTGTGTACCTGTGTATGTAAGCACATGTACAAATGCACCCATATCTTTCATCAAGATAGCTTGGAATCTTGAGCAAATTCTCTAATAGGGTGAATTATGATTTTCTTCATCTCAAATTATTTGCCTATTTTTTTTCTGTTTTTTTTCTTTCCTTCTTTTTTTTCCCCCCTGTTTGTCTTTAAGAGACAGAGTCTCACTCTATTGCCCAGGCTGGGGTGCAGTGGCATGATGATAACTTACTCTAGCCTCCAATTCTTGGACTCAAGGGATTCTCCTGTCTCAGCTTCCCAAGTAGCTAGGACTACAGGCATGTGCCACCACGCCTGGCTAATTTTTAAAACATTTTTTGTAGAGACGGGGGTCTGTGTTGCTCAGGCTGGTCTCTAACTACTGGCTTCTTCCTGCCTCTCAACTTGCTGGGATTACAGGCATGAGCCACTGCACCTGGCTTGCTTCTCTTTTTAAAACCCAGGCTTAGTGACCTGTAATCCATTTGCAACTTTTCTATTGACTTGGATATTTTCAGAGATTTAAGAATAGAGCAAACCCAGCTTTGCATATAGGTCATTATTGCTTAGCAAGAGAAATCAAGAGTCCCAGAAGCAGAGTGTATGTCAGCTGTTAATTATGTCCCCAAGTCACTCTGCCAAAAGTCAGCCCCTGTGCCCTAATATCAAAATAAGAGCCTCAAAATGTTGGATTTCTGTGTACACATGATTATATAAGAATTATTAGAAAATTAATACAGAGAAGTACTCTAGATTTCTGAATTGGCTCCAGGAAAATATTTTATTTTGCCTAAGAGGAGATTTTATATAATTGCCTATTTTAAATATAGCCAGGAGAACCTTAGGAATGATTATCTGTACTAAGTAAGTAGCAACAAGATAACCACATTAGATCCAACATGTAAATTATCTGTGAAAATAGCAAGAGATTATCCCTGGGTGGGGGCCATAAGTAATTTTTAAGATACCCAGAAAGAAAGGCTTTATTTAGACAATACGTCATATCTGATCAAATGTTTTCATGAACTTTATTTCATGTTATTCTTTAAAAAAATTCTGTGGGACATAAATATCACTTTCAGAATATTTGAAACTCTATTGTGATTGCCTTCACCTGTCACATGAGGGGTTCAAGAAATATTTATGGAATATTTTAAAGAAGAGCAAACTGATGCTCAGTGATGACCTCCTTAGACTCAGAATCATTCAGCTAAGTAAACAGTGGAGGCTGGGCGCCATGGCTTACGCCTGTAATCCCAGCACTTTGGGAGGCCAAGGCGGGCAGATCATGAGTTCAGGAGATCGAGACCATCCTGGCCAACATGGTGAAACCCTGTCTCTACTAAAAATACAAAAATTAGCCGGGTGTGGTGGCGCGTGCCTGTGATCCTAGCTACTTAGGAGACTGAGGCAGGAGAATGGCTTGAACCTGGGAGGCGGAGGCTGCAGTGAGCCGAGATTGCGCCTCTGCACTCCAGCCTGGGCGACAGAGCAAGTGTCTGTCTCAAAAACAAAACAAAACAAAACAAAAAACAGTGGAGCTAGGACTGGAAACCAGGTCTCCCAAATCCAAGTCCAGATTAAACCAAGCTGCTACTTTTTCAGCCTTCTTTGAATTTTTCAGTTTTGTGTTATATTACCTGAGTTGTATTGCAAGGAACAGAAACCAACTCTAGCTGACTTAGCCAAAGGGAAGTGAATGGAAGGATGGAGGAAGTTTGCAGAATCAAAGGAAAAGCCAAAATGTCAGAAATCAGAAGAATGTCACAAATCTGGATAGGAAAAACCAAGGGATAGCAAGGCTCCATTGTCACGATGGTTGATGTGGGCTGTAAACGTAGGCCATCCCTGAACACTCTCACCACTCAGATCCCGGGAAGGAGTCGGCTCTGCTGGGCACGTGACTCTGCTCGGCCAGCCCCTGGTCGGGAAGATGGGGCCTCTGAATTGAGACTCACAAAAGAAAACATGGAACCAGAGGAAATGGTTTCTCAGAGAAAGCCAGCACCAAAAGAAGGGAAAGTGAGATGTTGCCAGGCAAAAAAAAAAGATGTCATGGATAAGGAAACTACATTTTTCCAACTGAAAATTGGGGTAGAAGCACGTGTAATACCATTGCTTGTTCTGGTGTCTGTCTCTCCCTTACTAGACTAGGAACTTCTCGAGTGCAGGGACTGTGCTTATTTACCTTTAAATCCCCAGTACTTGGTACAATACCTGGGACTGAGTAGGTGCCCAGTGGTTTTCGTCAAATAAACGAATGAGTGGAAAAATTCTTAATCCTGTCCCCAGGAAAAGCCGAGGTTGCAGGTGCCTCATGAGGCTGACCTTGCTTTTGGAACCAGAGAGAGCAGTCACCGTGCCAGCCTGTGAGAGTGAAGTCTCTGCCGATCCCTAAGAGAAGAGCCAACGTTTCACTCTAAACGCATGCTCCTTCTGCTTTACCGGTCATTCTCAAGTCTGACTACAAATTAGAATCATCTGGGGCGTTTAAACACAGAGGCCTGAGCCCTGCCTCAGACAGAATAAATCAAAGTCTCCAGGAGCTGTGCCCATGAACTCTTTTTTTCCTTTTTAAAGCTCCCCAGGTGATTCTAAAGTCAGCCAGGATTGAGAACCACTATGCCACACTGTTGCTTTTGTTCAAGGTAACTAAATGGGCTCTTAAATGTGTCAGCTGTAAATGATTAAACTTGCAGTATAAATGCTTATTACTGCCACATTGTAATTATATTCACGATGATTTCCACTCGCGCTCTCTCAGTTGGATGTCTTTTAAATGAAAGACTGCAAGTCTTTTACATCTTTATAAAACAGAACTAGCAAACCAAAAACAACATTTGCCAACTGAGGAGAAACAAGAGTTGTGAAATTCTGGGGGTGGTGTTGCTTTAGTGTGGCAAACAGAACTACTCATAAATTATCCCTGCTCAAGTGCTGGGTCCAAGAAGAATTTCAGTCTCTCTCTACTCTGCACCTGTGTTCAGGCTGTATTTCTTGGCAATTGTCACCTTATAAATTCTACCAAATGTATAATTGTATAAGAACTGTGGTATAAAAAGCAATTTGTTTCTAGTGGGAAACCTTAGAACTGGGCCTAAAGCAAAATAAAGTGAATTTTGTCCTAAGGCAGACAGCCCCAGTAGAGAATTACTGCCTCCAAACTTTCAGCCTCCTGGAATAGCCTTGGCATGTCAAATTTCATTTAGTTCATGATGTAAGAGACATTTTATTCAAAGTTAGAAGAACTACTTAGAGCAAAAGTAAATAAAAACTATTTGTCATCTAAGTCCGTGGTTCTCAACGTGGTTCTCTTAGGGGTGATTTTTGCCACTGCCCCCGCCCCACAACATTTGGCCATGTCTGGAGACACTTGTATGTCCCATCCTGGCAGGGCAGGGCGGGAGGCTGAGGAAGGGCATCTAGTAGGTAGAGCTTAGGTATGCTGCTAAACATTTTATAGTGAACAGGGCAGCCCTCAACAACGAAGAATTATCCAGTCCAAAATGTCAATAGTGCCGAGGTTGAGACACCCTAAATAAAGAATTGGAATGAATCCATTTCGTGATGACCCAAGGAACCATCTTATGCTCCAGGAAAATTTGGGCTTCAATAAGCAAGGAAGTCTGGTGGCCGTTGAGCACTTGGGGGTTGTTTTGTGTTTGGAATCAGTCTGATTTCAGCTAGTCATGGCTGCTGGTGGGTGCCTCCTTCTTCTTGCCTTCTTTCCATTGTCTAGAGGGAGCCATTTCCACTTGCAGAAGCGAGCCCTTGCAGAGGCATCTTTTGAAGCAACTCTGTGTGAGTTGTTTGTCATAGAAACTGCTAGCAAGGGAACTCTGCTAATAATAACTATTAGGCACCTAGTAACCTATATTGTAGTAATATTTAAGTGCCATATGCTTAAAAATGAAATGAATTCAAGTATAAAACCTCATTTCCAGTGATACATATTTTTTATCCAGAAGAATTGAACTTGATAAACTTGTCTAAAGTGGAAGGACAATCTAACTGGACATTGTCTTTAAGGTCATAGTCTTTAAGGTCAAATTAAGTATGAGACTCAAGTTCAGTGATTTCTTCCTTCCTCACTGCTTCCTTCTCCCTTTCCCATCTTGACTTCTGGAATAGCCCTTGCCAAATACCAGGGATCATACTGCATAAACTAGATTTTCAGTGTCTGCATGTTTTCCAGATAACATCTCCTTTAAAGCATTGGCTTTTCTTTAAGGAGATCTGCTGAGATTCTGCTCCCTCAAGCTAGCACGCTAACTGGTATCTACAAAAAGAAAAGAAAAGAAAAGAAAAAAGCCAAGTTCCCAAAAAAGCTCATTTTAACCACCCCACTGCTTAGCCTACTCACTCTTTTTATTCCACGGGTGATCACTTTGTCTGAGGCAACTTTGTTAATAAGGCAGCTGTTGTGTATCAGGCAGAGAACCTGACTGGGCCCTCTAGAGACAATAATCCCCGTCTTTAAAGGTTGTTTACAGAGTTTACAGTTGCTAACACTTAGGGGACATTTCCTTTGTGCCAGAAACGGTTCTAAGTGTTTTGCATGTACTAGTTTGTTGAATCTTTACCACAGCTTCAGGAAGAATATTATCCCCAATTCACAGACAGAGGAAACTGAGGAGACATTAGGTAACCTGCCCAAGACATACAGCTAATGAGTGGTAAAGGCCAGACCGAAGTTGAGACTGCCTGGCTCAGAGGCCACGGCTCCCAACTACTGCACCAGCCACTTGCTCTGCATGGGGGAGCCTAGCACAAGTTCTTAGTCACATGTTGATTGCTTTGATATTAGGTTGCACTAAATTGAGATTCATTCATCTGCAATGCAAATTTGACTCCCCAGTCAAGCTGCTTCTTCATTCTCTGTCTTGCTTTCTAAACTGTTGCAGCAGTCTGTTGCTGATCAGTCTCTTTGCACTGCAACTTATGTTTATGTTCTTGTCAAATCTGTTTCAAGGAATAAATGTAAAAGACTTGCCTGCCTAATTATACTGGGCTCTGTTTGACAGATAATCAGTTTTAGAAATGGACACTGTCAGTGGTAAGCTGGATGTGGTCGGTACAGACTTGGGAGCCATTTGCTATACTTTAAGGAATTTTGTGAGCTAGTAAACACAGCCATTACTAAAAATTAAATTATATAAATTTACAATTAAATACATTATATTAAAAACAAAGGTAAAACTCTGGGAAATCATTAGGCAGTTTCTTATTAAACGCAGTTACAACCTAGCAATTGCAATACTGAGTCTTTATCCCCAAGAATTGTAAACTTACATTCACACAGAAACCTATACATAAATATTCGTAGCAGCCTTATTTGTATAACCCCAAACTGAAACAACCAAAATGGCTTTCAACAGGTAAGTAGATAAACAGACTGTGGTATATCCATACAATAGAATACCACTCAGTAATAAAAAGGAATGAACTATTGATACATACAACTTGGATGGATGCTTAGAAAACAAAGCCAATCTCAAAGGGTTATTTTGCTGGTCTGCTCAGGCTACCATAACAAAGTACCACAGACTGGGTAGCTTAATATTAGTTTATTTTTCACAGTTCTCAAGGCTGAAAGTCCAAAATGAAGGTGCCAGCTGATTTGGTTCCTGATGAGGGCTTTCTTCCTGGCACTGCAGACATGCCTATTTCTCAGTGTGTGCAGATGGAAAGAAAAAGAGGAAGCTCTTTTTTTTGTCTCCTCTTTTAAGGGTATCAACCCTCATGACCTCATCTAACCCTAATTACCTCCCAAAGTCTCCATCTCCAAATGTCATCACAGTGGAAGTTAGGGCTTCATGATAGAAATTTGGGTGGCAGGTGGACACAAACAGTCCATAACAGCTACATATTGTATGATTCTATTTACATAACATTCTTGAAGTGACATAGTTTTGGTGATCAGTGGTTACCAGAATTTAGGGTTGAGGTGAGAGTGTGACTACTGGGAGGTAACGTGAGGAGATATTTTATGGTGATGGAATAGTTGAGTATCCTGATGGTTACAGGGATCCACATATGTAACACAATTTCTTAGAACTATACACACACAAAGGATGCATGCAAAAACTGGTAAAATCAGTATAAGTTAGTGGTATTGTACCCATGTCAGTTTCCTGATTTTGACAATATACTATAGTTATTTAAGATGCTGTCCTTGGGGGCAGCTGGGTGAAGGGTATACAGTAACTGTCTGTACTATTTTCACAACTTCTTAAGTCTTTTATTTTGAAATAGTTAAAGCTATTTCAAAATTTAAAAGTTATTTTTAAAGCCCTAAAAAACAATGAACTGTGATACATAAGTCGGTGTGGATAAATGTCAGAAACACTATGCTAGGTACTTTATGATTCCATTTATATGAATTTCTAGAAGGCAAACTGATTCATGCAGTTAGGAGTTAAAAGTAGTTGAGTGAGGTGCACATTGACTGGAAAGGGAGACGAGAGAACTTTCTTGGGTAATGGATATGGTTTATATCTTGTTTTAGGTGGTAGTTGCACAGGTATATAGAATAGCCAAAACTCACCAAACTGAACACTTAAGAGCTGAACATTTTATTGTATGAATTTATTATGTCTGTAAATATAAACATATTTATATATGTGAAAAAAACAAAATAATTATAAAAAGTAAAGGTAAACAAATACTAAAAACGCTTCACTTCCAAATTATCTTACTATTGTCTATAGTCTTGACATTAAAGAATCTCAAGACTGTACATATAACAGGTATAAAGTACCTGTTATATCTGGATGATGGAAACACTATGTAGCAGTGTTCTGTACTGGGCATCTCTGCTCAACTTCATATTTAATGACTCTCCTCCCACTTGCTCGTTCTACAAATGAGGAAATCAAAAGCTCAGGAGAGAAGTGAGGGCTATAGATACAGATTTAGGAGCCTTATGGGGTATGGGCGGAAATAGAAACCACAGGAATGAGTAAGATGGTCTAGTGAGATTGAAGAGTACCAAATCAGTGGGGATTGGGTAGAGTGCTTGGAAGTATCAACATTTAATGAACAGGCAGAGGAACATCTTCCTGTAATTGAAGGGAGATGCACCTGTCTTCTCAACCCAAGTATGAGATGCAGAAGCACAGCTAGGGGAAACCAGGAAAAAGTGGTGTCAGAAAAGCCAGGGAAAGAGTTTCTGGAGGGCTGTACTAAGAGATGTCTGTATTACAGAGATGTTTAAAAAAGGTAGGAAGGACATGTTTGTTGGATTTGACAACCAGGTGGTGGCCTTAGAAAGGTTATGGGAAGGATTTATTTCAGAACCTCTCTAGCCTATATTCTGTATCTTGGTAGATGGCACAGGCATTCATTCAGATGTCCAAGGTGCAAATCTGGGAGTCATCCTAGAATACTCCTTTCCTATTCTCTACATGTAAGTGGTCACCAAGACCTGTGGGTACTCCCCCTAAATATTTCTCACTTTTTCCCTCTTTACCCCTCACTTCCACTGCCCTTATCCATTCACTCTCTTGTTTGAACCACTGCAATAATTTACTCTCCCTCCACTAATTCAGTCTTTCTTTCCAAGCAATTTTTCTGACATACATATCTGATCATACAGGTTCCATGTTGAAAATAATATTATTCAGCCGGGCGCAGTGGCTCACGCCTGTAATCCCAACACTTTTGGGGGCCAAGGTGGGTGGATCATGAGGTCAGGAGATTGAGACCATCCTGGCCAACATGGTGAAACCCCATCTCTACTAAAAATACAAAAATTATCTGGGTGTGGTGGTGCACGCCTGTAGTCCCAGCTACTCAGGAGGCTGAGGCAGGAGAATCGCTTGAACATGGGAGGTGGAGGTTGCAGTGAGCTGAGATTGCCCCACTGCACTCCAGCCTGGGTGACAGAGTGAGACCCCGTCTTAAAAAAAAAGAAAAGAAAGAAAATAATATTATTCAAAACTCCCCATTCCCATCGCTGGTGTTTGTAACCTGGGGACTGTCAATCTGGTAAGAGAGAATGACAATTGTTTGTGGACATGTGCACGTGATTGTGCACATTCACTTTGGGAAAGGCATATCTCCAATTAGTTATTAAAAGTGGTCCAAGACCCAAAAATGTGTAATAATTATACTCTATTTTCTCTTCAGATTGTATAAATCTTTCACCTTTTACCAAAAATGTGTGAAAATTAATGCCTTTTCTCTAAATACCTTCTCTGCACAAACTCAAGGCTGGCTTCTAACCACCCATCCAATGCCATTTGCTACAACCCTCTTACCCCTAGTTCTTTATGGACCAGCAATACAGATTTGTTTGTGGCATCCAGAATGTGACATCTAGAATGTGCCATATGCTGTCTTTTCCAGAGCACTTACAGAGCTCTTCCTCTTAGATTCTTTCCTGGACAGCCTCTTTCCCACAATTACTAGCATTCATTGTACTCTGTTATAATTGTTAGTTTACAGGTCTGCCTTTCCATCTGGACTGTAAACTCCTTGCAGGGCATGGCTGTGTCTTCTCATTCATGCCCAGCACCCAACACAGCATCTGTCAAGTGGAATACACCAGTGAAGGGATCAATCAGCTGTAGAACAAATATGTGGCCTTTTCACTCTTAGGTGCTCTTGATCAGACTACAGAATGGATAAAAGAATCTGTAAATGAAGAATTATTTTCTCTTTCTGAGAGTGCTTTAACTCCTGGGGCCGAAAATACCTCCAAGCCAAGCCTGAGCCCTACTTTGGTGCTAAATAATAGTTACTTGAAACTGTTACAGTGGGATTATCAGAAAAAAGAATTACCAGAGGTGAGTGGTTTTGTTCTTCACCCAAATTTCCCAGTATTTTTATTCTTAAGTTCTAACTTTGAATCATCTGGTCTGTGTTTCATGTGGTTTAATGACTTTACAAAAATCAGATAAAAATGGGAATTTGGAAATGACATTGCCTGTTTTGTATTTTCATGCTATTGAGCTACCCTTTCTATTTTTATATTTTAAATAAATATGTTAGACACTTATGACAGATGGAGCACGTCTTCAGGAACTAACAGAAAAGCTGAATCAATTGAAAATTATTGCCTGCCTGTCCCTAATTACCAACAACATGGTGGGTGCTATTACAGGAGGCCTGCCTGAGCTTGCAAGCAGGTTAACAAGGATTTCAGCTGTTCTACTTGAAGGCATGAACAAAGAGTAAGTTCCAAATTTTTGCATCTGCTCCCTCTTGTATTAAGGCTCTGCATGTGTCTCAGAGAACAAGAATGACCTTGGACATCTGGATGTGAGATTCAGGACTGTGCTTTAGAGAAGCTTATCTTACACCTTTTTCTAGAATTTCCTTTAATATCTCTGAAGGCTTAGATGTCCTCTCATAGGAAGGGAGAGGTGTTTTCCATGACAAGTGCCAGGGTGAGTGTAGTATTTCCACTTACAATGAATGTGTACAACAGCTTTTCTTTGACAGTGCTTTGGAAAAAAACAAATGAAACACAGAAATCTGCCAAGCTTGATGTTTAGAATTGCGCAATTTTTTTTTTTTTTTTTTTTTTTTGAGACAGAATCTCGCTCTGTCACCAGGCTGGAGTGCAGTGGCGCAATCTCAGCTCACTGCAACCTCCGCCTCCCGGGTTCAAGCAATTCTTCTGCCTCAGCCTCCCAAGTAGCTGGGACTACAGGCATGCGCCGCCACGCCCAGCTAATTTTTGTATTTTTAGTAGAGACCGGGTTTCACCATGTTGGCCAGGATGGTCTCGATCTCTTGACCTCATGACTCACCCATCTCGGCCTCCCTAGAATTGTGCTATTGAAGAGGGCTTTCCTCCAGTTGTTCTGACTTCATCATTTTTCTGCAGTGAAATGTTTACTGACTTCACAAATCCACCTTGCTACGAAGTCTTCAGAAGTGCTGACAATTCTGCCCTTCAGAGATGTGACACAGTCCAGTGAAGATTTTGGTTTTTGCTAAATTTATCTCCAGTATTACACCTTCATGAATGCTAGAATCCCATTTAGATTTTGCATTTACATCATCCAATAGGAATTCCTATCTAAGTCAGAAATTCTTAGTCTTGGTGAATGGCCAGATGGTTCTATGGGTCTCTTATGGATCAGCTTCTGCTGGTTCCCCTTTCAGGTGTCTTCAGAGGCATGTCCTCTTTATTCCTGTAATTGAAGGGAAATGCACCTGTCTTCTCATCCTCCCACCTATTATTCAGAGAGCATATAAATTACTTGATGAAATCCTAGACTATTAAGAGCCAAAAGGAGCCCATGTAGTTACAGAATCCAACTTCTCATTTTGAACTGAAGCTTACAGATAGAATAGAATTTGCCTTGGGCTGCAAACAGAAAAGGGCAGACCAAGGACTGAGCCCTGATCTGACCTTTCTCCTGATTCTGATGCTCATTAATATTCCAGGACCAAGACCTATAATGAAAGGAAACCTCTGATTTTGCAGTTGGTCTTATCTTATGATTTCCCTGCATGGGTAGTCATTACTTTCCAGAAACTTTTATTTATTAAGCCTTTAGGGAATACCCAGTGCTGCTGAAATGTTATTATAAAGTATACAGAAAGTGGTTACTAAGAAGACAGGCTTTCGGGTCAGATGGACCAGGGTTTAAATCCCAGCTCTGCTACTGACTTATTATGAACACTTGAATATGTTCTCAAATTACTATGAGCCTGACTTCCTCACTTGTAAGAAGGGAATAATAATTGTATTAATATCTACCTTGGAGTTGTGAGAACTTAAGATGATTCAGGTACAGATGTGTGGCACGTAATATGTACTCAATGAATGCTAGCTATTAATAACTAGTCATTAAATCATCCTCTTTATAATTGTATCTGGTTGTTTATCTGGTTGTTTCATTGTTTAAATTTTTTTCCTGTGTTAGGAAATCAATACAATCAATTCTCAATTATCCTCATTACGGATGGGGCAATAGCATTCATAGTATTAAAAAAAGGGATAGTACTAAATAATAGACCAAGATGTCATTTATATTGGGTTTGATGATGCATCTTGAAAACTAGAAGGAGTTTTTCCCTCTTCATTGTGAGTAGAAGGCATGGCTTATGCTAAGACAACTTTTTTTGAAGAGCTGAAAGAGGATTTATTGATTAATTGATTTTTGCTTTTTTTCCCTTTTTCAACTTTTATTTTAGGTGTAGGGGCACATGTACAGGTTTTTTACGTGGGTAAATTGAGGGTCACTGGGGTTTGGTGTACCAGTGATTTCATCACCCAGGTAGTGAGCATAGTTAGTTTTTCAACCCTCACCCTCCTCCAGACCTCCACCTTTAAGTGTAGGAGCCAGTATCTGTTGTTCCCCTTTATGTCCATGTTTACTCAGTGTTTAGTTCCCACTTATAAGCGAGAACATGTGGTATTTGGTTTTCTGTTTCTGAATTAATTTGCTTAGGATAATGGTCTCCAGTTTTACCCATGTTGCTGCAAAGAACATGATCTTATTCTTTTTACAGCTGTATAGTATTCCATGGTGTACATATACCATATTTTCTTTATCCAGTCCACCATTGATGGTCATCTAGGTTGATTCCATGTCTTTGCTGTTGTGAATAGTGCTGCAGTGAATATATGAGTACATGTGTCTTTTTGATAGAGTGATTTCTATTCCTTTGGGAATAAACCCAGTAATGGGATTGCTCAGTTGAATGGTAGTTCTGTTTTAAGTTATTTTAGAAATCTCCAAACTGCTTTCCACAGTGGCTGAACTAATTTACATTCCCACCAGCAGTGTATAAGTGCTCTCTTTTCTCTACAACCTTGCCAGAATCTGTTATTTTCTGACTTTTTAATAATAGCCATTCAGGCTGGGCACGGTGGCTCACACCTGTAATCCCAGCATTCTAGGAGGCCGAGGCAGCCAGATCACTTGAGGTCAGGAGTTCAAGACTAGTCTGCCCAAGATGGCGAAACCCCGTCTCTACAAAAAATACAAAAAATAATTAGCCGAGCATGGTGGCGCATGCCTGTAGTCCCAGCTACTCAGGAAGCTAAGGCAGGAGAATCACTTGAACCTGGGAGGCAGAGGTTGCAGTGAGCCGAGATTGTGCCACTGCACTCCAGCCTGGGTGACGGAGTGAGACTCCGTCTCAAAAGAAAAGAAAAGAAAAAAATAGCCATTCAGACTGGTATGAGATGGTATCTCTCTGTGGTTTTGATTTGCATTTCTCTAATGATTAGTGATGTTGAGCATTTCTTCAGATGCTTGTTGGCTACATGTATGTCTTCTTTTGAGAAGTATCTGTTCATGTCCTTTGCCCATTTTTTAATGAGGTCGTTTTTTGCTTGTCGAGTGTTTAAGTTCCTTGTAGATTCTAGATATTAGACCTTTGTTGAATGCATAGTTTGCAAATATTTTCTCCCATTCTATAGGCTGTTTACTCTGTGGATAATTTCTTTTGCTGTGCATAAGCTCTTTAGTTTAATTAGGTCCCACTTGTCTATTTTTGCTTTTGTTGCATTTGCTTTTGGGTAATTCATCACGAAATGTTTGCCAAGGCCTATGTCCATAATGGTGTTTCCTGGGTCTTCCTTTAGGGTTTTTAAAGGTCTTATAGTTAAGTCTTTAATCCATCTTGAGTTGATTTTTGTATCTGGTGAAAGGAAGGAGTCCAGTATCAATTTTCTGCATATGGCTAGCCAGTTTCCCTTTAGCCTAAGAACTCACTGATTAAAAGCAAGAAAAATCTAGGGCAGTACATTGTAGTGGATAAAAAGTCGGAAGGTAAAAATTTTATTACAATCAGTCTATCCTTGGGTTACAGAATTCCAACGTCAGGTCCAGTGTGGGCTTATAACAAATTCCAGTCAAGGCAGAATGCCAAGAACTTATTTCTTATTGCTGTTAATGATGATAAACATGATAACCTATTTTTCTCTTTTCCTTCTTCCATGTGCCTGATAATCTGCTAAGAGCTAAATATTAGACACATAGAAGTTCAGTGGTAGAGCCAGGATTTGAACCCAGCTCCACATAACACCATAGCTTATGTTCCAACTCGCTCCGTTATACTGCTTCCTATCATTGAGCCCTTCTCTCATCCTTTAATTCCCATTTTGCAGAGTTATCTTAAGGACCTTTTCTGGATAGTGAGATAAAATTTTCAGTCATCTTTCCCTAATAGTGTGGACCCAACAAATGCCTTTTCTAATTACCTATTTTTCCTTACCTACTAAATAACTCACTCTTTAATTACCTTTACAACTTTCTGGACTCTATATATTGGAGATTATTTATCAGTTACTTGAATAATGTGAAGGAGCTTATTATCCTTGGTCATGATCAGCCAAAAGTTCTAGGTATTTGACCTCTGAATATCTTCATTTGTTGTTTTTGATTGGTGTTATAGATTTACTGCTCAGGCATAGATGAATTGAGTCTACTTCATTTATCAAGTGCATTTTTTAAAATGTGTGAATGAATCCACTCAGACCAACAAGTTTAAGAAGTAAATTGGTGTTTTCTGTCCCTTTCTGATAGCCCTGCAATATAAATGGGGTTGCAGGTGCATTTTTGGGGACCACATTTTCTGCTTATGCTTTTCTATTTAAACACTGCTACACAATTTAATGATTTTAAGCATTTAGAAGTCTGCTACATCAGAAGGTTGGTGGTTGGGAGGAGTTACTATTTTATGAGTTCATTCTAATAGAGGTTATTATTGTCTGTATAAGAGAAATTTGGTAGACATCTAAAACAAGTCTGTATATTAAAAATAATAACTTGATGAACAAAAACTTTCCCTGGTGGAATTTCATTTTATGTTTCATAGGACCTTTAACTTGAAGGAAGTCCTGAATTCTATTGGTATTCAGACTTGTGTTGAGGTTAACAAGACCCTGATGGAAAGAGGTTTACCCACTTTAAATGCTGAGATTCAAGCTAATCTTATAGGTCAATTTTCAAGCATTGAAGAGGAGGACAATCCTATCTGGTCCTTGATTGGTGAGTCCTTTTATTGATTTCTGCTTCAATTCCAATTTGCTTTAACTTGCTGATTTTGACTAACATTAAGTCAGTCAAATTTTGATCTTAAACACATTACCCACTTTTGGAGGATAAATATTGAAAATATCAAGAAATATTAATGTTTTCAAAGGCCTAGGACTCATTGCTGCTTCTGTGTGTCATGGAGTTGGGGGATGTTTCAGGGCCTATTATCTATTCAGCCAATAGATTTTATGACAAGAATAACAGAGTGCTGGAGTAATGTTAAAATCCTAGATCAATGCAGTAATTCAAACCAGCTGGCAGTATGTTCACAGATAGTAGATATGAGTTCTGCTGTGAGCAGCTCTGAAGGAACTTGGTCAGGCTTAAAGAGACAAAGACTAAAAATGTGTGGATCCGGGAGACATAGTGTGTAGGCTTCTTTTTGTAATGGTCAGCCAGGAAATTGACTGTCTCAAAGTCAAGCTGTGTTGGTGAGTTGGGAAAATGGATAATGTATCAGTTAGGACTTTTTCTGCTACCTGTGACAAGAATCTAAACTTCTAAACTAGCTTAAACAAAATGATCATTTATTTTCTCATCTAACTGAAAAGACCAGGGGTAGGACTGGCTTCTGGTACAGCCTAATGAGAGTTCCAGCTGTCACTGGCACTAGTTTTCCCGCCTCCAGCTCTCAACACTACCTTCTCCTGGGCCAGCTGCCTTCACAGGCAGACTTTTCTCATGACAGCAGGATGGCTTTAGCTCCAGCCTACAACCTTCCATATTTAAGTCCAGTGAAAAACAAGGAATCTGCCTCCCTGTTGGCTCAAACAGTGACCCCATCATTGAGTCTCAGTGGCTCCAGTTAGCCTGACTATGGTTCATGTCCCATTCTTGAATTGGTCATGGTGGCCTGAGGGGAAGAAAGTTAAGCCTGAGACATGTATTCACCTCCTGGAGCCAAGGAAGAGTCAGTTTTCTCTGTAACACCTGATGAGAGTAGGGAGGAGATGGTTACCCCCAAATAAAATCAGAGTATTGTGGCCATAAGGAAGGGGAGAAGCTGCCGTGTGGTACAAAGCAGTTGTCTACTACAGAGGTTGAAGGATGAAAACCAAAAGTAGAAGAGTGTAGAATTAGAATGTACTAACCTGCTAGGACTAATCTGCAAATTTTCAAAGTACAACATTGACGGCCTTAAGAATACAAATACATTTTATTATTGATTTGAGGCTTTCAAATGGTGTTGTTCATCCTTATCCCTGGGGACATGGAATGCTGGGGATCCAAGCTTCAACTTTGCCCCCAGAAAGGAACAGTGTTGGTGTATACGACATTGTGGGCTGCTGGAGAGGCTGCTCCTAAGAGGGGACAGTTGATAACAATAACAGATTATGACCACTGTCACCTGTGGCCAAGCCCTTATCTATATACCTTCACATGCTGACATGCATCTGTCCTCAGAGCATGTTGTCCCCAGCTGAACAGGTAAAACCTGAGAGATGGTGTTCTAGGAGGAAGAGGGATAGAGTAGGGACTGAGACACTGCCCAGCAGTCTCTGCAGCATACTGCCAGATCCCCAGTAGTGTGCAGGCCTCATGAGGACAGCGTGCAGGTTTGTTCACTGCTATATTCTTGTGCAATGCTGCACGTGCACATATATTTAATAAATATTTGTGAAATGGGTAAATGCATAGGAGACTTGGAGAGGTTAAATAACTTTCACTCAAAGTCCCATAACAAGCTGGGGGCAGAGTCTGTCTTCCCCAGCCTGTCTGACTCCAGAGCTCATGTTCCTAACTGCTCTGACTGGCACGTCAGTCAGAGCTGGAGCGCTGTTGCTTGCTGGCAGAGTGGCCAGAGTGTCAGAGTGTACTCTGTGACTTTTCTTTGGATAAGGGAAATGCTTGCAGTATCAGAAGGAAGAGGGAAGCTGAGGGCTAGGAGATTCCTCTTAAAATCTGGTAAAGCAACTTTTGTCCACCCAGCTTTCCCCAGTCCAACTTTCCTGTCCTTTTGCAAATTGAAAGCATTTTTAATCTCATTCAAAGTACTGTTGCCCTAGCAACTTAAGTGACTCACTTGAACGTCTCTTCTTCGACTCTGGAAGCCAAGGACACGCCTTTGGCAGGGACTCCGTGTGGCTGCTCCTAACTTTACAAACACTCCGGTCACTTTAGCCTTTGCCTAAAAACAGACTCATCTGCAAAAGAGGCAAAAGAGGCAGAACCACTTGCTGACATAATAAGGATTTTGAAAGGGTTTCATTTTTAAACCTTCTTATGGGAAAGCGTTTGGATCATATCTGTGATGATATAGACCTGGGCCTCTGAAGGTCAGGCAACTAGTCTAAAGGGAAAGTAGTACACAGTTAACTCTAAATGTATGCCTGCAGAGGAGTTAGAATAAATTAAACAGAGAGATTCCTGGAACCTGAGAAGGGCTTGATCAGTGTTGGCCATGGTTTTCCTCTGCTAAGGGTACCCACAGTATGCTTTCTTTTGTTCTCAGTTGATGCGCTATTTATTTACTGAAGGGATCATAATCCCCAATTCCCATTACAATTCTTAACCTTTTGAAAAGATATTAGAAAGGGATTTTTCTGTCGAATACATACTAAGTAAAAATTATGGATTACCTGCTGTGTAAATTATTTGCATGCCTACGTCTACTTTTTTTTTTTTTGAGATGGAGTCTTGCTCTGTCGCCCAGTCTGGAGTGCAGTGGTGTGATCTTGGCTCACTGCAACCTCTGCCTCCTGGGTTCAAGAAGAATACTTCTGCCCCAGCCTCCCTAGTAGCTGGGACTACAGGTGCGGACCACCAAGCCCAGCTATTTTTTTTGTATTCTTAGTAGAGACGGGGTTCCACCATATTGGCCAGGCTGGTCTCAAACTCCTGACCTCGTGATCCGCCCACCTTGGCCTCCCAAAGTGCTGGGATTACAGGCCTAAGCCACTGTGCCTGGCCTGCCATCTACACTTTTAACAAGTAATTTCAGTTGCACAGGTGATACAATAATTTCTCCTTGTAGAAAAATTACAGACAAAGGCCAGGCACGGTGGCTCATGCCTGTCATCCCAGCACTTTGGGAGGCCAAAGCAGGAGGATGGCTTGAGGCCAGGAGTTTGAGACTCTCCTGGGCAACAGATGGAGACCCTGTCTATATATAAAAAAAGAAAAAAAATACAGATAAGGCTTAAGTCACCTTTGTTTGCCTTCTTCAGTCCCCATTTTCCCCTGGCTGCCACGGTTTTCAGTTCGTTATTTATCTTTATAGACTCTTTTCAGTCCATTCTCACTTAAGTTCAGTCAGCATTTACAATGTGTCTGTCACATGACAGACCAAGAATATAAAGATAAAAAAGATATAAACCTCACGCTCAGAGAGTCCACTGTCCAAGAAGGGAGAGAGACACCTTCTCAACTGGCAATCATATGTCACGATAGTCTGGTAACAGATGCTAAGGAAAGTCACAGAAAGGAGGTAACTTTTGGCACGACATTGAAGGATGCCTCTGATTCTGGGCAGAGATGAGATGAAATGAGATGAGATTGAAGGGCATTCTAGTAAAAGGAAAGAATTCTAAGACATAGACATTGGAAACAAGTTCTAGGTCAGACCTAGCTGGAATGTATGATTTTTGTGAGCATTCTTTGGTGATAAGAATTTTAGTAGTATCATAGTTGTCTATATTCAATGTGGCATATTTTCCTTAGTAAACCTTCTTATTGGTGAGGTTTCTGTTCCCAAAGCCAGAGAAAGCCCTTGGAGCAGCCTGAGCTATAGCAGGTCTTTTCTGTCCAGTATTATTAATAGTTGTCCTATACTATTGCAGCCTGATTTCCATATGCATTTCTATGCTTTTGTGTAGTCGTCTCAAAGTCAAATACATTGAGGCAGTGATGCAGGAAGGGCAGGGAAGGTGGCACAATGGTGTGCTGGTTGGGATGTCCCTTCCTCAGTGTCTCCTGATTCTTGGCCATGTGTGAAGTACCCTGTAACTTATTTAGTATTAATTAATTA
Source organism: Homo sapiens (assembly GCF_000001405.40). Taxonomy (NCBI): domain Eukaryota; kingdom Metazoa; phylum Chordata; class Mammalia; order Primates; family Hominidae; genus Homo; species Homo sapiens. The sequence goes on from NC_000012.12 coordinate 106,345,014, forward strand.
TGTTTGAGATGGAGTCTCCCTCTGTTGCCCAGGCTGGAGTGTGGTGGCATGATCACAGCTCACTGAAGCCTCATGAGCTCAGGCAGTCCTCTCAACTCAGCCTCCTAAGTAGCTGGGACTACAGGCACACACCATCATGCCTGGCTAATTTTTAAATTTTTTTTGTAGAGATGAAGTTTCACTATATTGCCCAGGCTGGTCTCGAACTCCTAGGCTCAATCAGTCTCCCACCTCGGCCTCCCAAAGTGCTGGGATTACAGGTGTGAGCCACTACGCCTGGCACCATGTAATTTATTGTTCAACCAGGGTACTTTTGAGAGTCTCTTTTTAAAATTATGCCAGGACAACAGGTGTAAATTTTGACTGTCCTGGGGAAACCTAGATGTGTGGTCCCCCTTGCCATGTGGTAATTTGGGCCCCCAAGTTTGCCAGATCTCTAGATTTTTCAAGAGAAAGCAGAAATATGGATTTCTATGTGAAATCTCCTGATTTTAAATGGCTTCTGTTTTTAAAAAAGACACTGCATGGGCCAGACTGGCAATGCCAGTTTACAAACTCAGCTTTAGTGTATGTAATTATAATCATGAACATTTAGGATTAACTTTTGTAGAAGATTCCCCCCAAATAGGGCTCTGCCTTTTTTTTTTTATCAGTCAGCTATTGCTGCATAACAAAATACCACAAAACTCCTGAGCTTAAAAAAAATAAGCATTTATTATTACTCACCAGTCTGTGAGGCGACCGGGTGGCTCTTTTGGTCTTGCTGAACTCACTAATGTATTTGTGGTTCAGCTGTGACTCAGGATGGAAGCTTTGCTGATCCTGGCTGGACTTTCTCAGGTGTTTGAATGCTGGTTGGCTATGGGTTGGTCTAGGATGGCCTCAGATGGAACAGCTGGGTTTCCCTCTCCTTGGTCTCTCATCCTCCAGCAAGCCCAGGCCTATTCTCATGGCGGTAGTAGGTAGACGGTGGACATGAACAAGAGTGGCCTCTTGAGGCCAAGGCATGAAACTGGTACTCTGGCATTTCCACCGCATTCTGTATTGGCCAAAGTAAGTCACAGGGCCAGCCCAGATGGAAAGGATGGGAAAAACACACTCCAGCTTTGATAGGAGGAACTGCAAAGCTACCTTGGAAAGGGGATGGGTGCAGGGAGGGGTAAAGAATTGGGAACATTATTGCAGTCAACCTACTACAATTACTTGTTCTTGTTTTTAAAAATTATGTACTTTAATAATGGACAGATAAAAGTATCTTTTTTTCCCCTTCAGATAAACGAATTAAGCTTTACATGAGAAGGCTACTTTGTCTTCCAAGCCCTCAAAAATGCATGCCTCCTATGCCAGGAGGCCTAGCTGTCATTCAGCAGGAGCTAGAAGCCCTAGGCTCTCAATATGCAAACATTGTGAATCTCAACAAACAAGTGTATGGACCATTTTATGCAAATATACTTCGAAAGCTGCTCTTCAATGAGGAAGCCATGGGGAAGGTAGATGCTTCACCTCCTACTAACTAAAGAAGAACTGACATTGGACGAGAGATTGGAAATCCAGTACTTTGGTATCCAGTCCACTTCCATTGATGGCATTAGAGATCCAGCACATTCTCAGTACTGTGGTGCAGTATTAGCCCAAATCTGTGTAATGGGTAATATTAGCATTACAGAAGACACACACATCACATAGACCCTCAGAAGACGTAAACATCACATAGACCCTATTTGTGCATCATTTTCAAGTTTAAAACAAATATTTGTAATGAACAGAAAACAATTTGTAATTAATTATATTACCTATATAATACTTGTAAATGTTTTCTTAACCATTTATATTTGGCTTATGACATTTAACCCCTAAGGAGTTGTTTTTCTCACTTGTTATTATCAAACCTAATGGTTTTTAATTTTGGTACAACTCCTTAAAGGGTTGAAGGTTGTGACAATAACTGAGGGAACTGATGTTCTGAATAAATGATGTGAAGTAAACACAATTGTATTTGAAATGTACAATTACATTTTATTAATGTGTTAATAGAAACTTTCAAAGTAAGTCCTCAAATTCCACAAATGTACCAAATCACACTTTATAATACCAATGGTCAGTATTTATTTAGAATTTTAATGTATTAAGTACATTTTCATGCTATATACAAACTTCAGATAAAACCTCCCTTGTTTGTTTAGTGAAAATAGAAGCAACTCCCTTCTCAAATTATTCTAGAAGTTTGTTTCTTCTTACAATTTAGTCTGCTCTCCAAGAAAAACAATTTTTGCACAAATCTCTTAGTGAATGTCCTTGCAGTTCTCAGGCCATTGATAAGGTTTATATAAGAGTTTAATATTTTTATGTGAGGCAGGGCTCATTTGGTTTACTTGTAAGAAGAAGAAAGGGAGTCAATGATAAAATGAGATCCCATTCTCCATGAAGTTCATATCTGAAAAAGAAACAGTTAAACTTTGGATTTCTTACCCATATAACTTAACTACCAGATGTCTTTTGTGCTGATGAAAGCTTTACCGTGTTATGACCAAGATGCCCTCCTAAGGATCATTATCATTTGCCTTTTTTTTTTTTTTTTTTTTTTTTTGAGACGCAGTCTCACTCTGTCGCCCAGGCTGGAGTGCAGTGGCGTGATCTCAGCTCACTGCAACCTCTGCCTCCTGGGTTCAAGCAATTCTCCTGCCTCAGCCTCCTGAGTAGCTGGGACTACAGGCGCCCGCCACCACGCCCAGCTAATTTTTGTATTTTTAGTAGAGACAGGGTTTCATCATGTTGGCCAGGCTTGTCTTGAACTCCTGACCTCGTGATCCACCCACCACGGACTCCTCAAGTGCTGGGATTACAGGCGTGAGCCACCATGCCCGGCCTCATTTGCCATTCTTTTTTTTTTTTTTTTTCTTTGAGATGGAGTCTCACTCTATTGCCCAGGCTGGAGTGCTGTGGCACAATCTCGGCTCACTGCAACCTCTGCCTCCCGGATTCAAGTGATTCTCCTGCCTCAGCCTTCCGAGTAGCTGGGATTACAGGCATGCACCACCATGCCCAGCTAATTTTTGTATTTTTACTAGAGACAGGGTTTCACCACATTGGTGAGGCTGGTCTCAAACTCCTGACCTCGTGATCCGCCCGCCTCAGCCTCCCAAAGTGCTGGGATTACAGGCGTGAACCACTGCGCCCGGCCTCATTTGCCATTCTTGAGCGTTAAATCAAACCTTGCAAAGTTGGGCACTAGTTGCCACTGAGACTTTAGAGAAATCTGCTTATCCTGGAATTACTCTTCTTGGAGTGCTGCGGGAAGCACTGCAGTTGGGAGGTACTTGGTCTAAAAAGAGCTTCATTTGCATAAAATACATTTTTGATTGTTTTGTTTGCTAAGGACTCAATTGAGCCCTAGTAATTTGGTGAGGTCGAGTGGGTAGAAAATAAAAAGAAGCATTCCTTTCTTCCCCAACCTTCTTTTCCTCACCACAACCTTCACCATTACGGTGTTACTTCATTATTTTATGAAGTTCTAGGAAATGATTGTGTGAATAAATTGTCTCCATTGTTTATATTTGGGGAAATCTGCCAAAATTTGAGGAAAGTATAAACGTCAGTTTTTTTTTTTCTCACAATGCCCAATACATCAGCCATTCTCTCCACGTAAGCTGCTGCATGCAAGTGGAGTATTACTGAAGAGTACACCATTGGTCTTAGCTATTTTTTTCTCTTCCTGCAGTCCTCTTCTGCCCATGTTTTCCTATACACAGCAACTATAAGGTGCTGAAGACATTTGGTTTTCTCTTAAGCTGAAGGAGTTCTCAGCTGTTCTGTCTTTGGGGCATGGGCATCAGGGAGATTCTGACAGTAGAAAGGTATTATGTAGTGTGATTTTTTTGTTGCTTTCTGGGGTGAACTGTATACTTAACAGGTGGTGTACTTTTTTATTACCAGATTTGAATCCAGCTGATGCTCTTTTATACTACAGTGGCCAGCAGGAAAACAATGTACAAACTTTTTTTTTTTTTAATGCATTTAAAATGAAGGGCATTCTGCCTTTTTTTTTTTTTTTTTTTTTTTTTTTTTTTTAGTGGCAAAGTCAATCTCAATGTTTCAAGTCTGGATTTAGGCAACTACATTTACTAGGATTTTTTAAATTGTATCCCTTAGCATGTTGTTTATTTGGTTTTTACTTAAATGTTTACTTCTAATGTTTTCCTAACATGGTCTCATTTTGTAATGTAAATTTGTATTAAATGCCATACACACATTTTCATTCTTCTGCTAAAACATGTATTGTGTGCACTTACTAAATTTTAAAGCATTAAAAATTATTTCAAAATAGCCAGTGTCTCTGTTTTCTAAACCACTTCTGGGTAGCTTGGGGCTGGAATATTGGATAGTCTTTATTGGATAGTCTTTATTGGATAGTCTTTTTAGAATGATTCTTGTGCTGACCATCAGAGCCTTACAGACATCAAATCATGTTTATTCACACATTCATTCATTGAGTCAACAAATACCTATTGAGCATCTGCTGTGTGCCTGCCAAGAAGTATCCCAGTGGTTGTGATACATACATGATAAAACATACTGTCTTCAAGAAGTTTACAATCTAGTGAGAAGGACAAACTTGTGAACAGTTACAATAAAGTGTAATGAGGGTTAAAAAATAAGGCCGGGGCTGGACGCAATGGCTCACGCCTGAATCCCAGCACTTCGAGGCCAAAGCAGGTGCATCACTTGAGGCCAGGAGTTCAAGAAAAGCCTGGCCAGCATGGCAAAACACCATCTCTATTAAAAATACAAAAATCAGCCGGGTGTGGTGGCACATGCCTGTAATCCCAGCTACTTGGGAAGCTGAAGCAGGAGAATCACTTGAACCTGGGAGGCAGAAGTTGCAGTGAGCCAAGATCTTGCCACTGCACTCCAGCCTGGGTAACAGAGCAAGACCCTGTCTCCAAAAAATAATAATAATAAATAAGCATAGTGCTAGGGAGAAGATGGTCAAACTCTATTTCATAAAGAAGATAATTCTTTAGCTAAAACCTGAGAGATACATAGGAACTTGCCAAGAGGCCACAAAACAGGCCAAGTGCACAGTAAGTACAACAGTAGGGAGAAATGGTGAGCCAGGGATGAGAGTAAGTTGGAAGAATGAAAGTGATGAATGAGAGGTGGCCAGGCGCAGTGGCTCACACCTGAAATCCCAGCACTTCAGGAGGTCGAGGTGGGTGGATCACTTGAGGTCAGGAGTTCGAGACCAGCCTGGCCAACATGGTAAAACCCCATCTCTCTACTAAAAATACAAAAATTAGCTGGATGTGGAGGCAGACACCTGTAATCCTAGCTACTCGGGAGGCTAAGGCAGGAGAATCACTTGAACCCAGGAAGCAGAGGTTGCAGTGAGCCGAGATCGTGCCACTTGCACTGCAGCCTGGGCGACAGAGGGAGACTTTGTCTTTAAAAAAAAAAAAAAGTGATGAGAGGTGAAACAAGAAAGATGAAAAGGTTCTCGGATGCCATGCTAAAATTTGGGCGGGGGGCAGGGGTTGTCCTGAAAAGGAAGAAGAATCATTGAATCTCTTGAAACATGAGAAGGTCACAAACAAAATCTATGTTTTGGAAAGATTGCCCTGACAACACTTGTTGATGCTAGAATATTCCTACGTCTAGTGTATGTATGTTTACATGCACTCACACGTGAAGACATGATACCAGCAATTTAAATGGACTCTGGTTAACTGAAGCAGAAAAGGAGTTTATTGGATGGGCATGAAATACCTCACAGAATCTAGTTAATCAGAGAGGAACCAGGTTTGGAAAATGGACAGGAACCAAGGCGATGCAAGCTGCAGGAGTCCGTCCACGCTGGAATCAGTGCTGCAACTTCAGAGATTGATTTCTCAACTGTCTTTCCTTCTTTGCCTCATTTGCTTAAGATCTAAAGTCCCACATATCAAGATTCAGTTGAGTGAGTCTTAAGTGCCCAGGCTTTAATTTGCAGGGGATGGAGTGAGGGAATTACGATCCTTACACTCCTGTGGTCCCACCAAAGTCATCCAATTAGAGATTTCTCCCAAATTGAGAGGGCATGCCGAGAAGCAGAAAGAGAAAAATAAATCCACTGTAATGAACATTCATGAAATCTTTAAAATTTGGATGTGAGAAATGTGTGAGACCACCCAAACCAGCAGTGCTTCTGAGAATTATACAAAAGATGATTTAAGGAAAGGCGTAGTTACAAGAAGTCAACCTTTCCTAATAAGTGTAGGTGAACTGCTGAACAAACAGCCCCCAAGTCTCAGTGGTCTCATAAGCTCATTTCTCAAAGCATAGTTCAAAGCAGGGGGGTAGAGTGGCGTTGGGGGGCGGGTCTTCCATTTAGCCATCCAGAGACCCAACGTCATCCATGTCATGACTCTGCTGCCCTCTAAATCTTCATTCACTCAGCTGATAGGGAAAGAAAAAGACTGCCCACTTCCACTCATGTTCCATTGGCCAGAATTCAATAATGTGGCCTCATCTTACTGCAAGGGAGGCTGGAAAAAGTGCCCAGGAGAAAGGCTGTCATGGATATGGGTAAGCATTAGCCGTCTCCACTTCGGGTCCCTTCCAGTGAACCTTCTCTTCCCGAAAATAGGTTTAAAATTATGTGCCTGATCTTTCTGAAAGAGGGGGTAACTGAAAGAGGGGAGGATTTGAAAGCCAGACCCAGGAGAATCACTAATGAGTTCTGTAGTTGATTGGCAAAGTGTGCTATAGGAATGGGGAGTACCTCCTTTGTGCAACATATTTGTGCTTCTCAGTTGCATCTCTCAAGACTAAAGTTCAGCCTGTTCTACCTCTGGGGATGTTCAATTCCAAAAATTTTCCACTAATTGTTCTGTAAAAGCATGGGACTAAGAGCTGTAAGAACTTAGTTGGAATTCACTCCTACTACTTCATAGCTATATGAACGCGAGCCAATCTTTTAATCTTGCTGAACCTCAATTTTCCACCCTACTTCCCTACCCTACTATCTTCCTACCTCACAGTTATTGTGAAAATAAAGTGAGTCATATTTGAAATTGTCTGTAAACTCTAAGGCATAATGTAGCCAGAATACATTATAATAACTGTAATTTATGAGTCCTAAATCTCTTTCAAGCTTCAAGGGGTTTTAGTATTTGGAGATGTGATGATCAAGTACTTAAGTACATAAGAACAAAAATTTTAATATCTCATCAGAACCATGGTTCATTAAGCCCAATATTGTCATTGGCAGAGAAACCCAAGGGTATGCAGAAGGCTGCGGTTATTGTCCTTGATGTCAACGTCAAAGGCTAGCGACAAAACCCAACATGTTCTAATTCCATTTAGTAATCAATTATGACATTATCCTCTATGATTTACTTCAATCTTTTAAAAGGTATATTTGTATTATCATATTGTGCCCTCTTGTTCTGTTTTTGGAGTGAGGCCTTACCTTTTCATTTCTAAGCTTACTATGTTAGCTCCTTTCAGATTTCAAGGGAAAGGAACAGAGGTATTTATTGCAAACTTCTATGAAGAAGAAAGGAAATCCAGGAATTTGTCTCAGCAGCTGTATTTGTAGGTGTGGTGAACCTGAATATAGTTTCTTTTCTCTTTCAGAATATAAGAAAAAAATATTAATAGCCACTGAGCACTTACCCTATGGCAGGGACTACCCGAAGCACTTTATGTAAATATCACAGAACTGCACAGCACATTGGGAGGCAGGCTCCATCATTTCCATATGTGGAAAACGAGAATCAGAGAGGCTAAGGAACTTGCCCAACGTCACAGAGCTGGTAAGTGTATTTGAACCCAAGGAGTCTAACCCTGGAATGTGTGTCATCCATCAAAAGTGTTTCTCAGGGCCATGGGCACACTGGCTCACGCCTATAATCCCAGCACTTTGGGAGGCTGAGGCAGGTGGATCACCTGAGGTCAGGAATTTGAGACCAGCCTGGCCAACATGGTGAAATCCCATCTCTACTAAAAATACAAAAATTAGCCAGGTGTGGTGGTACAGGTCTGTAATTCCAGTTACTTCGGAGGCTGAAGCACGAGAATCATTTGAACCTGGGAGGTGGAGGTTGCAGTGAGCCGAGATCGCGCCACTGTACTCCAGCCTGGGTGACAGAGTGAGATGCTGTCTCAAAAAAAAAAAAAAAAGAAAGAAAGAAAAAAGAAAAGAAAAGTATTTCTCAGGCCAGACGCAGTGGCTCACTCCTGTAATCCCAGCACTTTGGGAAGCCAAGGCAGGCGGATTGCTTGAGCCCAGGAGTTCAAGGCTACAGTGAACTAGGTGACAGAGCAAGACCCTATCTGAAAAAAAAAAAAGATATCTCTGTGGTGCTGTTACCAAATGCTGACTTGGCATTTACTTCTCAGCTTCTGTTGCTGCCCTCCCCTTTGGGGTGTCTTCATTAAACGTGTCCTGAGAGGGAATACGATTGAGTTTGCTCGCCACGTGTCAGTTTAGATGACCCACAAACCCCACATTAGATAGGGTTCTCATGATAAGCCACTTCATCCCTTAAATCCAGCCCACATGGCTGTCCTGGGCAGGTACCCGGCCCTATTGGTTTTGATAGGATAATAAGATCACATCCACAAAGAAAGGTCTGGGGGCATGGCAGGCAGCTGAAAGTTTTTGGACTATCCAGTCTTGCCTAAAATGCAGAATGTTCTGACTTCAAGGGCTCTCCCTCTGCTGTTGCCTTTTGAGACTGAAGAGTCCTTATTCTTTCTCTGACATTGTTTCTGGTCTTCTCTAGTTCTATTATGAATTAATTGAGACATAGAAATCAGAACCATATGTATCTTTTTTCCCAGTCTGAATGCATCAAGGTTTCAAGAAAGGAAGATAATCTTTTTCTTTTGTTTCTAGCACCTTCATGTTGAAGCCTCTCAGAGCATGGTCTAATTTTTTTTACAGGGCATAACAGTCCGTGATGGTACAGCTCCAGTGGATCTTTCTAGTGTCATCTACAGACACGTCCCTTGAAAAGCCCTATGTGAGAACCACACTCAATTGTCAGAATGTGGTATAATGTACTCTAATGCCCTCATGCCATTGCTCACGCTGTGTTTCCCTACTTGAAACGTTTTCCGCTACCCCATGCTTTTGGTATGGCGTTATGATAGAGTGGTTAAAAGCATGGGTTCTGGGGTCAAATAATTATGGATTTAAATTCCAGCTCTGCTTGGGCAAGTGTCTTAACCCCTGTGAGCCTTAGTCTCTTTACCTTTCAAGTGGGGATAATCATACTTATCCCCGGGGTTCAGCACTCAATTAGAGAATGCACATCAAGTGGTCATTGCAATGCCTAAGAGTAAACACTCGGTAAATGTTAATATTTCAAGGCCCAGCTTGGACACCTCTGCCTTTCCTTTTTCCTTGCTCTCCCTTAAACAAGATCCCCTATTCCCCCATGGCACTGGTCAATTTTTCATCTGGCTACCATAAGCCATTGTACATTAAGTGATAAGATAGTATTCCAACATGTTAACCATTTTTCCTTCTGTGATTTTTTTTTTTTTTTTTTTTTGAGACGGAGTCTTGCTCTTGTCGCCCAGGCTGGAGTGCAATGGCGTGATCTCGGCTCACTGCAACCTCTGCCTCCCAGGTTCAAGCAATTCTCCTGCTTCAGCCTCCCGAGTATTTGGGATTACAGATGTGCGCCACCACCTCGGGCTAATTTTTGTACTTTTAGTAGAGACAGGGTTTCACCATGTTGGCCAGGCTGGTCTCAAACTCCTGACCTCATGATCCACTGCTTCGGGCTCCCAAAGTGCTGGGATTACAGGCGGCGTGAGCCACCGCGCCCAGCCTTGTGATCTCTTTTCCCTAATTTCCCACCCCTCTATTCAAACCACTGGTCTTTTTGTACTAATACCTCAGGAAAAGGACATGGCAGCAGAAAACAAAGAAATGCTGAGACTGTTCCTGGCTTCTTGGTTTCAAAACTCCAGTCCCTTAGGGTATCAGAAAGAAGTTATAGATTTGATCTGGGGGAAGGACTATGAGGGACTGTGGCAGCTATGGTCTAAGGGCCAACACCGTTCAGCATTAGCCGATTGTTGCCGTATAGGACTTTGGGACCATGGCTACCAGAGCCTCCTGCTTTTGAAGAGAAACTAAAAACAATCAGGATTCTTAAAAAGTGAGTATAATATCAAACATCACCCATTCGTTGCATTTTTTCTTTCAACTCACTCATTCAACACAAATATATTCAGGAACAACTGATGGGTTAGAAGTTGGAAACACAAAGACAAACAAGATAGTTCCCGTACCAAGAGCTCAGTCTGGATAATGAGACACATAAAAAGAGGATATGGCATTGAGTGATAAGTCTTAGGTTAGTGATTTCCAAAGCATAATCACTGGAAAGCAACAGCAGGGAACTTACTAGAAACGCAAATTTGCAGGCCGGGAGTGGTGGCTCACGCCTGTAATCCCAGCACTTTGGAAGGCCGAGGCAGGCGGATCACCTGAGGTATGGAGTTCGCGACCAGCCTGGCCAACATGGTGAAACCCCGTCTCTACTAAAAATAAAAATTTAGACGGGTGTGGTGGCGCATGCCTGTAGTCCCAGCTACTAAGGCGGCTGAGGCAGGAGAATCACTTGAACCCAGGAGGCTGAGGTTGCAGTGAGCCAAGACCGAGCCACTGCACTCCAGCCTGGGTGACAGAGTGAGACTCTGTCTCAAAAAAAAAAAAAAAATGCAAATTTGCAGCCAGCGCGGTGGCTCACGCCTGAAATCCCAGCACTTTGGGAAGCCGAGGCAGGCGGATCACCTGAGGTCAGGAGTTTGAGCCCAAACTGGCCAATATGGCGAAACCCCGTCTCTACTAAAAATACAAAAATTACCTGAGTATGGTGGCACGCGCCTGTAATCCCAGCTACTCGGGAGGCTGAGGCAGGAGAATCGCTTGAACCTGGGAGGGTACAGTGAGCTAAGATTGCACTACTGCACTCCAGCCTGGACGACAGAGTAAGACTCCATCCCCGCCCCCCACCAAAAAAGCAAAATTTCAGCCCCAATTTACCAATCAGAAAGCTGAGATTAGTTTAACAAGCTCTCCAGGTGATTCTGATACACCCTAAAGTCGGAGAATCACCTTGATAATGGAAAGCAAAGAAGACTTTGGCACAGACAACCAACACACTTGAGCCAACCTTGAGATCCTCTGCCATCTATAAATCACTTTCACAGTCCCTTCTAGGCTAGATGCTAAATTGGTTGCAATCTGGTAATGCACAATGATGAGACACAAGTTGTATCTTGTCTCTGTAATAAGTAAATTGTAAGAACTTCAAAGGCAGGGTTGATTCTACTTTTGGTGTTTTTTCCATTCTTCTCGTATTTCAGATATCAGTGCAATACTTAGAAAATACGGCCGGGCGCGGTGGCTCACGCCTGTAATCCCAGCTACTCGGGAGGCTGAGGCAGGAGAATGGCGTGAACCCGGGAAGCGGAGCTTGCAGTGAGCCGAGATTGCGCCACTGCAGTCCGCAGTCCCACCTGGGCGACAGAGCGAGACTCCGTCTCAAAAAAAAAAAAAAAAAAAAAAAAAAAGAAAATACAAGTACTGAAATTTAAGTAGCTCTTTAGTAAATAAGAATAATTAACCTGGTGCAAGGGTTCTACCTTTATGAGGGAGAAATTGGAAAGCATATATGTACTTACAAATTTTCATAACTTTTCTTATCGTTGTAAAATATACATAAAACTTAGCATTTTAACCCTTTAAAATGATGTACAGGTCAGCAGCATTAAATACATTCACACTGTTGTGCAACCATCACCATTCTCCATTTACAGAACTTTTGCATCTTCCCAAACCGAAACTCCGTACCCATTAATTAATTGGTGCATTTTGCCTTGTTTTTTCTAATAGGATTTTTCTTTCTGTTGATTTGTATGAGCTCATTTTAAATTAGAGAGACCAGCCCTTTGTCTTCTGCCAATTTATTTTTTATTAATTCTATTTGTTGGTGATTTTTTAAAATCTGTTCAGAAAATTAAAAATTTTCCGTGGAATCATAAAATCGTGTTTAGATTATAAAATCCTTTATGATTTGACTGTTGCCGTCTTGAAAGTCTTCAACATCTCAATGTTATGAATATCTGCACTTACATTTTCTTCTAAGTTTTTGTTAACATTTCAATATTTAATCCACAAAAGATTCACTTACATGTATTTTTTCCCCAAATGGGTAATCAGCTCTTCAAACATTATTTACTGGACAGGCCATCCTTCCCCTACTAACGTAAATGTCATCTTTTCATATTAAATTTCTCCATGCGCTGGGTATTTACTCCTACATCTTCCATCTAGTGCTTTTGAGAATTTTCAACACTCTTCCATTACACGCATGTACCATCATTTATTTAATCAATCTTCTATTGGTAGGCATTTGGGACGTTTCCTGCTCTTCCATACTAAACAATGCATAGAATTTTGGACTACATTAAATAATTCTCTGCCTCAGTGGTTCAAGTTGCGTAAATTATGCGTTTACACTTTTCTTCGGATTACTTTTAAAATGACAACCACTATGTTTTGCTGGTCTCAATTACCAGAGAATTGGCAAGAAACCTGACAGCTGGGGCTTAGGATTCCCTGCGCCAGACCTCCGAGCTACACCAGAGGGCGTACTTTCCTTACTCGGCCTCGGCCACATCCGGGTTCCACCGCAGATTCGGGCAGGGAGCGGGCGGAACCTTTCTACCGCGTCTCTAGCTAACACGCACGGCGGGGACAGTTTAGGCCTCCGCGCACCGTTCGCCGGGAGTCTTGCAGTTTGCTTGGTGCAGGGAAGGCGGGCGCGGAGGTTCTATCTGTTTCTTCCTCCTTCGTGAGCAGCATGGACGTGCTAGCGGAGGAGTTTGGGAACCTGACTCCGGAGCAGCTGGCGGCGCCGATCCCGACTGTAGAGGTCAGTGCCAGGCACGCAGGGAGCGTCAGGGACAAGGATGCGCCCTGAGGGGGCGTTGCCCGGAGTGCTCGGGCCGCCAAGGGGGCGGGCTGGCGGTTTGTGCGCATGCGCCGGGCTTCTGCGCATGCCCAGAGCGTCGCGCTTGCGAGTCTTTTTTCCAGAGCCGGCCTCCGCGTGCGCGAGTGAAGGCTGATCCCAGAGGAGCTGTCAGCCGCTGCGGGGGCCGAGAAGCCCCGCTGCTGGCTCTAGGGTTGGAGCTCTTCCAGCATAGGTGTGCGTGGGGAGGACTGACCCTCGCACTTACTGTGGGGGACGTATTGCATGTTTGCAGTCTTACAGAGGACACGGGGCCAGGGAGCTCAGGCCATTTGCATGAGGCACCACAGCCGGCTGTGGGGGTAAAACCAGATCGTCTGAATTCCAAGCTAGTCATCTTTCCTTTTAACTTGAAGTTCCAGTTTGGGTTGCAGGGGAATTTTAAACGCCCTCAATATTTACTAAAGAATTTGCCTGTGTGTTTTCTGGGGGAGAGACTCCACAGCTTTCATCAGCTTCTCGGAAGTTAAGGACAGCTGCCCCACAGCGAGCTGCCCAGTGAAGTGCGGCTGTCGACATATTTTGTTATCTGATAAGGCACATTTTGTAATCTCTCTGAGCCTCAAAATCTACACTGACGTGGAATAGGGAAGTGGAGACGTGGCCGGAGAAGATAGCAAAGGAGAGATTTCAGGGAAAGAGAACAGGATACTTGAAACCTCCTCGGCAAGACCATTGGATGTTTTTGAGGAAGGAAAGTAAATCCAGTAGTATTAGAGTGAAGAAAAATAGAGGAGAAGAGATAAAAGACAGGGTTAAGTAAGGGTCTTGATTATGAAAAGTTTCAATAAACATCTGACAGAGCTTGGACTTTGTCTTGGAGCAGAGCTTTTGAAGGGTTTAAGCAGGAAAGTGACATGATCAGTAAGTCTATCGGATTATAAGAACCTCCTTGGCTAGGCGTGGTGGCCTGTAATACCAGTAGTTTGGGAGGCCAAGGCGGGCGGATCACTTGGGCTCAAGAGTTTGAGAACAGCTTGGGCGACATGGCAAAACCCTGTTTCTACAAATAATACAAAAATTAGCTGGGTGTGGTGGCGTGCACTTGTCCCAGCAACTCAGGAGGCTGAGGTGGAAGGATCACTTGAGCCTGGAAGGTCGAGGCTGCAGTGAGCCGTAATTGTGCTGCTGCACTCCAGCCTGGGTGACTGAGACCTTGTCTCAAGGAAAACAAAACAAAACCTCTTTATAATAGTTTGACAAGTTAAGGAAGTTGAATTAGCAGTTCCAACAGATTCAGTCTATAAGTGCATGCAATAGGCTGCTGATCATCAGGCAAAACTATTTTTTTTTTTTTTTTTTGAGACGGAGTCTAGCTCTGTCGCCCAGGCTGGAGTGCAGTGGTGTAATCTCGGCTGACTGCAACCTCTGCCTCCCGGGTTCAAGCAATTCTCCTGCCTCAGCCTCCCAAGTAGCTGGGATTACAGGCGCCCACCATCACCGCCAGCTAATTTTTGTATTTTTAGTAGAGACGGGGTTTCACTGTGTTGGCCATGCTGGTCTCGAACTCCTGACCTCGTGATCCACCGCCTCGGCCTCCCAACGTGCTGGGATTACAAGCGTGAGCCACCGTGCCCGGCTGCAAAACTGTATTTTAACCGTGAAAAGTGAATATCAAAGAGCCAGCATTCACTGAGCACTTGCTAATGTGCCAGGTTCTGTTTAACCATAACATGCATTATGTTATTTAATCCTCTGAAATAAGTACTATTTTCACCCCCATTTTGCCAGAGAGGCCCAAAGATGTTAAGTAAATAGCCTTGCATTAGAAGCCTGGTAGTGGCTAATCTGGAATTTGGACTCTTGTCAGTCTGACTCGAGTCTTCATCCCTAACTGCTATCGGACCGCTTCTCCAGAGAGCTGAAGAAATAAGCCTGGGAGATTTCTATTTCTTATCTGAATTTACACAGCTATGAAGTGAACAGTGCTATAATTCCAGCCTTCTGATTGAAGAATAACAGTTCCTCTTCCTGCACTCTGTATCCAATCCACCATCACCTCTAAAAAGTCCTGAGTTCTTAATCTATGCATATCTGAAACTTCATTCCCACCGTTTTCCAGCCCAGAACGACTGTCCTCTCTTACTTCCTAACTGGCCTACCTGGCACCTGACTTGTCCCAATCCAGTCTGTTCCTTGCTCTGCAGCCAGAGCTGTCCGTTTAAACACACAAACATGGTTATGTTGCTCCCTTGGTTAAAGTTCTTCAATCTCTGCCTATTGCTCTTAGGGCAAAATCTAGTGTTTACCATGTTTGTAATAAATTTCCTCAGTCTGACCAGTGCTTACTTCTCTAGTCTCTTTTCCCATGGTTCCCCCCTCTCCCTCCCCTGAGATCTTTCTACTCTGCTCAGTTTCTTCTGGATCGCTCTCCCCTTCCTATTTGTAGATTAAATCCCACATATCTATAATATAACTTCCCTAGGAAGGCCTTTCCTGATTCTCCCAGAAGATGGTAGATCTCTGCTACTTGCTGCCATTTCCTTTTAAATTGAGATATTAAAATATTTACTTAAACTTTCCAACTTCAGTGTTTTCGCTGCAACTTTTTCTAGTTAGGAGCTCAGTTTTACTTGAACTGGCCATGCCTGGTGTGTATTTTTTTGTGCTTATGGTAGCACAGCAGCATGGTAGTATGGTAGAAACAACACAAGCTTTGGAGCCAATTAATCAGTTACTTGTTGAATAAATATTTGTCAGTGTTACTGAGTACTTACCTGGTGGTGTATTATTCACAGGGTTTATACAAGTTCAAAAAATGTGTTTTCTGCCTCCCAGTGTGTTATAGGCTTATAGAGAGAGACGTGTAAGCAAGTGGAATAACATGCAATAGGTACTGTGATACAAGTAGGCGAGGGGTATTTTGGTATTACAAATGGTAGCTAGGATGTGATGCCTGAACTGAGTTTGCCAGATGTGGATGAAGTGTGGTGGTGCGGAAGCATTCCAGATAGAAGGAGGAGGCGTAGGCACAAGTACAGCTGCAAGCACAGCATATGATGTATGCCTCGCTGTGGAGTTAAGACATGGTGAAGAGGGTGGGGAGGCACTGAAGAGTTGTAGAGAATGAGGTGCTCAGCTGTGCACATGAGGACATGTACACTGGCTTTAGTGCTGAGCATTGAAAGGGACGAGCAGGAAGAGTAGTAAGGAAGTATTGCCGCAGACCAGCTGAAAGATTATGAGGGCCTCAACTGGCACAGGAGCAGAGGATAAATGCGAGGAAGGTTAAAAGGAGGTCGACTCAGTAGAATTTTTGTTTTCCTGTTGATTAAGAAGAGTCAGAAAGTTAGGACTCCCGGGTATCTAATTTGGGATTGACTGGGATAAATGGTGATATTCATTGAGATTGAGAATGGAGCTGGGGGAAGATTTAATTTTGGACATACTGATCTTAAGTAGCCTCTGAGGCTGTAAGGTATCACTGCCCAGTCAATAGTTGGAGGGGACAGGCCCATACCCAGTAGCTTACTGCAACAGTGATATTCACTCACTCATTTATTTATTCAGTATTTATTGGAGTCTTTTATGTGCCAGGCACTGTGGTAACAGGATAGACAGGGTCACTGCCCTTGAAAGAGCCCACATTTGGAACTGGGGGGCTGTGGGATGAGATGGGGGAAGCTAAACAACACTTTCAAACAGTGTTGTTTGAAATCCTCCATTCCCAGCCCTACTTGAGAAAAGACATCGCCAGGGATAGAACTTTGAAGAACACCAAAATTTGCAGGGTGGCAGAGAAAAAGAGGTGTGACAAGGCCCGGCCGGAGGAAGGAAAGACATAAGAGAATGATACCACAGAGTGTTATAAGACAGTGATCGGCATGGCCAAATACTGTGGAAAGGGAATGTGAGGGGGCATCAAGGGAGGTCTTTTGAAGTAGCAGCCTTGGTGACCTCTGTCGAGCTCTTTCACTGGCAGGTAGGTCAGAGTCCTGACTATAACGGAATGAAGGAGTGGGAAGTGAGGAACAGAGAAGCTAAATATGGAGTAATTTGGGAGAGATCGTAAGCTGAAGGGCAGGGAAGAAAGTAGTCAGAGGAGCTGCTGAGTCAAGAAAGTTTTAAATTTTTTTTTTAATGGGAGGATTTGAATACTCGTTTTAAATAGAACAGGTTGAATATCAAGGACTGAACTGGGGCAAGGTTTCCAGTCTTCAGGAGAAGGTTGGCAGGATTGTGTCTGTGGCGGAAGGGTTAGCCTTAGACCAAGGAATGGATGGTCCTTCCTTTGAAGTGGGAGGAAACGAGTATAAGAAGGGGTGTAGAGAGAGGAATTTGAAGATGTGGGAGTATTAGCTCATAGGGCTGCCGTAACAAAGTAACCACAAACTAGGTGGCTTAAACAACAGAAATTTGTTTTCTCATAGTTCTGGAAGTTAGAAGTCTGAGATCAGGGTGACAACAGAGCTGGCTCCTTCTGAGGGCTATGAGAGAGGATCTGCTCTGGGCCGTCCCCTACTACAGGTGTTTGCTGGCAATCTTTGGCATCCCTTGGCTTGCAGAAGCTTCACTGAGACCTCTACCTTCATCTTCACATGGCATTGTCCCTGTGTGCATCTCTATGTCCAATTTCTCCTTTTTTATAAGGACACCAGTTGTATTGGATTAGGGCTCACCTTAATGACTCATTTTACTTAATCACCTTTGTCAAGACCCCATCTTCAAAAACAGTCACATTCTGAGATACTGGGGATTAGGACTTTAGCATATGAATTTTGAGAGGGACACAATTCAACCTATATCATTGTCATTCTTCTATTTTTAAATTTAGGTGTAATTTATATAATAAAATGTATGGATACTAGATATTCAGTTACATTGGTTTTATAGTTATGTGCTCTATGTGGACATTGCATCACCCCAGAAAGTTCCCTTATGACCCTTTTCAGTCTATCCCCCCAAGCACCTTTTGATTTCCGTCATCATAGATTAGCTTTGCCTGCCTCTCTTGTTTTTGACTATACCCAGGGGTCTGCCACCTTCCCTGGCCACTCCTCGGTCTCCTTTGCTGGAGCTGCCTCCTGCTCCTCCTCTCTGATTGTTGGATTATTCTTGGTTGGTCTCACTTTGTGGAACTCTTCTCCATCTACATTCCATAGGTGATCTCATCCATCACGTGCCTTTAATTGCCATCCACTTGTTAATCTCTTCCTAGTTTATATCTCCAGGCCACTCCATTCCCGAATTCAAGACTCATTTGTTGCCTCCTTGACATTTCCACCTGAATGTCTAATGGAGATCTCAAGCTTAACACACCCAAACCAAATTTCTAGTAGCCCCTCCACACCTAAACCTGCTATTCCTACAATGTTCCTCGCCTCCATCAATTTTAACTCTATCCCTCTAGTTGCTCAGGCAATGTAGGAAGCAATCACCATATGTGTCATCCTTCTGTAGCCCTGAGATGAGCTCTGACCAGACAGTAGTTGAGAGAGAATGGGAGGGAGAAAGAACTCCCTTTGGGTCTTGAGACCCAGCTCTCCCACCAGACTCTCTGAGCCTTATTTTCCTTTTCTCAAACTGGCAAACTTCACTTAGGAAGTGTCATGAGAATAAAATAAAGGATTGAAAAGTGCTTAAAATCTTGAGTCATCAGGAAGAGATTAAGTTATATTCTGTTTAGGAAACCTGTAGTGTATGTATGTATGTGTATACATATTTATATGCATATGCACACATGTGATTTCCATAAAAATGTTTAAAAATTATTCTTTTTGTTTTGATTTACTTTCCTTTGCTTATTTTGGAACATTAAAATAACTTATGAAAGTACTGTTGCTGGTACAGAGTTCTGATATTCTTCTTGTTTTGGCTCACAGGAAAAATGGAGGCTGCTTCCAGCATTTTTAAAGGTAATTGTTTCACATTTAATAATAATTGGTTATTTTTCAGATGAAAAAGTCAAGAAATAAGCCATTTTTTAAAGATTAAATTTTTGTCATCAACATTTTTTGATTTTGTATAGCTGTGTTTGGAAATACAAGGAATTATAAGGTAAAATCCCTGCCTGAAAGGTGCTGGTTTGGAGAGTGGTAGTCTAATTTTAGAGAGAAGTAGTAGTACATGCACAGTAGCATGGCACATGATTAAAAACCAAAGTGCTATCAGCAAAAGAGCAATGGTCAGAGAGGGCCACCCAAATGAAGTGAGACATAAACCACATCTTAAGAGAAGAAGGTTTAAGCCTGAAAGCTGGGTGCAGAGAGCGTGGCTCAATCAAGGTGTTCAAGAGGAGCCTCCACAGAGTCTGCAGGAAATAGCGACCAGTCAAGAGGAGCTGCTGAATATGATATGATGTGGTGTCGGGCTTCAATTCAATTTCCAAGAGCTTATGCTAAGAAGTAATGAGTACCACAGTGAGAGACCACTTGGCACCCGCTAGGATAGCTATAATCAAAATCAAATGTTAATAAGGGTGTGGAGGAATGGGAACTATCATGCTCCACTGGTGGGAACGTAAAGTGTTATAGCCACTTTGGAAAACAGGCTGTCAGTTTCTCAAATGGTTAAACAAAAAGTTACCACATCCTCCAGCAATTCCACTCCTAGATATCTGTCCAAGAGACATGAAAACATGTGTCCATGCAGAAACCTGTACACAAATGCTCATAGCAGTATTATTCATAATAGCCAAGAGTGGAAACAACCCAAATGGCCATCAGCTGCTGGATGGATACACAAAATGGGATGTATCTGTGCAACAGAGTATTATTTGGCAATAAAAAGAAAGCAGGTACCCGCTGCAACATGGACGAATCTTGAAAGCATTGTGCTAAGTGAAAGAATGGAGACTTGAAAAATGAGGCCGGGCGCGGTGGCTCACGCCTGTAATCCCAGCACCTGGGGAGGCTGAGGTGGGCGGATCACGAGGTCAGGAGTTTGAGACCACCCTGGCCAACATAGTGAAACCTCGTCTCTACTAAAGATACAAAAAATTAGCTGGGTGTGGTGGCGGGCCCCTGTAATCCCAGCTACTTGGGAGGATAAGGCAGGAGAATAGCTTGAACCTGGGAGGCAGAGGTTGCAGTGAGCCGAGATCGCGCCACTGCACTGCAGCCTGGTCGACAGTGTGAGATTCCGTCTCAAAAAAAGAAAAATGAGTAGAGTTTTGTCTCTACTCATTTTGGACTCTACTCTAGAGTTCAGTTGCGTGTTATGGGCAGAGGGGAGAGTGCTGGGAAACGAGGCTGGGAGTTGTCAGGGCCAGTTTCCTGATCAGATTTGAAAGCCGTGTTAAGGATTTGGCTTTTCTTCTAAAAGCCGTAGGAAGCTATTGAGGAGTTTCTAAGTTGGGGAGTGACCAAGAATCAAATAAAATGGTCGTAAGGTCAAGAAGTTTCTTTTTCCCCCTAAGAGACCAGGTCTTGCTACATTGCCCAGGCTGGATTTGAACTCCTGAGTTTGAGTGATTCTCCTGCCTCTGCCTCCCGAGTAGCTGTGACTGTAGGAATGTGACACCTTGCCTGGCCTTTTTGTTATTTTTTAAAAGGAGCTGCACATAAATGGAGAAGAAGGTGCTGGGTGCTGGGCACAGTGGCTCACGCTTGTAATCCCAGCACTTTGGGAGGCCAAGACAGGCGGATCATTTGAGGTTGGGAGTTTGAGACCGACTAGCCTGGCCAACATGGTGTAACCCCGTTTCTACTAAAAATACAAAAATTAGCTGGGCATGGTGGCGGGCACCTGTAATCCCAGCTACTCAGAAGGCTGAGGCACCTGAACTGCTTGATGCAGGGAGGCGGACGTTGCAGTGAGCCGAGATCGCACCACTGTACTCCAGCCTGGGCAATAGAGCGAGACTCTGTCTCAAAAAAAAAAAAAAATTTTTTTTTTGTTAAAAACTAAGATACAAATACACACATTAGCCCGGGCCAGAATCATCAATATCACTGTCTTCCATCTCCATGCCTTGTCCCACTGGAGGGTCTTCATGGACAGTAACACACATGGAGCTGTCATCTTCTATGATAACAATACCTTCTTCTAGAATACTTGCTGAAGGACCTGCCGGAGGCTCTTCTTGAGGAGGGGTCATTCTTTTCAGAAATACACTCTATGAAATCAAATCAAGTTGTAAGTCATTAGGCGATAGGAATTTTTCAGCTCCATTATAATCTTATGGGACTGCTGTCAGATATGTGGTCTGTAGTTGAATGAAATGTTGTTATGTGGCACATGACCATATATTCATGTACTCATATTTTGATTTCCGAGAGTCAGATTGCTTCTCAAGGAGGAAAACTCTCGAGGATATGCTAGTAAGACGATGCAGAAATGGAATGAGAATGCATTAATGAAAAGATTTATTAAATAAAATTCATGGATTATTTTTCTCATTTTGATTTTGATAAAAATTTGATGTTCACCTATTATTAGATTCCATTATATGATCTATTATTTGAGCATATCATCAGTACTCTTTGCACTTTTGCTAACCTGTTTACTTTCTCTTTCTATCTGTTTAGGTGAAAGGCCTTGTGAAACAGCATATAGATTCATTTAACTATTTCATTAATGTAGAGGTAAGCATCAGATGTTAGAAATAGACATAAACTAAGGATTAATTGGAAGCCAGAGTCTTTGCTAATGTTGCATTTTCCACTGCAGATAAAGAAGATAATGAAAGCCAATGAAAAGGTTACAAGTGACGCTGACCCTATGTGGTACTTAAAGTAAGGAACCAACATTCTTAATTTGCTATGTGGGTTACATCTAACATTTTTTAAAGTGAGTGAAGTTGCTATCAAAACTCTTTTAAAATCATTGTCTTGGCCAGGCTCGGTGGCTTATGCCTGTAATACCAAGCACTTTGGGAGGCCGAGGTGGGCAAATCACCTGGGGTCAAGAGTTCGAGACCAGCCTGGCCAACATGGTGAAACCCTGTCTCTACTAAAAATACAAAATTAGCCAGGCGTGGTGGTGCACATCTGTAATTCCAGATACTCAGGAGGCTGAGGCAGGAGAATCGCTTGAATCTGGGACGGGGAGATTTCAGTGAGCTGAGATTGTGCCACTGCACTCTATCTTTTACAGCAGAGTGAGACTCTGACTCAAAAAAATAAAAAATGAAAAAATAAATCATTGTCTTTTATTAACTATAAAGTGCTCAAATTAAATTTTTAACTGGCAAATTATAATGAGCTATGGTTGGGAAAATTTTGAAACTATTAGGTTTTAAATATTTAAATTTTTATTTTGAAATAATGTTAAGCTTAAAAGAAAAATTGCAAAAGTAGTACAAAGAATTCTTCAATATTTTTCACCAAGCCTTCACTGATATTAACATCTTACATAACCATAGCACAATGATCAAAACCAGGAAGTTAGCACAGATACGATGTTGTCTACTAATCTGTAGACCTTATTTGATGTTTTCTCACAAATGTCCTTTTTCTGGTGTAGGAATCAATCCAGAGCTCCGTGTTATGTTTAGTTGTCTTGTATCCTTAGTCTCCTCAATCTTTCTTGGTCTTTCATGACATTGACACTTTTGAACAATCTAGTCAGTATTTGTAGAAGTTCCTTTAATTTGAGTTTGTATGACGTCTGATTGGGTTATACATTTTTGGCAAGAATACCACAGAAGCAATGTTTTATGCTGTTCTCACTGATTCGTATTGGGGTTACAGATGCCAATATATTTTATTACTAATGATTTTAACTTTGTTCACTTGATTAAGGTAGGATCTTCCAGATTTCTCCACTGAAAGGTTACTATTTTTCCTTTTGTAATTAATAAGTATCTTATAGGGACATTCTTTGAGACTATGCAAATACCGTTTCTCATCATAATTTCACCAACAGTTTTAGCATACATTGATGATTCTTACCTATAACAGTTATTATTGTGGGCTTATCTAATGGTGAACCTTTATTTCTATCATTCCTTCTGCAGTGATACTGGAATTCTGTACAGAATAGTTTCCTTTTCCCCTCACATATCTCTCTATATTAATTTATATCAATTTGGACTCATGGATGTTTTATTTTATTCTATGAGTACTATCATATATATATATCCAGTCCTGTCATTTTTCTGTTGTTCAGACTGTTTCAGCTTTGACCATAGGGAGACCCTTCAGATTGACTCTGGTGTCCTTTCAAGATGCCACCATTATTTTTTGAGCACTCCTTTGCTTTCTTGGACCGTAAGATATGGTTCATCTGGTATGCCCCCATCCCAGATTGGGAATCCAAGGAGCCCTAGAGTCTCCCTTTTATTGGAAAATAGTATTTAGATTCCAAGACATGGACACTAAGATTTCAGCAGGTAGAGCTCAGAAATATGTGTATGTATACGAACACATATGTGCAGACACATCTGTATTTCTTTATCCTATCCATTTTTACATATATTAAAAACCATGCAGACTGATACCTCCAATTTCAGTTCGACACTGCAGGACTCATTCTAACCTTTTCCCTTTCCTTATTTAACTTTTATCCCAATAATGAGAAATCTGGCTCCCATTATCTGCAAAATTTAAAAAAAAATTTTTCAATCCTAGACTATAAATAAAGTTTCAGAATTATTAACTCATACCTCTGAGAGATAAAATTTACTAGAGTGTAGGATTTGTGCACTGTCGTTTTTATCTTTAGCCTCTCAATGTCCAATCAAAATATTGTCTCCCAGGGTTACTTACATTAGTTCTTTTCTTTATTTTTTCAGTATGTGAGACATTATTATGGTTTAAGAGTTAGACTTGCACAAAAAAGTATATTCAGAAAATAGTTGTTCCACTTCCAGTTCTTTCCACCCTGTTCCCAGCCACTCTCCATAGGTAACCAATCTCATTAGTTTCCGCTTTATCCTTTTCATCCTTCTTTTGCACAAATGAGCGTTTTTTTTTTGTTTGTTTTTTTGTTTTGTTTGTTTTTGCCTTTATGGCCTCTTCTTTCTTTTGCAAATGATAGCATATCATCAGTACTCTTTACACTTTGCTCTTTCATTAAGTATCATTTTTAGGGAGCTGTATTTCCAGTATTTTTGTAAAGAGATTTGTAATATTTTTTAAAAGATACTTTGATAATATTTCCCTCCTTTGTAAAGCTATATGTACTATCACTTCAAGAAGATCTCCAATTTTAATATTTAATTTGTCATCCTTACCAAGATAAGCATTTATCAAAACATAATCTTTGTATTTGGAAGGAAAATAGCTTGTTTGCTTTTATGATCTTCGAAGAAGTATAATTCATACCGCACTAATTTGCTTTTCAGATATCTTAATATCTATGTTGGGCTTCCTGATGTTGAAGAAAGCTTCAATGTAACTAGACCAGTGTCCCCTCATGAGGTAATTATGAACCTTACTTTAATTGGACTTGTTTGCTTTAACTCAGAGTCTGCCCTTAATATATACTCTTAAAAGATCATTTAAAAATGGGATGGGGGGGGACATTCTTTGGAGAAAAAGGGATTAAAGTTCAATGTGGACCATAATTCTACTACAGAAGGAGCACTTTGAAGTGGTCAGGACCCTGTTGCAGAGAGGAGCAGTAACTGTCAGATTCCTGATTCTCTTTCAGTGCCGTTTGAGAGACATGACATACTCTGCCCCTATTACAGTGGATATTGAATATACCCGAGGCAGCCAGAGGATCATCCGCAATGCCTTACCTATCGGCAGGTGAGAAATGAAATCCGTATTAGAGCCACACTGCCTGGATTCCAGCCCCATGATGTGATCCCATTTCCTCATCTGAAAAATGCAGGAAATGCTGCCTATTTCATAGGTCCAATGAGTCAGCATGTGTAAAGCACTTAGAATAATGTCCAGCACATAGTCGTGGTTGTTACTATTTATTAATTGTGAAACCTTTTCTAAGAAGTTGAGGAAAATGTTTCCCTTTCCTACTATAACTCTGAGCTGCTAGGGAACCACTAGATACAATAGCCTTTCAGTGAACTCTCCTGGACAGGTCTTCTTGGTGGATAGGTATATTCTGAGATTGAGTTTTCCTGGAATTTAACTTTTTCTCATCTACAAGTATTTAAGGGAGAAGTTACTTATTTGCCTGGTACAAGTTTGGAAATGATAGCATCCACTTGCGTTTTTGCAATCTGCCCTTCCTGATTAGGGAAATATATTGACTCTCCTTTAGAAATGGACAAAACCCACAATATTGTGTGGTCAATAATGGTACTAGACTTTAAACTCAGTCCACATAATTTCTGTTCAAGTGTTTTTCCCCCTCTCAAAAGTGCTAAGAGCACTTTGAACAAACATCCATTTGTTCAATAAATATATACCAACTGCCTATCACTTCTTATGTATGATGCTGAGTACTTAGGTGAGTAAAAGATATACAAAATACAGTTCCTATTGGCTACCTTCATTCACAGCTATCAGGGAAGACAGGCATATGTAATTATGGCACCATTTGGTAAGGGGTCTAGAAGTCCAGATTTTTATGGAAACATGCAGGTTTAACAAATCCTCCTATACTTCCCTCAAAGGAAGGGGTAATTTGTATTGTTTCTCTCCTTAGTCTTCACTTAGAAAAATAAGTAAGATATTAAAATGTTCATCTTGGTTTTAGCAGGACTGTTTATCAGTGTTTTTTTTGTTTTATTGTTTTTTTTTTTTTTTTTTGAGACAGAGTCTTACTCTGTTACCCAGGCTGGAGTGCAGTGGCATGATGTTGGCTCACTGCAACCTCTGCCTCCCGGGTTCAAGTAGTTCTCTAGCCTCAGCCTCCTGAGTAGCTGGGATTATAGGCGTGTGCCACCACACTCAGCTAATTTTTGTATTTTTTGTAGAGATGGGGTTTTGCCATGTTGGTCAGGCTAGTCTTGAACTCCTGACCTCAGGTGATCCGCCCGCCTTGGACTCTCAGAGTGCTGGGATTACAGGCGTGAGCCACCGCGCCTGGCCTATCAGTGTTAAGGTGAGAACTTCTTTCTTTCTTGTATATGGACCATACTTGTGTCCAGTTAAATTTTGGACCATAGCTAAATTATGAACTAGATTGACTATTGTGAAGGAAAGGCAAGAGAGACTGGAGGAAAACATAAATTCATAAGATTGAGGGTTTAAATCCTGGTTTAAAGAGGGAGCATGAGTGGGCGAAGGACATGAACAGACACTTCTCAAAAGAAGACATTTATGCAGCCAAAAAACACATGAAAAAATGCTCACCATCACTGGCTATCAGAGAAATGCAAATCAAAACCACAATGAGATACCATCTCACATGAGTTAGAATGGCAATCATTAAAAAGTCAGGAAACAACAGGTGCTGGAGAGGATGTGGAGAAATAGGAACACATTTACTCTGTTGGTGGGACTGTAAACTAGTTCAATCATTGTGGAAGTCAGTGTGGCGATTCCTCAGGGATCTAGAACTAGAAATACCATTTGACCCAGCCATCCCATTACTGGGTATATACCCAAAGGACTATAAATCATGCTGCTATAAAGACACATGCACACGTATGTTTATTGTGGCACTATTTACAATAGCAAAGACTTGGAACCAACCCAAATGTCCAACAATGATAGACTGGATTAAGAAAATGTGGCACATATACACCATGGAATACTATGCAGCCATAAAAAATGATGAGTTCATGTCCTTTGTAGGGACATGGATGAAAATGGAAATCATCATTCTCAGTAAACTATCGCAAGAACAAAAAACCAAACACCGTATATTCTCACTCATAGGTGGGAATTGAACAATGAGAACACATGGACACACGAAGGGGAACATCATACTCTGGGAACTGTTGTGGGGTTGGGGGAGGGGGGTGGGATAGCTTTAGGAGATATACCTAATGCTAAATGACGAGTTAATGGGTGCAGCACACCAGCATGGCACATGTATACATATGTAACTAACCTGCACGTTGTGCACATGTACCCTAAAACTTAAAGTATAATAATAATAAAATAAAATAAAATAAAAAGAGGGGGCATGTAACTAGCATTTGTTGAATACCTGCTATGTGCCATACTATGATAGGCAATGTTGTTTGTTAGCTCCGCATTCATAAAAAAGACCTCTAGTCATTAGAATGCTTATATGTGCTATGCATTACCTAAATTACATATATAATCTCATTTATTTTTTGGAGTAAAAAGATTTTAGTTTAATCCAAATTATATTTGTACTTGGTTAGAAATCAAACAGTACATAAAAACATTTGATTCAAAACAGTAACCTCCCTCCTTCTCTCCCCTTCCTCACCTTTCGTCCCATTCCCAACTTCATAACTATTTCTGTTATTTTTTTCTGGGGGTTATTACATCCATAACTTTATTTTGTGTGTGTGTGTTTTTTTTTTTTTTTTTTTTTTTGAGATGGAATTCACTCTGTTGCCCAGGCTGGAGTACAGTGGCATGATCTCAGCTCACTGCAACCTCCGCCCCCCAGGTTCAAGTGATTCACCCACCTCAACCTCCCGAGTAGCTGGGATTACAGGTGCCCGCCACCACGCCTGGCTAATTTTTTTTTTATTTTTAGTAGGGACAGGGTTTCACCACGTTGGCCAGGCTGGTCATGAACTCCTGACCTCATGTGATCCACTCGCCTCGGTCTCCCAAAGTGCAGAGATTACAAGCACGAACTACCATGCGTGGCCAATATCCATAACTTTAAATGCGATGCTTTGACCTCTATTTCTTAATACATTAACTGTAGACATTATTTTTTCCCTCCTGATATACGGGATGTGGCTTAGCTTACCTGTGTCACCCACTTTGCTTCTCCCTTCGTCTTCCAATTTTTCCTTCTTGTTTTTAATTATCTTTTTGGTTACTGTAGTAACTGAAATATTCTTATATCTTCATGTCATATTACATAACTTTAGTCAGTATGTTCATTTCCCTTGGTATAAAATGAGAATATTCTTATTTCTATCTTCCCATTACGATTTCCCTTTTAACGTGAGTTATTTAGAAGACTTAAGATTTCCCAATTGGTGCTTTATGTCAATTTTTGGAACTTTGTAGAGACCTGTTTCTATAAATGTTTCATGTTTATTTGGAAACAAGAGGTATTCTCCAGTTGTTTTGTGCCATTGTCTGTGTATTTCCTTCAGATCAGACTTGTTAATTGTGTTGTTTAGACGTTTTGTATCAGCATTGCTTTTTGATTTGTTTGTTCTATCAATTACTACAATAGGTATGTTAAAATCTCCCACTATGATGGTGGATTTTTCCATTTTCCTTATGGTTTTGTGTATTTTTGCTTTTTTGAAGCTATGATATTAGGTGCATAGAAGTTTAGAATTGTTAAATCTTGCTAGTAAACTGAACCTTTGATGATTGTACATTTATCTTCTTTATCTCTTATAATATTCTTTGCCTTGAATCTTATTTTGTCTGCTCTTAGCATAGCTACATTTGCTTTCTTTTGGTTATATTTCTGGCATATCATTAAAAAAATTATTGTCTGTTTAATCTTTTATATGGGCT
The DNA here is from genome assembly GCF_000001405.40 of Homo sapiens. Classification (NCBI taxonomy): domain Eukaryota; kingdom Metazoa; phylum Chordata; class Mammalia; order Primates; family Hominidae; genus Homo; species Homo sapiens. The sequence continues at coordinate 106,373,476 of NC_000012.12, forward strand.
GGGCACAGTGGCTCACACCTGTAATCCCAGAACTTTGGGAGGCTGAGGCGGGTGGATCACCTGAGGTTGGGAGTTCGAGACCAGCCTGGCCAACATAGTGAAACCTCACCTCTACTAAAAATACAAAAATTAACTGGGTGTGGTGGTACATATCTGTAATCCCAGCTACTTGAGAGACTGAGGCATGAGAATTGCTTGAACCCGGAAGGCGGAGGTTGCAGTGAGCCGAGATTGTGCCACTGTACTCCAGCCTGGGCAACAGAGCGAGACTCCATCTCAAAAAAAAAAAATCTCTTAAATGTCCTTATGTTTTGAGTTTAGTTGAAGTAAACTGCATATGGTTAGATTTTTTAAAAAATTGTCTTGAGAATGTAGTTTATTTTTATTTGTTTTATATACATACATATATGCATATATATTGGAGTGTATATCTGTCAACTTATTCTATATTTTAAAACTGTCTAGCTTTTCATGTTTCAGGTTTTTTTCCATTTTTCTTTTTGGATAATGGAAGATTTTTTTTTTCTCACCCTTCCCCAACTGATTTAAAAGTCATATACAGTATTTCTGATTGTTTATGTTTACCTTAGAAATTTTGAAATGCATACTTAACAAAGTTTGAAAATAAAAAATACCTTTATTCTCTTCCTGGCAACAAAGACCTTAGAAAGCTTTAACTTGGATCAAATCAATCACTTTGACTTACATGCTTTTGTTGTACCAAATTTTTGTTCTATCTTGTTTTGTTTTGGTCTTTTTGAGACAGGGTCTCACTCTGTCACCCAGGCCAGAGTGCAATGGTACACTCATGGCTCACTGCAGCCTCAACCTCCTGGGCTCAGGTGATCCTCCCACCTCCAGCCTCCCTGGTAACTGGGACTATAAGTGCACCACCACACCTGGCTAATTTTTGTATTTTTTGTAGAGACGGGGTTTCGCCATGTTGCCCCCGCTGGTCTCGAACTCCTGGGCTCAAGTCATCCACCCGCCTTGGCCTCCCAAAGCATTGAGAATTGCAGGCATGAGCCACCATTTGTGGCATGTTTTTTTTTTTTTTGAGATGGAGTCTCGCTCTGTTGCCCAGGCTGGAGTGCAGTGGTGTGATCTTGGCTCACTGCAACCTCCGCCTCCCAGGTACAAGTGATTCTCCTGCCCCAGCCTCCTGAGTAGCTGGGACTATAGGCGCACGCCACCACGCCCAGCCAATATTTTTTGTATTTTTAGTAGAGATGGGGTTTCACCACGTTGACCAGGATGGTCTCGATCCCTTGACCTTGTGATCCACTTGCCTTGGCCTCCTATAGTGCTGGGATTACAGGCGTGAGCCACCGCACCTGGCCTCCTTGGCATGTTTTTTTCACCTATAAATTAGAAATTGTTATTGTCTTATGAAGTTCGCATTTGTTTATATCCACACACATTAGTTTCCATTTTCTTTGCTCACCATACATTTTTACACGTCAGACTTTTGGTTAGTGTTTATTTTCCGTCTTCCTGAAGATGAATTTTTTTTAGAAATTTATTTAGTGAGGGCCTATTAGTACATTAGTAACTTCTCTCAGTTTTTGTCTGAAAATATCTTTATGTTGACCTCATTCTGAGTGAATACGTAGCAGAATACACAAATCGAGGTTGGCAGTTATTTTCTCTTCAAGCACATTGGTTGTGTGCTTGACACACACTTCGAGCACACTGCTCTGTGTCATTGGTTGTTGTGAAGTTATTGTGCATCCAGTCATCCTTCCCTTTTTGGTAGCCTCTCTTTTTTTCTGGCTGGGTTTTAAACCTTATCTCTAATTTTGGTGTTTAGTATCTTGACTGTGATCTGCTTAGGTGTAGCTTTCTTTTTATCTTGTGCAGATGTTACCGTGAGGATTTATGGCTTTCATATGTCTTTAAAAATTTATGGCTCTTATCTCTTTGAATAGGACTTCTCACCTATTCTGTGTATTTTCGCCATCTAGAAGTCTGATTAGGTGTTGATTAGTCGCTCTCTCTCTATCCTTCCCTGACTCTTAAACTCTCTTTCATATCTTCCATCTCTACGTCTTTCTGAAATTCATTCTCAGTAATTTCTTCAGATGTCTTTTCCAGCCCAGTAATTATATCTTCAGCAGTATCAAAGCTATTATTATCCAACCTATTTCTACATTTTTAAGTTAGTGCTTAAAATTTCCATTTCTAGTACATTTTGCTCAGTTCTTTTTCCAGACTGCCTGGTTAGTTTTCATAGCCTCTTGTTCCTTACACTTGGATGCATTGTGCTATTGCCAAGTAACTGATGAGAATCACTTTGTCTTCCATGAAGGAAGTGTTGCTGTCATTTCTGACTCTCACTAAAGCCTGTATGCAAAGTTTAAACCAAACATTTGAGTTTTTTGTTTTTTTGTTTTGTTTTTTGAGACAGAGCCTCACTCTGGAGTGCAGTGGTGTGATCCTGGCTCACGGCAGCTTCCACCTCCAAGTTCAAGCGATTCTCCTGTCTCAGCCTCCTGAGTAGCTGGGACTACCGGCACACACCACCACACCCAGTTAATTTTTTGTATTTTTAGTAGAGATGGAGTTCCACCATGTTGGCCAGGCTGCTCTCAAACTCCTGGCCTCATGTGATCCACCCACCTTGGCCTCCCAAAGTGCTGGGATTATAGGCATGAGCCACTGCACCCAGCCTGAGTTTTTATCATCTGTACTAGACGAGCAGCGTGCCTGAGAAAATACTTCATTTTGCTTGGCTTCCATGTAATTGCTATTTCTCTGCCTTTTCTAACATGGTGCATAGATAGACCCTTAGTGAGGTGGTGTGCACTGCATGTTTTGTATTTTTTGCAGCTTTTATCATTGACAGCCTACATGTGATATTTTCTTTTGTTTTATTTTATACAGAATGCCCATAATGCTACGTAGTTCAAACTGTGTTCTTACAGGAAAAACGCCAGCAGAATTTGCCAAACTGAACGAATGTCCCTTAGATCCAGGTATGTGTGAAGTCTTGGATTTGTCCCACTTTCCTTATTCTTTTATTCTGCTGCTGCTGTGGTTTTAACATTTTGTCTCAAAAACAGTACCAGCTTTTCTACTTTATAATGAACTTGTTCACAAAACACCCAGAAATTTGTCTCTAGCTTTATGCTACTAGTCTGTATTTCTTTCTTTCTTTTTTGAGATAGTGTCTCACTCTGTCATCTAAGCTGGAGTGCAGTGGTGTGATCTCAGCTCACTGCAACCTCTGCCTCCCAGGCTCAAGCAATCCTCCCACCTCAGCTTCCCAAATAGATGGGACTACAGGCTTGTGCCACCATACCCAGCTCATTTTTGTATTTTTAGTAGAGATGGTGTTTTGCTATGTCATCCTGGCTGATCTCCTGGACTCATCCACCTTGGCCTCCCAAAGTGCTGGGATTACAGGCGTGAACCACTGCGCCTAGCCCTATTAGTCTATATTTCTCAAAGACATACTGTTTCCTCTTTTATTTCAGGCTTAAGACTTTAATATGACACATTCTTGTTTATTGCCATGATTTGTCAGTCTTTTCTTTCTATCTTTGCCCACGAGTTTCTTTTGGTATGCCTAAAAATTCAAGAATAATCTTCCAGAGTTACTGGCCTTGCCTGGTTGAAAAAAATCAAGTATCACACTTCAGGGTGTTTTAAATGCAGTAAAGCAGTAGGGAGATGAAAGTATTTTTTTGTTTACATTTTTAAAAATTTTATTTTTGTACCTATTTCTAGGCAATTTCTTTTGTAAAATTTCAAACTTAGAACTTAACAAAAAGTTTCTCTTAGTTCTTTAACTCGTATTTCACATTGATTTATTTGAACTTATAGTTGCTTTAATCTTATTCCTGTAAAGTTGCATTGTTTTAGAATCCCAGAAGTTTTGGAAAGAAGTTAATGAAGAATGTGACTTTACTAGACTATAACAGAATGTTGCATAAGTCAAATATGTTGTATTGTTTTTGCTTATATTCTGCAGGTATAAAATGAAGTATTACTTTATCCTACTCTGAATTGTGTGCAAAAAAAATACATGATGATGCATGAGTTTTTTTGAATATGGAATATTATTTTGGAAACCTAATCTTAATCTACCATTACCACTGATTTGTTAGAAAACTTAGAGTAAATTTGAGCTTATATTGAAAATTGTCAGTTACACTTGTACTTAAGAGCTCTGACAACTAATTTATTTAACTATTTTTTTCATTCACTTTTTACATATGTCAGGGGCGGGTGATTCATAGACCAATAAGATACATTTCCTGTCCTCAAGAAATTTTTTATCTTGTAGCTCATTTGTATAAAATCACGTGCTGATCTTCAGTCCATAAAACAATATCAGATGGGCGCAATGGCTCTTGCCTGTAATCCCAGTGCACTGAGAGGCTGAGGCGGGAGGATGGCTTAAGACAGGGAGTCAGCCTGAGAAGCATAGTGAGACCCTGTTGTTACAAAAAATTTAAAAATTAGCTACGTGTGGTGGCACATGCCTCTAGTCCTAGCTACTCGGGAGACTGGGGCGGGCGAATCACTTGAGGTTAGCAGTCCGAGGTTGCAGTGAGCTATGATTGTGCCACTGCACTCCAGCCTCGGCGACAAAGGGAGATCCTTTCTCAAAAAATAAAATAAAATAAAATAAAAAATAAAATCAGCAACCCCTTTGAATCAAGTGTTAGCCAGTGCCATGAAGCAGTAGTAGAAAAGGTAATCTCTGATTCACAAGATTCCTGCCATTACTAAATCAACACTGGTTGAGGAATAAATGATGAAGTTTTTCTTGTTTCCTTTGGGTAGGTGGCTACTTCATTGTTAAAGGAGTAGAAAAAGTTATTCTTATCCAAGAGCAGCTGTCTAAGAACAGGATCATCGTGGAGGCTGATAGAAAAGGGGCTGTTGGAGCTTCAGTTACCAGGTATGGAAAGCAGAGATGGTGTCCTTAAGCAATATTGGTCATTCCATTAGTCCTAAATGGCTATGTTTCAATACAGAGGGAGCCAGTTATTACCCTCTAAAAGCAGGCATTGTAATATTTAAGCTATCTGCATTCAATTTATTATGAAAGTCTGGAAGCATAGGGTACTGATTTTAAAATTTCAGTGATGGGAGTCTGAGACATTGTTTGAAAAGTCACTGTTTAAGCTGAATTTTATGTTAGCTTATAGAGCATGAAAGGAGATTTAAAAAAAAAAAAATAAAACCACTCTTCAGTTTTTCACACTCCTTTTCAGCCTTTTATGCTCCTTTTCAGCCTTTTACCATTTACATGTGTATTCCTGCATCAGTATGATCAGGGACTATTTGACACTTAATATTGAATGACCTGTATCATGGACTTAACACCCTATTGTTAGTTTTCTAGACCAGCCTCTTTCACAGTGTATTCATTTTTACTACAGTCTCCCTTTCGAGGCTTCTGTAACTTCTTTTTATTTTCACGTGTAATTTGAAATATGGAGGTTAATGAGTTCTGGGAATAGAAAGATTTGTGGCATAGATAAGATGTGAGAGTGCGGTAGTTTCCTGTTTGATAACCTACAACGAACTGATTAACTCAGAATTTCTGTACTTTTCTTTCTGATGGAGAGGCAGCTAACAGTAATGGTCATTCATGGAGTACTTACTAGGAGCCAGGCAAAATACTAGGTATATTATTTGTCACCTCAGTCCTCCAAGATAAGTGGTACTATTAACATCTCCATTTTACAACTAACAGGCCTTAAGCTCAGGGGTACCTTGACTGTAAGAGGTAGATAGCCTTTGAACCCAGATACGGTTAATTTTACAATCCATGTCTTCCCACTATCTGTAACTTTGGAGCCAAGGCAATTTGAATTTGAATCCTAAAGCTTTGTTTTCTAGTTATGAGGCACTGGAATGTGCAGTTAGTTAGCTTCTCTAAGCCTTGGTTTCCTCATAAGTGATTTTGAGACAATACTTCAGTTTGACTATGTAGAAGATTAGAGCTAATGTAAGTAACATGGGTAACAATGCGTAGTAGCAGGTAATCTGTGTGTGTTACTAATGTGGTTGATTAGAGCTTTTAAAATGCTTTGAAATCCATTAGGAATTTTATAACTAACACAGATACCAACAGAAGGATATTCCTTTCTTTTGGCTTTACTATATACCAAGACTGTGGGTATATTTTGTTGAATTACTAGTTTAAAAACTCGTATATAAATTCATTTCTTTTTAATTTCCTCATTATGTTTAAGGCCCATATATAAAATTGGCCTTGTATATATGCTCTACACTGGATCAAAGTAATTCAAGGTAGAGTCAAAGTGAAGTTGGTCAGAAAGTAATTGTCACTCATTCACACACAGAACTTCCATCATAATCTCAAAGTCAAAGAAAAATTTATAGTGTTTTTAAATGTTCACTGAAGTGGCAGCAGGGCAGGAAAGGAATTGTCTTTTTAAAGTACTTATTAGAAAGGACCTTGTGATTGTTGTTGATCAGTTGACCCTTATTGATTAATGATCATTGCTATTATTGCATGTTACTAGCTTGAAACTAAGTGGGGATGCAGTTTAACCAACTTGTATTTACTCATAGCTCTACCCATGAGAAAAAAAGCAGAACCAATATGGCTGTGAAACAAGGACGATTTTATTTGAGGCATAATACTTTGTCAGAAGATATACCCATTGTCATCATATTTAAGGTAAAGCTGCAGCTCTCTTCTGAAAATTGTAAGAATTCTTTCTCTGGTTTATTTACATATGTAATTAGAGATTTGGAGGGTAAGGAATTCTTGGAATAGAAAGATTTGTGATGTAAGTTGTCAGTCATATGATGTATTTTAAATTGAAAGCTGGCTGGGCGTGGTGGGTCATGCCTGAAATCCCAACACTTTGGGAGGCCAAGATGGGCAGATCGCCTGAGCCCAGGAGTTTGAGACCAGCTTGTGCAACATGGTGAAACCCCATCTCTACCAAAAAAAAAAAAAAAAAAAAAAATAGCTGAGTGTGGTGGTGTGCATCTCTACTTCCAGCCACTCAGGAGGCTGAGGTGGGAGGATGGCTTGAGCCTGGGAGGCAAAGGTTGCAGTGAGCTGAGATTGTGCCACTCTGCTCCAGCCTGGACAACATAGTGAGAACTCATCTCTACAAATAATAAAAACATTAGCCAAGCGTGGTGGCATGTGCCTATAGTTTCAGCTATTTGGGTAGCTGAGATGGGAGGATCACACAAGCCCAGGAAGTCAAGGCTGCAGTGAGCCGTGATCATGCCACTGCACTCCAGCCTGGGCAACATAGCAAGACCCAGTCTCAAAACCAAACAAAAAATCAGCTTATTTGTGAATTGTTGGCCTAGAACCCAAAAGACATTTTCCATAGAAACAATATTGAAATGGTATAGTCTTCTCAGATACAGGCATACTTCGGAGATATTGCTGGTTTTGTTCCAGACCACCACAATAAAGCTAATATCACAGTAAAGTGAGTCACACAAATATGTTAGTTTCCCAGTGCATACAAAAGTTATATGTATACTATACTGTAGTCTGTTAAGTGTGCAATAGCGTTATGTATAAAAAATATATGCCTCAATTAAAATATACTTTATTGCTAAAAAATTCTAACAATTATCTGAGTCATAATCTTTCAGTGAGTTATAGTCTTTTTACTGGTAGAGGGTCTTACCTCAGTGTTGGTGGCTACTGACTAATCAGAGTGGTGGTTGCTGAAGGTGGCTGTGGCATTTTCTTAAAATAAGACATCAGTGAAGTTTACCACAGCTATTGACTCTTCCTTCATGAAAGATTTCTCTGTAGCACACAATGTTGTTTGATAGCATTTTACCCACAGTAGAACTTCTTTCAAAAATTGGAGTCAGTGATAGCATTTTACCCACAGTAGAACTTCTTTCAAAAATTGGAGTCAGTTGTCTTAAACCCAGTTGCTGCTTTATCAATGAAGTTTACATAATATTCTACATCCTTTTTTGTTATTTCAACAATGTATACAGCCTCTTCACCAGGATTAGATTCCATTTCAAGAAATCACTTTTTCTGCTCATCCTTAGGAAGCAACCCCTCACCCATTCAAGTTATATCATGAGATTACACCAATTCAGTCACATCTTCAGGCTCCACTTCTACTTCTAGTTCTCTTGCTATTCCCACCACATCTGCAGCTACTTTCTTCATTAAAGTCTTAAACCCCTCAAAATCATCCTTGAGGATGGGAATCAGCTTCTTGCAAACTCTTGTTGATGTTGGTATTTTGACCTCTTCTCATGAATCACAGATATACAAACATTCTTTTTTTTAAAGTGAAAGCAAGTTTATAAGAAAGTAAAGAAACAAAAGAATGGCTACTCCATAGGCACAGCAGCCCCAAGGGCTGGTGGTTGCCCATTTTAATGGTTATTTCTTGATTATATGCTAAAGAAGGGGTGGATTATTCATGAGTTTTCTGGGAAAGGGGTGGGGAGTTCCCTCCTCCTTTTAGACCATATAGGGTAACTTCCTGACGTTGCCATGGCACTTGTAAACTGTCACTGCGCTAGTAGGAGTGTGAGGATGACCAGAGGTCACTCTCATCACCATCTTGGTTTTGGTGGGTTTTGGCTGGCTTCCTTACTGCAGTCTGTTTTATCAGCAAGGTCTTTATGACCTGTATCTTGTGCCAACCTCCTATCTCGTCCTGTGACTAAGAATGCCTTAACCTCCTTGGAATGCAGCCCAGTAGGTCTCAGCCTTATTTTACCCAGCCCCTCTTCAAGAGGGAGTCACTGTGGGTCGAACACCTCTGACATATTTTCCCCCTTCCCTTTTATAAGACAACCCTAGTCCTAAGGTTTATAGAAGGATGAAGCTCCATCTTCCATAACTTCTTCAGGCTGAATAGGAATGATGATATTCCTGCCTAACTATTAGGGTCTCTTGTATTCAAGGGAATCACAGATATTCTTATTGGCATCTAGAAAAGAGTGAATCCTTTGTAGAAGGTTTCCAGTTTATTTTGTCCAGATCCATCAAAGGAATCACTATCATGGCAGCTATAGCCATAAGACTTGAAAGTTGAAATTACTTCTTTATTCATGGGCTGCAGAATGGATGTTGTGTTAGCAAGCACAAAAACATTAATCTCCTTGTACATCTCCATCAGAACTCTTGGTGACTCAGTTCATTATCAATGAGTAGTAATGTTTTTAAAGGATCTTTTTTCTTAGCAGTAGTTCTCAACAGTAGACATAAAATATTCAGTAAACTATACTGTCAACTGATGTGCTGCCATCCAGACTTTGTTGTTTCATTGGTAGGGCACATGCAGAGTAGATATAGCATAATTCTTAAGGGCCTTACGATTTTCGGAATGTTAAATGAGCACTGACTTGAACTTTTTCTAGACCCTCACAAGAAAATCAGCCTGTCCTTTGAAGCTTTGAAGCCAGGCATTGACTTCTCCAGCTGTCAAAGTCCTAGATGGCATGTTCTTTCAATAGAAGGCTGTTGCATCTACATTGAAAATCGGTTGTTTAGTATAGACACCTTCATCAGTGATCTTAGCCAGATCTTCTGAAAAACTTGCTGCAGCTTCTCCATCAGCACTTGTTGCTTCACCTTGCACTTTTATGTTATGGAGATGGCTTCTTTCCATAAATCTCATGAACCAACCTCTGCTAGTTTCCAACTTTTCTTCTGCCTCTTCCTCACCTCTCTCAGCCTTCGTAGAATTGAAGAGAGTTAGGCCCTTACTCTGGATTATGCTTTGACTTAAGGGAATGTTGTTGTGGCTGGTTTGCTCTTCTATCCAGACCACTAAAACCATCTCCATATCAGCAATAAGCCTGTTTCACTTTCTTATCATGTATATGTTCACTGGAATAGCACTTGTGATTTCCTTCAAGAACTTTTCCTTTGTGTGCACAACTTGGTGCAGGAGGCCTAGCTTTTGGCCTGTCTCAGCTTTTGACACGCCTTCCTTTCTAAGCTTAATCATTTCTAGCTTTTGATTTACGGTGACAGACATGCAACCCTTTTTTTTACTTGCACACTTAAGAAGCCATTCTTGGGTTATTAATTGACCTAATTTCACTATTGTTGTGTCTCAAGGAATAAGGAGGCTCAAGGAGAAGGGAGACAGATGGGGGAATAGCTAGTTGGTGGAGCTGTCACAACACACACATTTATAGATTAAATTTTTCATCTCTTACGAGCACGGTTTGTGGCACCCCAAAACAGTTAAAATAGTAACGTCAAAGAACACTGATTGGCCGGGCGCAATAGCTCACGCCTATAATCCCAGCACTTTGGGAGGCTGAGGCAGGGATCATTTGAGGTCAGGAGTTCGAGACCAGCCTGACCAACATGGTGAAATCCCATCTGTACTAAAAATACAAAAATTAGCCGGGTGTGGTGGCGCACATCTGTAATCTCAGCTACTTGGGAGGCTGAGGCAGAAGAATCGCTTGAACCCGGGAGGTGGAGGTTGCGGTGAGCCGAGATTGCACCACTGCACTCCAGCCTAGGCAACAGAGTGAGACTCCATCTCAAAAAAAAAAAAGAGAGAGAAAAAAAAAAAGATCATTGATCACAGGTCCCCATAACAGTGAAAAAGTTTGAAATATTGCAAGAATTACCAAAGTGTGACACAGAGACATGAAGTAAGCACATGCTCTTGGAAAAATGACACCAATAGATTTGCCTGAAGCAGGGTCAATCTGGAAGCAGGGACAAACCTTAAATTTGGAAAAAACACAATATCTACAAAGCCCAATAAAGCAAAGCATGATAAAAATGATATGTACCTGTAGTTACATAGCAGCCCATTTAACCTGTTCTAAGATGTAAATACTATACACATTCAGTGAACAGTTAAATTGTCGTATTAGTTATCAAGCAAAATAAAAAAATAGTTGGCATTATGTGATACAGTTAGTTGATCCTCAGTATTTGCAAATTCCTTATTTGTGAATTCACTTACTTGCTAAAATTTATACATAACCCCAAAATCAATACTTGTGGTGCTTTTGTGGTTATTCACAGATATGCACTGACACAGAGTGGTAAAAACTTAGAATCACCCAGCGCACATATTCCCAGCTGAGATTGAACAAGGCAACACTCTGCCTTCTTGTTTCAGCCCTCATGCTGTAATCGAGTGTCTGTTTTGCAGTCTATTTAGTGCCGTATTTTTTGTATTTTTGTGCTTTGTTGATTGCAGTATAAGATGGCCCCCTAGTATAATGCTAAAGTGCTGTCGAGGTGTTCCAAAGGGCAAACAGGCTGTGATGTGCCTTCTGGAGAAAATATGTGTTAGATAAGCTTGATAAGCTTTGTTCAGGCATGAGTTATAGTGCTGTTGGCTAACTTCAAAGTTAACTAATCGATATATATTAAATGTCTTTTTTTTTTTTTTTGAGATGGCGTTTCGCTCTTTCACCCAGGCTGGAGTGGAATGGCGTGATCTCAGCTTAATGCAACTTCCCGTCCAGTTTCAAGCTATTCTCCTGCCTCAGCCTCCCAAGTAGCTGCGATTTCAGGCGCCCTCCACCACGCCCAGCTAATTTTTGTATTTTTGGTAGAGATGGGGTTTCACCATGTTGGCTAGGCTGGTCTCGAACTCTTGACCGTGTGATCCTCCCGCCTTGGCCTCCCAAAGTGCTGGGATTAGGTGTAAGCCACAGCGCCTGGCCTTAAATATCTTTTAAAAGAAACACACAGAAAATAACGTTCTGTATTGATTAGTTGAGGAAAATGTTGTGACCATAGGCTCACAGGAACCTAGCCCTATATTTTTCCTGGAGCAATGGTTCAGTATTCACTATTCAGTATTTGGTATAATTCAGCAACTTTATAGAACATAACTACCTTGGATAATGATAACCGATTGTATATAGGTATAAAATGAATCTTGATAACCAGTTTAGTTGAAATGAAGAGCTCAGATTATTTGAGGAGATACTGGATGCTTCAGATAATTTTAGAAATTTATAGTATTTATTCAGTTTCAATAGTTATGATAGTGGAAATAATTTTTGAGTCAAAATTAGAAAAAAAACAAAGGAAGAGATCCTCTGAGGCTGAACTAAGTTCGTTGAAACGGAAAAGCATTTTGGGTATAAGCCTCAGAGGAGTAAGAAAGAAGGGAATGAGTCTTTACTGTTAAAGTTGTAATCAGGTGACAGAGTATAGGAGTCAGGGAGGAAAGTAGCCCTCAAATCAGTCTGGTGATTGGGATTTAGGGAGAGAGTATTGGTAAGAGTATTCATAAGTATTGAATGGACATTGACAAGTCAGGTTCTTTAACTCAGGAAGCATCCATGTTCTAAATGCAATTGTGTGAAGAAACTTTTAGGAAATTTTAAACTGTTTATTGTAGCCTAATGTGCTTTTGAGTTCTATAAATGAGATGGAGCCATTTTCTTTTCAGGATGATGATGATGATAGTCTTAGTAGCAGTACCATGATATCAGAGGGCCCAGGAAGAATTCTTAAATATACTTTTTCTTTTCTTTCTTTACGGTTTGCATTTTTTAAGCACAAAAGTAATTTTGACTTTTCTTGTAGGGATCCCACAGTGCCCAATGCAGTGTTTTATGTACATACTGATGAATAAAGAAAATTTTATCTAACGGGGCTGGGCGCGGTGGCTCATGCCTATAATCCCATCGCTTTGGGAGGCCAAGGTGGGTGGATCACTTGAGGTCAGGAGTTTGAGACCAGCCTGGCTAACATGGTGAGAAGCCATCTCTGCTAAAAATACAAAAACTAGCCGGGCATGGTGGCTCACGCCTGCCCCAGCTACTTGGGAGGCTCAGGCAGGAGAACTGCTTGAACCCAGGAGGCAGAGGTTGCAGTGAGGCGAAATCGCACCACTGCACTCCAGCCTGGGTGACAGAGGGAGACTCCGTCTCAAAAAAAAAAAAAAAGAAAACTTTATCTAATGGTGTAGAATTACATCTCCAGCAGAGGGCAGTATGTTCCCATGCATCCAAAGGACTTTTTTTTTTAGAAAGTTTTATAGACACTTGAAGATGCATAGTACTCTTTCTTTCTACCAGAAATTATAAATTAATTATAATGCATATAATCTTCTATCACTCATGGAAAATGCATGACTAGACTCATGCATACATTAAAATCAGAAAACATTAAGTACTGTTTTTTGGCCCGGTGATGAGTTTAATAAGACAGTTTTGCTGGGCGTGGTGGCTCACACCTGTAATCCCAGCACTTTGGGAGGCCGAGGTGGGCGGATCACGAGGTCAGGAGATGGAGACCACCCTGGCTAACACGGTGAAACCCCGTCTTTACTAAAAATACAAAAAATTAGCTGGGCATGGTGGCAGGTGCCTGTAGTCCCAGCTACTCAGGAGGCTGAGGCAGGAGAATGGCGTGAACCTGGAAGCCGGAGCATGCAGTGAGCCAAGATCACACCACTGCACTGCAGCCTGGGCAACAGAGCAAGACTCTGTCTCAAAAAAAAAAAGAAAAAAGTTTCTTCTGTCAAGTTTGTTTAATGTTTATATTGTACATCTATACACGCATATGCTTACATACACACAGCTGACTTAAATCCTTTTTAGAATAGGGCTGTAAATTAACAATATGCATATTTATGTAACCAGTAGTTGTGGTTTCAGACTTCTCCCTTTCTGATTATAAAAACATTCCTTGCATTATTTAAATTTAGAAAGCCACTTAAAAGTATATCTACATTTTTGGATATATTTTTCCAGACAGTTTTCCTGTGCTTTTGTGATATACACATACATTTTTATTTTTTTCACTTAACAGTGCATTATGAATAGCTTTCCCTGTTATGAATCTGCATCATTATTTTTAGTGACTGTTGTGTAGAAGTTGCATACTTGTGGTGGAATTTACTTAACCACTTTCCTCTAGTGGGGCATTTAGGCGTCATTTTTTTCCCCAAGGCTTTACTCTTAAACACAACCCTAGGATGACTGTTATACATACCTGTTTGTGCACATTGCTGATTGTTTTGTAAGACTTTATTCCTGAGAGTGGAATTTCTTTTTTTTTAAACTTGGTGCATGTTGCCAATTATTTTCCTGAAACGTATCCACTACATTCTAATCAGTAAATATTTTAAAATTTTTAGTTTGGATAAATGAGCTAAATATTTTGGTCATAAATGGTCACTTTTATTGGTCTCCCACAATAGGTATGTTTTAATAAATTGATGGGAATTTGTTTGATAACCACTATTTAGACTTTTCCATCTGGGAGGCAGCATAGAGTATTGGATATCTTAGAATCAGACAGATTTAGGTTGAATCCCAGCATCTGCACTTATTAGTTATGTGACCTTGGGCATATTTTCCAGTCTCTTTAAGTCTTGAATAACTCATCTATTAAGGTGAGAATTTTAAGAGAGTTGCTGTGAAGAGCAAACAGGATCATGTATTTTTTGAAAAGTCCTGGAAGGGGAGTGCCCTTTTTCTTTCCTTAGTTGTCTTTATGGTCAGAAACCCGGGAAAACAAATGGGGATACCAGAAAAGACACATCATTTCTCTTTGAGTGTTGTGTGGCCCTAACACAGACCTTGACAGTCATTAGGACTTGATGGTTGTTGATTATAACCAACAATTGGCTGAAAGTGACAGGAACAGCAGGGTTTCCAGATTCCATGCTGAGTCTGAATATGATGGAGAAAGCTTTTAAGACATAGATCAGCCTTATTTATGGACTTGGATCACTACAAAGGTTCTCCTGCCCATGAATCTTCCCCACTTTACATTTTGTATTCCCAAGTATGCTGCCTGCACTTATGATGGCATCTGTAGTTTGAAAGTTTTTGTGGAAAAGAGAATCAAATTTCAAGGGTGCTGGGCAGTGTTTCCTGGAAACTAACTTATATGGAAATTTATCTTTTTTTTTTTTGAGATGGAGTCTTGCTCTGTCACCAGGCTAGAGTGCAGTGGCGCGATCTCAGCCCACTGCAACCTCCAACTCCCTGGTTCAAGCGATTCTTCTGCCTCAGCCTCCCAAGTAGCTGGGATTACAGGCATGCACCACCACGCCCAGCTAATTTTTGTATCTTTAGTAGAGACGGGGTTTCTCCATGTTGGCCAGGATGGTCTTGATCTCCTGACCTGGTGATCTGCCCACCTTAGCCTCCCAAAGTGCTGGGATTACAGGCGTGAGCCAATGTGCCTGGCTGAAATTTATCTTCTTTAAAGAGAAACAGTTACAAAGTTAGAGAGGGCTATCACAGTTCTCTTATTACCTGCTGGGACTACTGTGAGTAATAATAGATTGATTTTGGTCTACTTTAAAGAAACATTAGAGATTTCTGAATATTAGATATTTTAAGAAGTTATTTCCTTTCCTGCCTTCACACAATATATTTCAACCTGTCACCATTAGTGTGTGTATCAGTCTCTTTTGCTCATTAGTATTCTTTTTGTCTTTAAAAGTCACGCTTTGTAGATATCTAAAAAGACCTCATGCCACTTTTTATAGTGCATCTCCCCTTATTTTTGTTCAATGGTATTGCTGATTGCTAGAGTGTAGGGGACCTGCTGAAATGTATTATCTCTGCTATTTTTTCATAAGTTTATTATGTAGGATTTACTTTTGACTTATTAGAAAAAATGATTTCAGATATCTGGAGTACAAAGAGGTCCATATAAAGCCAGTTTTCAGATGTCTAAATTATGTCTTTAAAGTAAAATAGTTGAGCATTTTGCTGTCGTTTCCATAGCAATATGTCATTTATTTGTAGCTGTGACTACTGAAGGCTAAATAGTCATAAAGTCAGTTCGGTCTTTGCAGCTGGTGTGCTTTGATGATAACTTGACTGAGTTATCGCCCCTGTATTTAGTGACTTGATATAGGAAGAGTTTAGTCCTTTTAGAGCAAAGCTTTGGCAGTAATC
This sequence comes from Homo sapiens, assembly GCF_000001405.40. NCBI lineage: Eukaryota > Metazoa > Chordata > Mammalia > Primates > Hominidae > Homo > Homo sapiens. Next base: position 106,389,334 of record NC_000012.12, read on the forward strand.
ATGCTTTTTGCACATATGGTGTCATTTACCATGTGCTTGGCATATCTTTGCTTCATAGCTTAGAAATATTTGGAAGGCCTAAGCAGTCTGTTTAGATCCCTGTTAGGACATTTGAGAATTTTATGCAGTTATGAAATCACCACTTAGATTCAGCATCAAGACAACTTGAAGTGGCAATCCATACGTCAAATGAGGAAAGACTTTTTCGTTACAGGTTGAGCATCCCTTATCTGAAATGCTTGGGACCAGCAGTGTTTAGGATTTCAGGTTTTTTTTTTTTAATTTTGGAATATTGGCATTGTCCTTATCCTTATGGTTGAGCATCTCAAATCCAGAAATCCAAAATCTGAAATGCTCTAATGAGTATTTCCTCTGAGTGTCATGTCTGTACTCAGAAGGTTTCAGATTCTGAAAGCTGGTCATGGTCGCCTGTGCCTATAGTGCCAGCTACTTTAGAGGGTAAGGTAGGAAGATTGCTTGAGCCCAAGAATTTGAGGCTATAGTATGCACTGCAGTTGCAACTGTGAATGGCCTCTGCACCCCGGTCTGGGCAACATAGTGAGACCCTGTCTCTTAAAAAAGTTGGCTGGGCGCGGTGGCTTTGGCCAGGCGTGGTGACTTACACCTGTAATCCCAGCACTTTGGGAGACTGAGGTGGGTGGATCACTTGCAGCCAGGAATTTGAGACCAGCCTGGCCAACATGGCAAAACCCCATCTGTACTAAATACAAAATATTAGCTGGGCATGGTGGCAGATGCCTGTAGTCCCAGCTACTTGGGAGGCCGAGGCAAGAGAATCACTTGAATCCGGGAGGCAGAGGTTGCACTGAGTTGAGATTGCACCACTGTACTCCAGCCTGGGCAACAGAGTAAGACTCTGTCTCTGAAAAAAAAAAAAAAGCAAAACAAAAAAACAAGCAGAAAAACTCTCTCCCCCCCCAGTTTTTTTTTAAGTTTCATATTTTGGAGCATTTTGGATTTTCAGATTAGGGAAAATTAACCTGTATTATTTAAACACCAAAGAAAGGAATTCTGTTCTAATATTTGTGACTGGCTACTTGCAGACCAAAGAGAAAGTGTAGATGATTTTACATATGTGCCATCACCATCAAAGTAAATGCAACTCAGTGTGCTTGAGCTAAGAATAATCTAGTTTTGTTTGTTTAAAAATTAGAACTGGTAATTTTTTTTAGGATTGCTATCTTTTAATCCATGAAAGGCTTAGTGTTTTAATGAAATCGTGTAATTTTTAAATAGTGGAGCTTATTTCTAGTATCCATTTGATAAATGTTTCCATATCAAATTGGAGGTTAAAAAAAAAGACTGCTAAAACTATAGAAAAAGGTCTTGCATCCTGAGAACTTGTTTGCAAAAAAAAAAAAAAGAACAAAATAAATTGTTTTAAATTCAGATAGTGAATTTAATTCCAAAAGTTGGTATATTAGTTATCTGTGCTGTGTAACAGATTATAGCATAGCTTCTATTCATTGGGAATTTAAGACTTGCTTAGCTGGGTGGTTCTGGCTCAGAGTCTTTCATGTGCCAGGATGTCAGCCACAAGCTGAGCATAGTAGCATGTGCCTGTAGTCCCAGTTACTCAGGAGGCTGAGGTGGGAGGTTCACTTAAGCCCAGGAGCCTGAGGCTGTAGAGCACTATGATTGCACCTGTGAATACCCACTGCCTTCAGCCAGGGCAACATAAGCAAGACCGCTTCACCAAAGAGAACAAAAGAAAAGATAATCAGCCAGGGCTGCAGTTATCTGAAGGCTGAACTGAAGCAGCCTGGAGAATCTACTTCCAGGATAACTCACCCCCATGGCAGTTGACAGAAAACTGCAGGTGCTCATTGGCTGTTGGTAAGAGGACATAGTTTCTCACCACCGGACCTTGCCACAGACTGCTTGTGTGTTTCCATGACATGGTAGCTATCTTCCCCCAGAGAGAGCACTTTCAGACAGAGCAAGCAGGCAGCTATAGTGCCTTTTATGACCAGTCCTTCAAAGTCATCATACGTGCCACCTTCACATTTTTTTCTATAGAGGTGAGGCATTGAGCTTAGCCTGCACTTGGGGTGGGGAATTAGTCTCCACCTTTTGAAGGGAGTATCAAAGAATCTATGAAGGTTTTTAAAACCACCAATGTTGGCCTAAAAGGGACATGGGATCTATTCAGATTTCCCCCAAATCTTCAAAACTTTCTATAAGTTTACATCGGATCCTAAAGTATCCAAATCAAATTTTTAGAATGCAGACCACTGAAGGTCAAATGTAGAATCATAGCATTTTGAGCTGGAAGGGATCTGGTTTTTCATTTATGCAAATGAGAAAACAAAGGCGAAGAGGTTGCATGACAGTAGTAGTTGTAATGTCTGTGTGTGTTGTTGGTATTATATTAGCACAAACACCTCAGATCTCTGGACTTTTAGATAGATGCCCCTGTTGTACTGAGGATAATGTCCTTGATTTTCTGCATTGGAACTTGGGATTTGATTTTCCCTTCCTTTCTTTTTTGTGTGGAGAACTGGGAACTAGGGCATCAACACTAACTACACAATTATCCTCTGGTTCTGTCTTCTCTACAGCTGAAGGAAGAATTTTAATGCAAACATAACTTTTCCCCTCACTTCTAAGAAGCTGACTATTACTCTTCCAGGAGAGATTTAGTGAGATTATGCTGTGTTCCTTGATATGGCAAAATTCCAGGCAAATGTGTGAAGGAGTGAGCCCTAGTACCATATGGAATCTACAAAGACTTGCGTTGCTGCTGCCACCTTGAAACACTTAAGTGGGTTTCTGAAACCTCTTAAGTGTATTCCTACTTTTTTTATTTTCTTATTTTTTTTCCCGAGACGGAGTTTTGCTCTCGTTGCCCAGGCTGGAGTGCAATGGCACAATTTCAGCTCACTGCAACCTCCACCGCCCGGGTTCAAGCGATTCTCCTGCCTCAGCCTCCCGAGTAGCTGGGATTACAGGCACATGCCAACACATCTGGCTAATTTTTGTATTTTTAGTAGAGATGAGGTTTCGCCACGTTGGCCCAGCTGGTCTTGAACTCCCAACCTCAGGTGATCCACCTGCCTCGGCCTCCCAAAGTGCTAGGATTACAGGTGTGAACCACCATGCCTGGCCCATGTGTTCCTACTTTTTAAGTCTCCTTTGAAACCTGCATGAAGTTTGGTTTGATATCTTTAGAATAGTGAGGTAAAACGTGTTTTAGGAAAAATTCTTTTCCTTTTTAGGAAAAATATGAGTGATTTGACAGTTCTCAGAAAAATTAATTTTGTGACAAGACTGATTGGGGTTCTGCTTATTTTCAGCAATGCATCTTTTCTGATTCACTGCCTTTTGGCTGTTTGTCTTTACAGTTTGCCTTTGTAGTCATGACCAGTTGTCTTTACCATACCTCCCAGCCTCCTTTTTTCGTGATGAAACTCTTAGAATATTTAAAAATTTTAGCAGATAGTACACATGCAAAAAATGTTTGAGAATGTTTGTTTTCCACTTTCTAATCAAAATATCTGTTTCAGGTTTTTCTGCAGCTTGGGCAAGGCTGCCAATGCCAGATGGCACCATTTCTGAGAGAAGAGCTAGCTTTTGCTTAGAAGTAATACCCACAAACAATGCCAAATTAGCATAAGCAAATGTCAGTGAGTTAACACAAAGCCAACACTCTTTCTATCTTTTCTTTCCTTCCTAGGCCATGGGTGTTGAGAGTGACCAGGAAATTGTGCAGATGATTGGAACAGAGGAGCACGTGATGGCTGCATTTGGGCCCAGTCTGGAAGAGTGCCAGAAAGCTCAGATTTTCACACAGATGCAGGTGTGTCTTTTCATGTTGTCCTTTGCTATGAAATGGAATTGGAGACTTAATGCTGCTCATTGATAAAGCTCATCGGATGTGATGGCTTTGGGCTCATAGATTTGGGAAAGGTATTGGGGAGATATGGGAGGAGTGAAGTTTCTTTAACTCACTTTCGTCAGGTTTGGAGGAAGGAGTTTGCCCAGACAAATTAGGAGCCTATGGTGCCCGACTTAGAATAGGGGATATATGGCGAAGAGGTGTTTGTTTTGATATAATAGGAAGTACTGTTTTTTTTTCCTTATTTGCCTGAGTGATAATATACTTTTTAAACTATGGCAACTCTCGTGTACAGGTTTTGTGTGTGTGTGTGTGTGTGTGTGTGTGTGTGTGTGTGTATGTGTGCATGCATTTCTCTTTAATATCTTTTTTTATTCCCTACTTCAGTTGCTTTAGGCATCCAGTTGTATGTGGTTTCTATTTCTTTTCCTGAATTCCCAGTGCTGCTTTGGACAGCAAGGAAAACCCAGGATCAGTCCCTTTTACTGCTGCAGAGCCTTCATTGACCTGCTCAGGCACTCCTGGTTGGACCCTGGGAATTTTAGGGCAAGACTCAAAGATGAAGACTGAGAAATACACACACACACACACACACACACACACACACACACACCCCATAGTAAAAATAATTGCACTTCCCTTCCCACATGGAGGGAGCCCCAGCAGCCATACTTAGGATTTTAGTCCCATATTTGCAAGTGCTTTCCTAAGTATAAATCAAAGTTAACATCCCTCATAGCCATCCTGGGAGGTGGGAATTCCCCACTATAGAATCACAACAGACAGTTCTTACCTATCCACGTGTACATTGTCTATTCTGTGGGTTATGTATGACATATGTAAACTCTGGGCTGCTTTTTTCTCTTCACCCAGGATGCTTGTAGAGAAAGCATTTCCCACTTATATCTGTTAGTGTGTATTCTGAAATCAAATCAGTATTGATATTTTTGTAGACTACACTAGATATTTAGGAAGATCGAAATAGGTCAGTATATATATATAATTCCAAAGCACAAATCAGTAAGGATTATTCTCATCACCGTCTTCCTCTTTTTCTACAGTTAATTAATAGTTGACTGCAGTTACAGGGCAGGCAGCACCAGGAAGGGTGGTTTGGATTTAGGAGATTCTATTTTTGGCCTTTATCAAAAATGAAATATTTGGTAGGCATGAATCTTTGTTGTACACTAAAGTTACATTGTCCAAGGGTTCCAAGAACATGAAGAGAAAACATTAAGAAATATCAAGGAGGCAGAAAATGTAGAATCTACCCTGCAAACAGGAATATTTGGTTCCATTTTGGGAGATACCCTATTCTTTAATGCTGTGTAGTGCCCTACAAGTTTACCTTAATGGTTCCTCAGTGGCTTCAGTGAAATCCGGTATGCAGTTTATTTCAAACATCATCATTGGGGTCAAATAACCCTAGCATTGTAAAGCTGTTTGAGCAGAGCCCAAACAGTAGGTTGGAAAATCATTCATTTATTTCTGTTAAATAGGTTCTGACAGAAAATGTCAGCTAACTAAATTAGATCAGATTAGTGAGAAGATGGCAGGAAAAGATGGAAGGAAGTTAACATAAGAAAGACAAATGTTCCTTTTCCTCGAAAGGGAAGTATAACTTTGACAGTGCTCGTACTCTGTGTGCAGGATTAAGGCACATATTAGCTATTGAAACTAATAAAAGGATATAGAGATGCAAATAACCCAAAATAGTTGGTATGTAGAACATATATTAACAGTTACGAAAACATGAATATTCTATGCTATTCAAAATGAAGATGTAGTAAGTACACTTTATATTAGTCTGTTCTCACATTGCTATAAAGAAACACCGAATCAGCCTGGACCACATGATAAGACCCCATCTCTACAAACAATAAAAATAAATTAGCCAGGCGTGGTGGCAGGCACCAGTGGTCTCAGCTGCTTGGGAGGCTGAGGCAGGAGGATCACTTGAGCCTGAGAGGTCAAGGCTGCAGTGACCCATGATTGTGCCACCCCAGCCTGTGTGACAGAGTAAGACCTTTCCTCAAAAAAAGAAATACCTGAGACTGGGTAATTTATAAAGAAAAGAGGTTTAATTGGCTCATGGTTTTGCAGCCTGTACAGGAACCAAAACCTGCTTCTGGGGAGGCCTCAAGAAGCTTCCAATCATGGCAGAAGGCAAAGGAGGGGGCAAGGTGTCTCATATAGTGGGAGTGAGAGCAAGAGAGCGTGAGGGAGGAGGGGGTGCCACACACTTTTAAACAACCAGATTGGGAAAACTCACTATCAGGAGGACAGCACCAAGGTGATGGTGCTAAATCAGACATGAGAAATCCATCCCCATGATCCAGCCACCACCCACCAGGCCCCACCTCCAACAATGGGCACTACAATTTGACGTGAGGTTTGGTAGGGACACAGATCCAAACCATATCACACTTTATTTTATATAATAGAACTTTGGAAGATGTGGCACTTTAATGGATTGCTTAAAACCTGTGGGGTTTTGTTTTTTTGGCCAGGCATGGTGGCTTATGCCTGTAATCCAGAGGCCGAGGTGGGTGGATCATTTGAGGTCAGGAGTTCAAGACCCAGCCTGGCCAACATGGTGAAACCCCGCCTCTACTAGAAATACAAAAATTAGCCGGGCGTGGTGGTGGGTGCCTGTAATCCCAGCTACTCGGGAGGCTGAATCAGGAGAATCGCTTGAACCCAGGAGGCGGAGGTTGCAGTGAGCCAAGATCGCGCCACTGCACTCCAGCCTGGGTGACAGAGTGAGACTCCGTTTTTTATGCCTCGCTTTGTAGTCTCTCTCACATTTCTTCTGTTCCCTGAAGCCTTCTTTCTGTGTTGGTCATGTATGTTTTACACCATCATTGTCTTGGGCTCTAGTATATAGAGAAGAAAGTACTAGCTGTAGCGGGGGATAGGAGGCACTAGGCATGTTATCTTGGCCTTTGCATCACAAGGGATACCCTGCTCACCTGTGTTCCTCTATTTCTCCCTCAAACAAGTGAAAAATTTTAGCCTTTTTCACAAGGAAACTAGAAGGCCAACATTTATTGAAGACAGCTTAGTTGGGGGAAAACTGAACTGCCTATCTACTCATGGTTCCTGCCAACTGACCTGCTTTCTTCAGTTACTTAGTTACTACTTACTACTAGGTCACTGCAGCAAGTGTTTTCAGGGTTTTAATTTATCTTAAACTTTAATGGCCTTTTAATGGGAAAGATTTAGATTTGAAGTCCAAATCTTATCATGGGGACAGAGTTTCATTCAATTCCAAACACTGTACTAATCACTGGGAGTCAAAGAAAAAGATGACGGAATTCCCACCAACCAAGTCTAGTAGGAAAAACATACATGTAAATAGATCATTAAAACATAATGTGATATGAACAAGAATTAAAATATGCAATCCTGAATGCATAAAGAATTAAAACTGCAGAGAAAGAGGAGTGGGGTTAGGAAAGCCTTCGGAGAGGAAGTGATACCTGATCTAGGTTTTGAAGCATGAAAAAGGAATTCCCCAAGCAGGTAATTGGACAGGAATTCCAAGTTAAAGAATCAAAGATCCCAGCCTTTTCTTCTGTTAAGCTGAAAGTCTTTTTTTTTTTAAGTTCATTCTTGGCCAGGCATAGTAGGTCACACCTGTTATACTGCCACTTTGGGAGGCCCAGGCAGGAAGATCATTTGAGGCCAAGAGTTGGAGACCAGCCTAGGCAACATAGTGAGACCCTGTTTCTACCAAAGGTTTTGTTGTTGTTGTTGTTGTTGTTGTCGTTGTTTTAATTAGCTGGGCATGGTGGCGTGTGCCTGTAGTTCTGCTACTTGGGAGGCTGAGTGAGGTGGGAGGATTGCCTGAGCCTAGGAGATTGAGGCTGCAGTGAGCTGACATCACACCACTGTACTCCAGCCTGGGCAACAGAGTGAGACCCTGTCTCAAAAAAAAAAAAAAGCACATTGTTGTTCCAAAATAATAAGAACCACATATGCCTCTTCTTTAAACATTGTTGATTAGGAAAAATTTCAACATATACAAAGTACAGAGAATAGTGTTATAAATGCTCATGTATCCAAGGCCTACCTTCAAAAGTTGTCAACACTCTTACTTGGTTATTTTAAGTAAATTTATGTACACTAAAATGTACAAATCTTAATTGTATGACTTTACAAGATATAGAATATTTCCTTATCCCACAGAGTTCCCCCTCATGCCCCTTCCTAGTCAATCTTTACCTCTACTCTCTGATTTTTTTCCCCACTATTCTGATTTTTGCACCGTAGATTAGTTTTGCCAATTACAGAACTTTATATATGGAATTAGGCATCATAGTTTAGTGATTTTTGCACCATAGATTAGTTTTACCTATTTTACAGCATTGTGTATGGAATTAGGCCATATATACTCTTTTGTGTCTAGCTTTTGCTGAGCTTATTGTCTAAGATTCATCCAAGTTATTTCTTTTCATTCCTTTTTATGTCAGTTATCCATGTAGTTCATTTCTTTTTATTGCTGAGTAGTATTTCGTTATATGAATATACCACAGTTTATCCTATTGATAGACACTTGGTGTTTCAGTCTTTAGTAATTATAAATAAGACTGTATAAGCAAATCTTTGTGTGGATGTGTGGACATTTTCATTTCTCATGAATGTGTACCTAAGAATAGAATTGCTGTTAAGGAGCCAAGATGGCCAAATAGGAACAGCTCCGGTCTACAGCTACCAGCGTGAACGACGCACTAAGACGGGTGATTTCTGCCTTTCCAACTGAGATACCGGGTTCATCTCACTGGGGTGTGCCAGACAGTGGGTGCAGCGCACCGTGCGTGAGCCAAAGCAGGGCGACGCATCACCTCACCCAGGAAGCACAAGGGGTCAGGGAATTCCCTTTCCTAGTCAAAGAAAGGGGTGACAGACGGCACCTGGAAAATCGGGTCACTCCCACCCTAATACTGCACTTTCCCAACGGGCTTAAGAAACGGCACACCAGGAGATTATATCCCGCACATGACTCGGAGGGTCCTATGCCCACGGAGTCTCGCTCATTGCTAGCACAGCAGTCTGAGATCAAACTGCAAGGCGGCAGCGAGGCTGGGGGAGGGGCGCCCACCATTGCCGAGACTTGATTAGGTAAACAAAGCGGCTGGGAAGCTCGAACTGGGTGGAGCCCACCACAGCTCAAGGAGGCCTGCCTGCCTCTGTAGGCTCCACCTCTGGGGGCAGGGCACAGACAAACAAAAAGACAGCAGTAACCTCTGCAGACTTAAATGTCCCTCTCTGACAGCTTTGAAGAGAGTAGTGGTTCTCCCAGCATGCAGCTTGAGATCTGAGAATGGGCAGACTGCCTCCTCAAGTGGTTCCCTGACCCCCGAATAGCCTAACTGGGAGGCACCCCCCAGTAGGGGCGGACTGACACCTCACACGGCCAGGTACTCCTCTGAGACAAAACTTCCAGAGGAACGATCAGGCAGCAGCATTTGCGGTTCACCAGTACCTGCTGTTCTGCAGCCACCATTGCTGACACCCAGGCAAACAGGGTCTGGAGTGGACCTCTAGCAAACTCCAACAGACCTGCAGCTGAGGGTACTGTCTGTTAGAAGGAAAACTAACAAACAGGAAGGACATCCACATCAAAAACCCATCTGTACGTCACCATCATCAAAGACCAAAGGTAGATGAAACCACAAAGATGGGGAAAAAACAGAGCAGAAAAACTGGAAACTCTAAAAATCACAGCACCTCTCCTCCTCCAAAGGAACGCAGCTCCTCACCAGCAACAGAACAAAGCTGAACGGAGAATGACTTTGACGAGTTGAGAAAAGAAGGCTTCACACGATCAAACTACTCCAAGCTGCAGGAGGAAGTTCGAACCAATGGCAAAGAAGTTAAAAACTGAAAAAAAATTAAATGAATGGCTAACTAGAATAACCAATGCAGAGAAGTCCTTAAAGGACCTGATGGACCTGAAAACCAAGGCACGAGAACTATGTGACGAATGCAGAAGCCTCAGTAGCCGATGCAACTGGAAGAAAGGCTATCAGTGATGGAAGACGAAATGAATGAAATAAAGCAAGAAGAGAAGTTTAGAGAAAAAAGAATGAAAAGAAACGAACAAAGCCTCCAAGAAATATGGGACTATATGAAAAGACCAAATGTAGGTCTGATTGGTGTACCTGAAAGTGACAGGGAGAATGGAACCAAGTTGGAAAACACTCTGCAGGATATTATCCAGGAGAACTTCCCCAATCTAGCAAGGCAGGCCAACATTCAAATTCAGGAAATACAGAGAATGCCACAAAGATACTCCTTGAGAAGAGCAACTCCAAGACGCATAATTGTCAGATTCACCAAAGTTGAAATGAAAGAAAAAATGTTAAGGGCAGCCAGGGAGAAAGATCGGGTTACCCACAAAGGGAAGCCCATCAGACTAACAGCGGATCTCTCAGCAGAAACTCTACAAGCCAGAAGAGAGTGGGGGCCAATATTCAACATTCTCAAAGAAAAGAATTTTCAACCCAGAATTTCATATCCAGCCAAACTAAGCTTCATAAGTGAAGGAGAAATAAAATACTTTACAGACAAGCAAATGCTGAGAGACTTTGTCACCACCAGGCCTGCCCTAAAAGAGCTCCTGAAGGAAGCACTAAACTTGGAAAGGAACAACCGGTAACTGGTACCAGCCACTACAAAAACATGCCAAATTGTAAAGACTGTCAAGGCTAGGAAGAAACTGCATCAACTAACAAGCAAAATAGCCAGCTGACATCATAATGACAGATCAAATTCACACATAACGATATTAACTTTGAATGTAAATGGGCTAAATGCTCCAATTAAAAGACACAGACTGGCAAATTGGATAAAGAGTCAAGACCCATCAGTGTGCTGTATTCAGGAAACCCATCTAAGGTGCAGAGACACACATAGGCTCAAAATAAAGGGATGGAGGAAGATCTGCCAAGCAAATGGAAAACAGAAAAAGGCAGGGGTTGCAATCCTAGTCTCTGATAAAACAGACTTTAAACCAACAAAGATCAAAAGAGACAAAGAAGGCCATTACATAATGGTAAAGGGATCAATTCAACAAGAAGAGCTAACTATCCTAAATATATATGCACCCAATATAGGAGCACCCAGATTCATAAAGCAAGTCCTTAGTGACCTAGAAAGAGACTTAGACTCCCACACAATAATAATGGGAGACTTTAACACCCCACTGTCAACATTAGACAGATCAACGAGACTGAAAGTTAACCAGGAATTGAACTCGACTCTGCACCAAGTGGACCTAATAGACATCTACAGAACTCTCCACCCCAAATCAACAGAATATACATTCTTTTCAGCACCACACCACACCTATTCCAAAATTGACCACATAGTTGGAAGTAAAGCACTCTTCAGCAAATGTAAAAGAACAGAAATTATAACAAACTGTCTCTCAGACCACAGTGGAATCAAACTAGAACTCAGGATTAAGAAACTCACTCAAAACCGCTCAACTACATGGAAACTGAACAACCTGCTCCTGAATGACTACTGGGTACATAATGAAATGAAGGCAGAAATAAAGATGGTCTTTGAAACCAATGAGAACAAAGACACAACATACCAGAATCTCTGGGACACATTCAAAGCAGTGTGTAGAGGGAAATTTATAGCACTAAATGCCCACTAGAGAAAGCAGGAAAGATCTAAAATTGACACCCTAACATCACAATTAAAAGAACTAGAAAAGCAAGAGCAAACACATTCAAAATCTAGCAGAAGGCAAGATATAACTAATATCAGAGCAGAACTGAAGGAAATAGAGACACAAAAAACCCTTCAAAAACTCAATGAATCCAGCAGCTGGTTTTTTGAAAAGATTAACAAAATTGATAGACTGCTAGCAAGACTAATAAAGAATAAAAGAGAAGAATCAAATAGACGCAATAAAAAGTGATAAAGGGGATATCACCAGCGATCCCACAGAAATACAAACTACCATCAGAGAATACTATAAACATGTCTATGCAAATAAACTAGAAAATCTAGAAGAAATGGATAAACTCCTCGATACATACATCCTCCCAAGACTAAACCAGGAAAAAGTTGAATCTCTGAATAGACCAATAACAGGCTCTGAAATTGAGGCAATAATCAATAGCTTACCAACTAAAAAAAGTCCAGGACCAGATGGATTCTACCAGAGGTACAAGGAGGAGCTGGTACCATTCCTTCTGAAACTGTTCCAATCAATAGAAAAAGAGGGAATCCTCCCTAACTCATTTTATGAGGCCAGCATCATCCTGATACCAAAGCCTGGCAGAGCCAAAACAAAAAAAGAGAATTTTAGACCAATATCCTTGATGAACATTGATGCAAAAATCCTCATTAAAATACTGGCAAACCGAATCCAGCAGCACATCAAAAAGCTTATCCACCATGATCAAGTGGACTTCATCCCTGGGATGCAAGGCTGGTTCAACATACACAAATCAATAAATGTAATCCAGCATATAAACAGAACCAACGACAAAAACCACATGATTATCTCAATAGATGCGGAAAAGGCCTTTGACAAAATTCAACAACCTTCATGCTAAAAACTCTCAATAAATTAGGTATTGATGGGACATATCTCAAAATAATAAGAGCTATCTATGACAAACCCACAGCCAATATCATACTGAATGGGCAAAAACTGGAAGCATTCCCTTTGAAAACTGGCACAGGACAGGGATGCCCTCTCTCACCACTCCTATTCAACATAGTGTTGGAAGTTCTGGCCAGGGCAATCAGGCAGTTGAAGGAAATAAAGAGTATTCAATTAGGAAAAGAGGAAGTCAAATTGTCCCTGTTTGCAGATGACATGATTGTATATCTAGAAAACCCCATCGTCTCAGCCCAAAATCTCCTTAAGCTGATAAGCAACTTCAGCAAAGTCTCAGGATACAAAATCAATGTGCAAAAATCACAAGCATTCTTATACACCAATAACAGACAAACAGAGCCAAATCATGAGTGAACTCCCATTCACAATTGCTTCAAAGAGAATAAAATACCTAGGAATCCAACTTACAAGGGATGTGAAGGACCTCTTCAAGGAGAACTACAAACCACTGCTCAATGAAATAAAAGAGGATACAAACAAATGGAAGAACATTTCATGCTCATGGGTAGGAAGAATCAATATCGTGAAAATGGCCATACTGCCCAAGGTAATTTATAGATTCAATGCCATCCCCATCAAGCTACCAGTGACTTTCTTCACAGAATTGGAAAAAACTACTTTAAAGTTCATATGGAACCAAAAAAGAGCCCGCATCGCCAAGTCAATTCTAAGCCCAAAGAACAAAGCTGGAGGCATCACGCTACCTGACTTCAAACTACCACAAGTCTACAGTAACCAAAACAGCATGGTACTGGTACCAAAACAGAAATATCGACCAATGGAACAGAACAGAGCCCTCAGAAATAATGCCACATATCTACAACTATCTGATCTTTGACAAACCTGACAAAAACAAGAAATGGGGAAAGGATTCCCTATTTAATAAACGGTGCTGGGAAAACTGGCTAGCCATACGTAGAAAGCTGAAACTGGATCCCTTCCTTACACCTTATACAAAAATTAATTCCAGATGGATTAAAGACTTACATGTTAGACCTAAAACCATAAAAACCCTAGAAGAAAACCTAGGCAATACCATTCAGGACATAGGCATGGGCAGGGACTTCATGTCTAAAACACCAAAAGCAATGGCAACAACAGCCAAAATTGACAAATGGGATCTAATTAAACTAAAGAGCTTCTGCACAGCAAAAGAAACTACCATCAGAGTGAACAGGCAACCTACAGAATGGGAGAAAATTTTTGCAACCTACTCATCTGACAAAGGGCTAATATCCAGAATCTACAATGAACTCAAACAAATTTACAAGAAAAAAACAAACAACCCCATCAAAAAGTGGGCAAAGGATATGAACCGACACTTCTCAAAAGAAGACATTTATGCAGCCAAAAGACACATGAAAAAATGCTCATCATCACTGGCCATCAGAGAAATGCAAATCAAAACCACAATGAGATACCATCTCACACCAGTTAGAATGGTGATCATTAAAAAGTCAGGAAACAACAGGTGCTGGAGAGGATGTGGAGAAATAGGAACACTTTTACACTGTTGGTGGGACTGTAAACTAGTTCAACCATTGTGGAAGTCAGTGTGGCGATTCCTCAGGGATCTAGAACTAGAAATACCATTTGACCCAGCCATCCCATTACTGGGTATATACCCAAAGGATTATAAATCATGCTGCTATAAAGACACATGCACATGTATGTTTACTGCGGCACTATTCACAATAGCAAAGACTTAGAATCAACCCAAATGTCCAACAACAATAGACTGGATTAAGAAAATGTGGCACATATACACCATGGAATACTATGCAGCCATAAAAAATGATGAATTCATGTCCTTTGTAGGGACATGGATGAAGCTGGAGACCATCATTCTCAGCAAACTATCGCAAGGACAAAAAACCAAACACCACATGTTCTCACTCATAGGTGGGAATTGAACAATGAGAACACATGGACACGGGGTGGGGAACATCACACACCGGGGACTGTTGTGGGGTGGGGGGAGGGGGGAGGGATAGCATTGGGAGGTAATACCTAATGCTAAATGACGAGTTAATGGGTGCAGCACACCAACATGGCACATGTATACATATGTAACAAACCTGCACATTGTGCACATGTACCCTAAAACTTAAAGTGTAATAATAATAAAATTTTAAAAAAAAGAATTGTTGAATCAGAGAGCAGATATGTATATAATTTTTATATATACCTTGTTCCAAAATGATTGTACCATTTTGCATTTACACCAGCTGTGTATGAGAGTTGTTTTTTGTTTTTTTTTTTTTTTGAGACAGAGCCTCACTCTGTCACCCAGGCTGGAGTACAGTGGCATGATCTCCGCTCACTGCAATCTCCCTTTCCTGGGTTCAAGCAATTCTCCTGCCTCAGCCTCCCAAGTAGCTGGGACTACAGGTGTGCACCACGATGCCCGGCTAATCTTTTTGTATTTTTAGTAGAGACGGAGTTTCGCCATGTTGGCCAGGCTAGTCTTGAACTCCTTACTTCAGGTGATCTGCCCGCCTCGGCCTCCCAAAGTGGCAGGATTACAGGCATGAGCCACCACACCCAGCCTGATAGAAAGTTCAGGTTGCTTCATGTCCTCATAATATCTGGTGTTGTTAGTCTTTTTAATTTTAGCCACTCTAATGGGTGTATAGTGGTATCTCATGGTTTTAGTTTTTATTTTTATGGTAACAAATGATGTTGAGCCCTTATGTGTTTATTGGCTATTTGTATTTTCTTCTCTGTGAAGTGTGAGCCAAATGTTCATTTTTCTTAGTGAATTGTCTTTTTATTATTGACTTTAAGAGTCCTTTTAAAAACAAATCCTGGATGTAACTTCCTTGTCAGCATTATGTATTTTCTCCCAGTCCATTAACTCCCTATTTGTTTTCTTAATTCTTTTAATTTTGAAAAAACTTAGGAGGATTTTTTTATTTGTTTAGCTTTTATATTTATTGCTCTCTGTGTTCTGTTTAAAGAAATCTTGCCTACCCCAAGGTCAGAAATATATTCTTCAAAGTTTTCTTCTTGAAACTTTATAGTTTTTATGGTTAGGTCTAAAATCCATCTTAAACTAATTTTTATATTTGTTTTGAGGTAGGGGTCAAGATTAATTTTTTAGTTTATGGATAGTTGTTTCAACACCATTTGTTGAGAAGATTTTTCCTTCCTCATTGAATTGCTATGATACTTTCATCAAAAGTCAACTGACCATTTAGTATGTGTTTATTTCTGGACTTTTTATTCTCTTTCATTGATTTATTTGTCTATCCTTGTGCCAGTATCACACTGTTTTGATTACTTAGGTTTAGAGTTAAAAATCAGGTAATATAATACTCCAACTTTTTTCTTTCAATCCTGTTTTCGCTACTCCAGGTCCTTTGCATTTCCATGTAAATTTTAGAATCTAGAATTTTAGAATTAGTCAGTTTTTGCTTTTTAAGCCTGCTAAGCGTATAATGAACAGTTATGAATGTATTGGTCAGTTTGGAGAGAATTTTAACATTAAACCACTTTTAATACCATTGAATCATCCAGTCCACGAACATGTCATGACCCTTAATTTATTTAGGTTTTGTTTTCTGTCAGCACTGTTTTGTAGCTTTCAATGTAGGGGTCTTACATGGTATGATTCATTTTTGAGAGGAAAAAAGTACTACTATAAAATTTACCTGTGGTTTTCTCTGGGTGAAGGACTGATGGCTGCTATATGTCTACACACACACACACACACACACACACACACACACACACACAAATATATTTTACTTGTGTCTGTATTTTCTAAATTTCCTACAATGACAATGTATCATTTTTTTTAGTAAGAGAAAAAAGGGAACCAGTGTGTTAGGCAGTATGCTATGCTTTTTGTCATTGATTTATGATAAACGTTGATTTTCAACTAGACCCAGTACAGCTTTCTCTATAACCAGGGTCTTTATCTCTTTCGCTCATACTGTACATGTGGTTAGGTGCTTGCTAAACTACCTCCAGTGATGTCATTCAAACATTATTGTAATCTGTTTTTTATAGGCATTAAAATATATAGGGAACAAAGTAAGAAGGCAAAGGATGTGGGGAGGTGGACCAAAGAAAACCAAAATAGAAGAAGCAAGAGAGCTCCTGGCTTCCACCATTCTGACCCATGTCCCAGTGAGTAACACTTCGTTATTGTGAATAAGGACTGTGGGGTCTGTGAATTCCTGTTAGAGAACTGTGATAAGAGTTTACCTTATTTAAAGTCCAATTCCTCAAGAGAAAATTCTAAAGAGGACTGTACTGCCCCATCAGAAATAACCTTCCATTATCAGCAGTTTGTTTATACTCGGAGAATGTTAGCTGTATCGCCATCATCATGTTTATTCTCTTGTGGTTATTCTTTCAGTCTTAAATTATTGTTATTTTATATTCATACATACATTAGTACTGCTACTAGATTTCATGGTTTTGAAGGACAGAGATGGTGTCTTACATGTTTTATAAATAAATTAAAATAAGCTTACAGTGCCTTGCCCGTACATATTTTTTATTGTATGGTAAAATTGCTTATGTAAAATATGCTTATGCTTATTGTATAGTAAAATATGCTTAATGGTAAAATATGCGTAACATAAAGTTTACTGTTTTAAGTGTACAATTTTCTGGACTTAAGTACATTCACATTATTGTACAACCATCACCACAGCAGATAGTTTTAAAAATGTTTACTGGATGAGTTCATCTTCTAGACCTTGAATTTAAAGTTCACATTATCCAGCCTCCTTCACTTATTGTGAAGATTCTCTGATCCAAACATGCTAGATGATTTGCGTTGTCACCCAGCTGGTTAGTGGTAAGAGTAAGGGTTAGAACCTATCTTCTGGCCTTGAACTAGTATGTAATATTTATTTTTTATTAATTTATTATTAAACAGAGATCAACCATATTGGCATGTGGGGTGTTGGCAAGAGGCAGCCCTCAATTTTCTTCCCATTTAATGTATATGCTACTCTTACTAAGTTATGGAATTATTATTTGTTAGACTATCTTGTTAACTAAATAGTCTGGTTTGTAGTGAGTTATCATGTGTTCCATCCGTGAATAATCTTTTTCAAGGGTTGCAAACACTACCTTCAGGGGCTGACTGTAAAATAATGGAAGGTCACGGGATCTGTGGAAGTCGAGAGTAACCACCTGAATGCATCCAGATCCGATTTTCCTGTATTAAAACACCCTTCAATCCAAATAATACAGGTCTCTCATTCTGCCCCTTGGCTACCATTTGTGCATGTCCTTGATTTAATCCAAATAATTAGAAAATTCTGAATGTTAAAGCTGGGTCTCAACTGAATTTTAAGCTCTTTTGGATGATTGGAAGAGTCTGAAACTTAAAATAGCAAAAATGGATAGTAGAAACAACAAAGGCTTTTGAGCCTGAGACGTAATTGTTCAAATCCTGGTTTCTTACATCCTAACTGATGAACTTTGGGCAAATCTGAACTTTTCTAAGCTTCAGTTTTCTCATCTTTTTAATAAAAGTAATTCCACTTTCTTGCAGGGTTCTTGTGATGATTCGGAGATATAATATACGTAAAGCTCTGTATTTTCCACAGCTCCCCATGTAGTTCTCAGGAGCTACACTTACCTTCACACTATAACTGAGAAGAATGTTGGGTTAATTAAAGAGCTTTAGTTGATAGAGTCCTGCCGATATTAACATTTGTTTAGTTAGACTGATAAAGATAGGCCAGGCACAGTGGCTCACACCTGTAATTCCAGCACTTTGGGAGGCTGAGGCGGGCAGATCACCTGAGGTCAGGAGTTTGAGACCAGCCTGACCAATATGGAGAAACCCCATCTCTACTAAAAACACAAAATTAGCCAGGTGTGGTGGTGCATGCCTGTAATCCCAGCTACTTGGGAGGCTGAGGCAGGAGAATCGCTTGAAACTGGGAGGCGGAGGTAGCAGTGAGCCAAGATCACACCATTGCACTCCAGCCTGGGCAACAAGAGCAAAACTCCGACTCAAAAAAAAAAAATCATTTGTGCTTTTCTGTGGTTGCATGGAACCTAAATTACCATTTTAAAAGTTTGGTTATACATAATCCAGTGAGGAATAAAGTCAGAATAGATGGTTCAGGGAAAAGAACTTTGTTTTCCAGAATTGTTTTGGACAGTATTTACCTAAATGTGATATAAAGGATGATTTTCAGTGATACAGGGTCATTTTTTATGTAAGTAATTACATACTTATTAGAAGGAATACAACTAGCACATCAAATCCATTTTTGTGATATATGTGATTTTATGGTATTATTGCATAGGATGAAGCTTAGCTTAAAATTGGTTGTTTAAAGATGATTAGACGTATTACATAAATAAGTACTACAGAGATATGCTGATATTCGTGATGGTGGAACTTGAATGACTAGCATTTGGAAAGTATTGTTTAGGTGTGTCTGTGTAGAGGGAAAAACACGGGCAGATATTCAGTAGTTCTCAGTGCTTGTCCTTGAGGGTGGGCCTGCAGAGGCCTTTGTCTTGGTATACTGGCCTTTCAGTTCCTTGGAGACTGTGGTTCTCAAAGAACATTCCCTGGACTAGTAGCATCTGCATCACTAGGGGACTTGTAAGAAATACTTGAACTCTTCCTACTGAATCAGAAACCCTAGGGGTGGGTCCCGGTAATCTGTGTCTTAACAAGCCCTCCAGATGATTCTAGTGCATGCTAAAGTTTAGAAACCACTGCCATAAGAGTGGTTAGGCTCCAAGATGCCTAAGTCCCAGACCACTCTTTCCTCTAATGTAGTATTAAAAGATCTCCGGAGTTCTGAAATAGGCAACAATTCTGTGTCAGCATTCTGGGTTCGTTTGTTAGTCCTTTTTTCTCCCCCTCTTTCACATAATCCACAGGTTAGTATCCCACAAAGGAGTATCTGAACTACTCTTAGCTTTCTCCTAAAAAGTCTTACCTGCTGCTAGATTGAGAAGATCCCCACTCACCATATGACTCTGGGAACAGTCCTGGAAAAATATGCTAAGTATTAACTCATTTCAATTTAGACCTAGGGTTTGCTTTCCAGCATATAGTCATTAAAAAGGGGAGTGAAATGAGTTAGAGTTCAATCCCAAGGGGGTGATGGACTGTACCTCTAATCGAGTGGCATTATACAGTTCAGTAGGGGCATTTTCCGTAAATATCCATATTTATTTCTACTTATAAATGTCTTGGGAGAATCTACTACCAGTGTTTATGCAAAAGGAAAATGTGAAATGGGCTTTGTTGAAAATTGAAAATTTTGTTAGTGAAAGTTTGCTTTATTTTTCTCATTAACAAGAAAGATAACTACAACTAGAAGAGTTAGATGTTCCATGTAACTTGCCACATTAAGATTAGAACAATAAAATGTAAATTATATATACTTAAATGGAGGACCATACAGCTTTCGAAATACCAATTGAAAATGTAAATTACTTATAGCTGCCCAGACACTGAGTTTTTCTGCTTGGTTTTGTGGTAACTGGTGTTACGATTGTAAGAGGGTTTTTTTTGTTTTTTTTTTTTTTTTCTTGAGGATGGACAAGAGCCTTTTCTTTTTAAAGACCTTCTTATTGATGTAATTGTTTTGTGGGTACAAGATAACAAAGTAGCTTTTAGGGCTACTTTTTCTTTTACCACATTCAAACACATTTCTTTTAACACATTCCAGAGTTCTCAGTAATAGAGAGTAAATTGACCTAGAGAAGAAATAAAACTTCCTTTGAAGGAAAATGGAGTATTTGAAACACATACAGAATTCTAACATCCTACATTATTTAGTGAAATTACTTAGCAGCAACAACAAAATGTATGAAGGAGAATGCTTGCTTGTTTTTTTTTTTTTTGAATGCAGTCTATTGATTTATTGTCATAGTGATAAATTTTATAAAAGAGATTTCATTGGGATTTTACTAAATGATTAAGGTAAGTAAAGAAGAAATTTTAAAATAGTATGTATCATCTGTGGAAAAGCCTATAAATACTCCTTGGAATTGGCAGAAGCTCAGGCTACATTCTCAAAATTTGTCTTTTTAGATGTAGGATCTACTTCAGTTTTTTTGTCTCTCCAAACAAACCAGTGCAATTATTTTATCAGTTCTGAGTCAACTTACTATGATTGAGCCAGATTCATTCATATGGGTTTCAGTGTTTCTGCTAGAGAAGATTGACTAGAACATTTGCTACAAATTCATTCATCTGTTCATTCATTCGGCAGTTATTTGTTGCATGCCAGACAGCATGTTAGTACAATTCTTGTTATCACTGCATGACAAACAATTCTAAAACTTAGTGGCTTAATGTAACTGTTCATTGTGTATCTCATGATTCTGTGGTTTGACCGGGTTTAACTTAAGGTGGAGGAGGGAGTTCTCATTTCAGGTCTCTTACAAAGTTGCAGACAGATAGCAGCTGAGGTTTGAGTCATCTGGAAGCTCACCTGGGCTGGACATTCAAGATGGCATCTTCACTCATATCTCTGGCCCCTCCTTGATTTTCCATTTCATTGGGATTTTACTAAATGAAATGTAGCCTCTCTCTCTGTGCAACAGAGCGTTCTGGACTTTAGTGTCTCAGGACTCTAAGAGAAAGGAAGAGGAAACTGCCAGTTGACTTAAAGATTAATTCTGGAATTGGCTGGTATCATTTCAGCTGTATTCTCTTGGTTAAATTAATCATAGGCCAATCCCAAGGGAGTGATAGATTCCACCTTTAATGAAGGAATGGCATGAAGTTTATATGAAGGGAAGAAGTTGATGTAGTCATCTTTGACACAGAGGTACTCACAGGTTACTGAGGACAATGATGAAAAGTCATCATCTCAGCTCAGGAAATTTCCAGACTAGTTGAATTTATTTGAATGGAGAGAATCATAACAATTCAGTATTTTCTTAGTTGAATGTTATAGTATTGATACTTTTCTTGAGGTACGTTAAATTTTAATGTCCATTTTCTCAAAATTTTTCTCCAATTTCTGACTTACAGGTTAAGGAATTCAATTTCCGAGCCAAATGTATCTATACTGCAGTGATGGTGCGAAGAGTTATTCTGGCCCAAGGAGATAATAAAGTTGACGACAGAGATTATTATGGTAACAAGCGACTGGAATTGGCAGGACAGGTGATTTAATATTTTATGTCAGAAATCTTGTTTTCCTTAATGAAAATTAATTTGGTTTTCATTTCACATAAGAAGAAACATTTGAATGAAATATAGTTTGCAGGTTTGAAGTATAAACATTTCATACCTGACTTATTATCTCCTAGAATTCCTTTAACTATAAAAACATTAATTCTTTTTTTTTTGTTTTCTTTTGAGACGGAGTTTTGCTCTGGTTGCCCAGGCTGGAGTGCAATGGCACGATCTCAGCTCACTGCAACCTTGGCATCCTGGGTTCAAGCGATTCTCCTGCCTCAGCCTCCCGAGTAGCTGTGATTACAGGCATGTGCCACCGTGCCCGGCTAATTTTGTATTTTTGGTAGAGATGGGGTTTCTCCATGTTGGTCAGGCTGGTCTCCAACTCCCGACCTCAGGTGATCTGCCCATCTCAGCCTCCCAAAGTGCTGGGATTACAGGCGTGAGCCACCATGCCCAGCCTAATTCTTTAAATGTTAATAGTACGTGACCTATATCTTTTGTTGGGATGTTTACCCTCATTCTGTATAATATACAAAGTGAAGTATGACTTTAAGTAATATCATTTATTCAGTTAACAAACATTTACTAAACACCTATTATGTTCTAGGCATACTCCTAAGTACTAGTTATATAAGAGGGAGTAAGACAGACAAAAGCCCCTTTTCTCTTACTCCTTGTAGTCTCAGTGGAAGGGAGAGAGACAATAATCAAGGAAACAATCCGCTGATTGTTTTGGTGACATGGTAGAGGTAGGTTAGTGAGGATATCTCTAATCTCATTTTAAGTCTTAGCTGATAAATGACATTTTATTTCAAGACTGTGTATCTCTTTCAACTGGCTAGCAAGCATCCAAAAATCTTTGGCTAGCAAGTAACTAAAAAGCTCCAGTTAATTTTTTAGTTTAGATATTGTATTTTTCTGTTTTAGAAATTTCATTTAGGTATTTTTTCATAGCTTCTATTTCTCTACAGAGATTTTGTATTTGTTCATCCATCACAAGCCTATTTTTATTTACATCCTTGTATTTTAATAGCTACTTTAAAACCTTTGCTGCTAATTTCAACGTCTCAGTCACTTGTGGGTCATTCTCTTCATTAGCTTTTCTCTTGAATGTGGCTCATGTTTTTCTGTTTCTTCTTATGTCTGATAATTTTGGATTGCAACCTGATAGACATTGTGGATAAGTTGTGGAGGCTCTGAATTCTGCTGTATTCCTCTAAAGAGTGTCCCAGTTTTTTGTTTTTTTTTTAAGACCCTCTGAACTTGGCTGAAAACCTCTGAATCCTGCCTTCCTGCAGCAAACATCAGCTGAAATATTCATTTAGTTCTTTCAGTTGTAGCTTGGGTCAATTGGGGATTTAGATAGAGTTTAAATGTGGAATTTGGAATTTCCTCACTTACATTCTAGCTGTTGAGGTAGCTCAGATCTTTTTCTTTTGGTTCTTCAATCCAGTAAGACTGCAACTTACTTTCTCATGTTTTAGCCTTCTGATTTGACAGGGATCACTGCCTGCCCTTAGGTGAAAAGCCATAAAACAGGAAACTCACTCAGAACCATTTGCTTTTGATAAGCATTCCTTTTCCTCAGTTTCTTTCTGCTTCCTGATACTCTTTCAATGAATTTCAAGTAGTTGTTTTATCTAATATTTCATCCAGTTTATACAGTTGAGCCACATTATGCATATTTGCAAATTTGTCTACTTGCTAAAATGTATTTTCAACCTCCAAATCTGTACTCAGCGGCATTTTATTGGCCATTTGCAGGCATATGCAGAACTGCAAAAAATTTGAGTCACTACACATTCCTACTTGCAGTCTAACAAGGCAATGTTCTGCCTTCTTGTTTCAGCTCTCATACTGTAAACAAGTATCCTTTTTACTACTTTGATTTGCATTTCCCTAAAAACTGATTATGTTGAACATCTTTTTATGTGCCTATTGGTCATTTATACACCTTCTTTGAAGAAATGTCTATTCAAGTCCTTTGCCCATTTAAAAATTTTTTTTCTTGTTGTTGTTGAGTTGTAGGAGTTCTTGGTATATTCTGGATACATACATATATCAGATATATGATTTGCAATTATTTTCTCCCATTCTATAGGTTGTTTTTTCACTTTTTTGACAGTGTCTTTTGATGTACAACAGTTCTTAATTTTGAAAGAGTCCTATTTGTCTATTATTTTCTCCTGTTGCCAGTGCTTTTGGTGTCATATTCATGAATTATAACCAAATTCAGTGTCTTGATTTCCCCAATGTTTTCTTCTAAAAGTTTTATAGTTTTAGCTCTTAAGTTTAGGCCTTTAGAGTGAGAATTTTGTTAGATGTACAATTCTAGATTGATATTTATTATGTGTCACCATTTGGTGGTGGAGATATTTATTATCTCCCATCATTTACTAGTTTATTTGTTTGTTTTTATTTTTTTACTTTAGGCAAATATTTCACCTCCTTCTGCCTCAGGTTCCCTGTCTGTAAAAATGGGGTTCATGCCATGTACCTTATAGGATTGTTATGGGATTAGATGAATGATGTATACCGTACCTTGAATGGCACAGAACCATTGTAGTTCCTTCACAGGTGTTCTGTCTTATCTCTCTAGGTACTTTTAAGATATTCTTTTGGCTTTTGTTATTCTGCAGTTTTCTTTATGATATGCCTTGGTGTGAATTTCTTTTATTTTTTTTTTGCTTGGTATGTGCGTGTTCCTGCTACCCAAGGATTAATGTCTTTAATCAGTTCAGAAAAATTCTCAGCTATTATCTCTTCAAGTGTTGCCTATTCTCCCTTTTTTCTGTTCTCTTTTTTCTATTATCTTTGTTCCTTTACTGCATTCTGTGCGATTGTTTTTCTAATTTAGCTCTTAGTTCATTTTCTATTCAGCCATGTTCAGTAATTGAGTTTTTTGTTGTTTACTTTTATAGAAGTCTTTTTCACATATTTTTGGTAATTTATTGGTTTTGCATTTTATGATGAAAATTCTGAAACATTCAGAAGAGTTAGAAGAATGATTTTGTGGTCACTTTGATCATCTTATTTTGTGTGTTTTTTTTATTTCTTCATAGATTTACATAGCTTTTTTTAATTCCATATTTGATAACTGTATTTTAGCATCTAGAATCTAATATGCCATTAATTATCAGGTGGACCACTATTTTTATTTCCACTAAGAAATAAAACACATCACCAGTTAAATTATGACACAGTGCTAAGATGTATCCCATGTTCAGGATGGGATACAAAAGTAAAAAAAAAAAAAAAAAAAATTCCAATCAGTGAAATATAGTAATTCCAGTATCTAATGTTCTAAAGCTGCTGAGTTAGTTGTTTTTGATTACTCTTACTCAAGATAGATTGGTTCCTTGTGAGTTTAGTGATCTTTGTTTATGAACTCATATTTAATTGAGCTCTGATCCTGGGTGTTATTCTAGGGATACTTTCTTTTGGGGATATGTATTTTCTTTTTCAGGGAATAGTGCTGACCTGGAACTTCTAAGTCTTCTTACATGATTCTGAGGATTATGAGTTTCAAGTTCACATCCTTCATCTTGTCACTGAACTCTGATTTAGTCTCCAGGTCCCTAAGCTGATATCAGTATTTATTCTCAGGGCAACTCTGCCATTTGGGTTTGCTTATTGCTCCCTACTCCCTACCATGGCTTCACCTCATTTTTAATATGTTTTATCCAGAATCTAGTCATATTGTAGTAACCAGACTCCTCAGAGAATCCAACCCAGTATGCTGCAAGCAGCAGAGGTCCCTTCATTTTCACAGTAGACTTGAAGCTTCATGAGGACAGAGACTGTATCTTTCTTGTTCATCTTACTAAACTTAGCAACTAATAAGATGCCCCAGATATAATGTTCATCACATATTTGTTGTAGTAATGAATCAATTAATTACATGTTCTAAAATAGTTTACTTTAAAGCCCCCTTTGAATTCTGATATTCTTTCTTCATTTGCTGTCTTAATCAGTTAACAGTGCCATCTACCCATGCTGCTGAGCTACGAACCTCTATGTCACTCCAGACTCTTTCTGTTCCTTCACTCTACACATCAGGTTCATCAAATCATCAAATCCTGCCTGTGCCACTTCCTAAATATATCTCTAATTTACTTCCAGTGTAACTGTTAGAGCACAGGCCTTCAACTTCAGTGTAACCTCCTAACAAGTGTCTCTGTTCTTAGCTTCACCCCAACTCCATTCATCTTCCACAGTGCTAATAAAATTATTTCAACACACAAATATGATCTTCTCACTCTTGTACTTAGGCTATTTGAATGGCTCCCTCTGAAAGCAGTGAGGTCACTACAGTGAGATGTGATGTGGTTAATGGAAGATACCAAGTTAGGGAATGATGTGTCAGCCAAATCATCTTTTAGGAATTTAGAGTCTATGTTGTTGGTGACAATTCTACTTATGAGATCAGTCTTTGTGGTTGTCACAGAGGGATGATGGTATGGTTGATGGAAAGAGGATGCCAAGTTTCCTTAATAACTAAAGATATGGTAACTTAGGGATATGGGTGTATAAAGCACTAGCATGCTCCTAATTAGGGACACTACTTTCTGAGTCCCCTGGAATTTTCCCAGGAGATATGTATCTGTGAATGATACCACTGGCCTAGAATGAAATTTTGCAAAGCCCAAGACACTTCTTTTGTTATTCTGATGGTTATTCATTTATTTTACCAATTTAAACAAATATCTTTAATTTTTTTAAAAGTGTTATGATTTTTAAAAAGTAATGTTAGCAGTAAAAATAATAAATATTGTAAAATAGCAGAAGTCATTCTTAGTAAACATTTAAAAAAATAGCATAGCAAAAAGAATTTTAAACAAAAAGATTTGCAGTGAAAAGTGACCCACCTCTGACCCTCTTTTCCCTCTGACTCAGTTCCCCAGTTCTCCTTTCCAGAAAGTCACTTTTCCTATACTGTCCTCTATCCTTCCAGAGACACTCTATGCATATACAAATATCTTTATTAACTGGCAGTTTAAAGTTAAACCATTGGAAGCTCTTGCCCTGAAAACTATTCAGGACTCTGTGAATTTATGCTTAGTGGGGCTTCCTTGGGGATCATTGTCACAGGCAAGTTTGGAGTCAGGTTTTGCAAGTTCAGAAGAAGTTATATAAAGGTGTGGTTTGCTGTCATTAGTTTGAAACAGATTTTCAAAGCAGTTATGTCCGAGAATGTTATTTGACCATTACTGCCAAGCCCTTTGACTTAAGGGGGAATTTAATCAGTTAAATGTGTCTGTTGCTGCAGAAATTGACATATACCTGTTTGTGTATGTGCTTTTTAGTTATGAGAAATTGCATACACACCACTATATATAATGTGTGTGCATTAAGTCTCATAAAGCAAATACTTGTATATTCCCATTCAGTTTAAGAATGAACACAGCGTCAGTACATTTGAATCCTCCATGTGCCTTCTCTTGTTCTTGGCTGCCCCTCCCATCTGTCTGGAGGCTCTGGCCATGTGCCTGCCTATTCACTTGGTACAAAGCAATCCCAACACATTCCTGAGCATTCTCTGTGTGATTAAGTGAAGCACAGGTCCTTTTCCCAGGAGCATCCGCAGCAGACCTGAGCTTCAGATGTAGGTTTCAAAGTTTTTAAAGCATGAACTCTCAGTTGGAATCCCAATATTAAAACAGATAAAAGTTGAGCCTTTCTGGTTGAGGTGGGACAGAGGGGTTCTCTGCCTCCTTCCCCTTCCCCTGAAACTCCTCCATGGAATTCATAAGCACAGTTTCCTCTGTAGAAGGATGTTTAGATTCTTTCACAGAGCCTGCAGGGTCCTTGATGATCGTGCCCCTCTGTGCCTTTCCGGCCTCATCTCATGCCAAAGTGAGGCACTTACATCTTCTCAAACATACCATAATGCTCTTCTATCACTATTCCTTTGAGTTATGCCTTCTACCGAAGCTGCCCCTCCCTCATATCCCTTTCACCCTCTCTCTAAAGAGGAGCTCCTCCTTATTCATCTTTTGAGCCCTCTCTGAAACTGTGACCTCCTAGGTGCAGTTAGTTGCTCTGTCTTCCTTAGGCCAGTAACAGTTTATTCAAGTCTTTATTTGCATGCTAAATTAACATGTAATTCTTTACTTCCATGCTTCTTCCCCCTTTTAGATTGTAAGCTCATTGAGGAAAGGAACCATTTATATTCATCTCGTTATTTCCACATATGTGCAGGCCGATATTTGAATAAGGAGAAGTTGCTCTCATGCAGCCTTGCAAACTGCATTCCAGCAAGAGACACAACCAAGTTCACATCTCCTAAGGCACGAATGAATTTAGGGACTGGAGGAACTGATAGAGGGTCAGTGTGGCTGGAGTGAGTGAGGTGTCAGGATGGTAAGAAATGACACTGGAGACCCAGGTGGAGGCTGGATCATCTGGAGCCCTGTGTGCCATGGGAAGAGACTTGGCATTCTACATGCAGCAGAAGACCATTGAAGAGTTTTAGTCAGGGGAGTGACATGATCTGATTTTTAGTTTAGAAAGATCTGATGTGGAGATGAACAGGCGAAGAGTGGACCGGCTAGAAGCTGTAGCAGTTTTCTAGATGAGAGATAGTGCGGCTGGGATGATCACAGCAGATAGTACCACAACTAAAATTTAAAAACTAGAATTATGAAATTATAGTAACTTTAGGTTCTAGAAAAAAAAATTAGCATCAGGACTACTGAGGAAGCTCTGTTTGGTTAATGGCCACTACTTAGCAGTTTGGTTTTTGGCCACCTTCAGATTGACCATTGTGCAAGGAATTATGGGTATCCTCACCATCAATCCCATTTTTACTATTTTTTACTTCGGAAAAACCATGGTGTTAAATGAGTCCATTAAAAAAAAGTTGATTGTTTAGAGGAATAAGGAATGGAGTAAGGAGGGGGAAAGGAGAGCTGATCCTGTTGCTTAAAAAATTAGAATTAAAAAGAGGGTTCCCATGTGCAAGAAAACATAGCTTTATAAACAATGTAAAGACATAAAAGGTATTGTGTTAGCAAAAATGTGTAAAAACAATAGCTGCTAATTTCACACCCCATGGGATGAGGGAGCATAAATGTGCTTCAGCTTTAGATAACAGAGTTGTCTCCACTGGCCAAGCGGGTTCACAGAGCTTTCCTTCAGTCTTGATGCCACAAGAGGGTTGGCAGGCCAGCCGCCAGTAGAGGTGTTAGCAAAACCTACCGATTTCAGGCTTAATCTTTCACCTACCTTTTCTTTTTCGGTAATGTGTTCATTATTTGCTGAGCATTACTCTATTCTTTGTCTGCAAATTTTTTGTTTCTAATGCAGCTTGCTTTGTATGGGTGAGATATGGAATGGCACCAAAATCCGGCACCCTGGAAAGCCAGGGATTTCTACCCTATGACAAAAGAATGCCGTCTTGACTTCAGAGATTGCCTAATCCCAGCTGTTCTGATAATGTAATTAAGGCTGCCTAATGTCTTTAATTTTGCAACCAGTTTGTGTGAAAAGGAGAATTTGGCACTCTGTAGGCTTAAACACTAAATAGCAATCTCAAGACGCCTAATTAGAATTCTCTGACATTAAGCTAATTGGTGAAACTGTATTTCAGCAGCTTAACTTCTTTATTAATTTTTTTAGCATTTTCATTGAAAATCAATTGATGAGCTGTCAGCATTTTTCCCTGAAATATGATTTGCTCTTTACTCTCCTGTCTTAAACAGGCTGAAAGGCCTTGTGCTACCAAGGTATTGAATATTATCACCAGCATTCCTTCCCTTTTAGTCATTTTACTTTTGACCTAAATAATGTGGTGTATTGTGTGGATGGCCTTGTGGTTTCTCACTGCTCTGTGAACTTGGACAGCATTTTTTCTTTTAAACTGAAATTTTAGGAGTAGGAAAATTTAATAATGAGGCAGTATTTCTGTTGACTGTGTTCTTACTTTTTACTTCTTTAGTACCAAGGACATTTCCTTGTGTTTGAATCAAGGGGCTACAATAAATTCAGCTGGGATCCAAAAAAACTTTGTCATAATTTGAGACAAAAGTGTCTAAGTGTAAGGGACTAATTAAAATAGAGCTGAGCTTTTGTTGTTTAGGTTAAGGGCATTCGATTCTGTTCAGGATGCTTATTCAAGTTCCTTTTGCCAGTTTCCACAGGAAGTTGCTGGAATAGGCTTCTTCATCCCCTCTCACCCCTCTGCACCTGCTTCCATTCCCATATTCTTTCTTTCCAAGAGTGAAACTGCTGGGTCTCACTGTAAGAAAGGATTAAGCTCTCAGAGGAGGAAGTTTTCTTTTTAGAACACTTCTGACATAGTAAATTCAAATCCAAGATCCAGGCTTTTCTATCTGAAAAGGTGGTTTTAGTAGAAAAGTGGAAGGACATGTCTTAACTTTAAAGAAGGAAAAGCATGAAATCCAGTTCCACTTAGGAAATTCCTTCTTTGGCACTAGCTAGAGGAGAAGATTCATTTGCTTTGAATACCTTCTTCATTCTGAGTCAAAAAACTACCTATCAGAAACATTCAGGAATATAGTCAGTATGGAATCTGGAAAATCTTTAGCTTAAACATACTTCACTGAACCTCAGAATTCTTTAAGAAATTAATTAGTATAAATATGCCCCCCATATTACTTTAATGTTTTGTTATTTAACTTAGATCACAAATATATTGAGCTTTTTTCTTCCACTGCAAAGAAAAAAGATGTGTACAAAGGGAAAAAACTAATAGAATTAATTGTATAGGAGTATTTAGTATGCATAATATCTATTATATTACTGAAGAAGTCTACTTTTTTTTTATTTATAGTGAGCCAGATATTTAGTTTTGCTTTTTTTTTTTTTTTTTTTTTAATGAACTTGATATAACTGGCATTCTGGTTATGTGTTACTCTGTTACATGCTATCTCAAAATGGTGGCTTAAAACAACAACCATTTTATTATACATACCTCACAGTTTTGTGGGTCAAGAATTCAGGCAGGACTTGGCTATTTGATTCTTTTGTTTCACATGGTGTTGATGGAGGTTGGTTGGTTGATGTTCTGCTAGAGGTTGGTGGGAAGGGCTGGAAAGCTAGGCTCAGGCGTTTCCAGAGTTGTCACATTCGGTGGCTCAGGAATCTAAGAGTAAGTGTTTCCCATAGACAAGAAACTGTGTGACCTTAGTGACCTAGACTGAAAGTCACAGCATCACTTATGTTTATTCTATTGGTCAAATAGTCCCCACCCAGATGTGGGGCAGTGGGGCACGGGGGTAGGGATGGACATGGGCCACACCTCTCAATGTTTGCTTCAGGGATCAGCCAGAGATTTGGGCAAAGTTTATATATATAGTTTGGAGTTTTCTTCCTTGGGTTCTCTCCTTTATGGAATTCCCCTTCACCTTCCAGCTACTCAAATCCAGTAGTTCAGATCTTTTTCTTCTGTTTCTTCAGTCCAGTAAGACTGCAGGTCTTTCTCTGAGTTTCAGCTTCCCAGTGTGGCTTGGACCCTTTTTATTAACGTGGCCTACCCTTAGGTGAAAAGCCTTAAAAATGAGATGTGTACCCAGTGCCATTCACTCTCAGTGTCCTGCTTTTGGACACTCCCTAGTGCCTTCAAAAAGTTTTTAAATGTTTTGTCCAGAATTTATGATTATTATCTGCAGATGAATCCGTCTGATAGGACCTACTCTACCAATTCGGGAAACAGAGCCACCTAGTCTGTTTTCATGACTTACTGTTCTATCCCGTTGATTTGGCTTCCATAATCACTGTTTTAAAATATCACTGTGGTTTAATAGCATTTATAGGTAATTTTTAACATAAAAATTTAAATGTTACATTTATATGTTATGAAGGGTACAAATAAAATGAACAACCTCAAGGCCACTACTCAACAACTAGACTATTACCAATAGCATTTCATTTACCTATGTACCCCCTACTCCATTCTTCATTTTCCCCTACCATCCTGAACTTTTGCATTTTTTAATTTCTTGATTTATTATATCATTTACATCTTTAATTTTAAAGTTTTAAAATTATTTATTACAGTATAAGCTTTGCTTACTTTTGAACTTTATAGAAATAGATCCATATACCGTATAATTTCTCTGCAATTTTTTTCTTCTTTCAACATTAAGATGTGTCTATATTGTTGCATGTTACTGTAGTTCATTTTCATTTCTGTTTTCCATTGTGTCAAGATGTGATACAGTATGATGAATACCACTTTATTCATTCTACTGATCAAGGACTTTGTATTGTTTCTCCCCATTTGACATTAAAAAAAAAAACACAACAACACTGGCATTCTTATTTATATCTCCTGGTTTCCATATGCAAGAGTTTCTCTAAGGAGGATTGCCTAGTCATGGAGTCAGAGTCAAGTTAAATTTTTACCTGAACTGCAGAATGTCACACTAGTTTGCCAAGTATTTCTACATTACGTTGTATATGAATTTCTGATGAGCTCCGTCCCATGACTTACTATCAAACTTTTAAGTTTTTGTCTAATAGATGCAAAATGGCATCTCCTTGTGGTCTTAATTTGCATTTTCTATATTACTAATGAGGTTGAGCCCCTTTTCATGTACTTATTGACTATTCCTGTTTTCTTTGCAATGTCTTTTGGGTTGTTCCCATTTTTGTTACTGATTTCAAGGAGATTTTTGTATATTTTGCTTCCTAATTTTTTGTTATATGTGTTGCAGATATCCTTTTCCAGTCTAAATTCTTGTTTTAATAACTTTATATATATATATATATTTTTTGAGACAGAGTCTGGCTCTATCGCCCAGGCTGGAGTGCAGTGGCATGATCTCTACTCACTGCAACCTCCACTTCCTGGGTTCAGGTGATCCTCCTGCCTCAGCCTCCCAAGTAGCTGGGATTACAGGCATGCACCACCACACCCAGCTAATTTTTGTATTTTTAGTAGAGATGGAGTTTCACCATGTTGGCCAGGCTGGTCTCGAACTCCTGACCTCAAGTGATCCACCCGTCTCAGCCTCCCAAAGTGCTAGGATTACAGGCATGAGCCACGGTGCCCGGCCAACTTTATAGTATTTTAAAGTGCTACTAATTTGTGCTTTTAGTTGCAGCCATTTGTCAACTTATCTAACTTTTAATAGTGCTTGATATGGTTTGGATCTGTGTCCCCACCCAAATCTCATGTTGACATGTAATCCCCGATGCTGGACGTGGGGCCTGGTGGGAGGTGATTGGGTCATGGGGGTGGTTTTTAATGGCTTAGCACCATCCTCCTAGTGCCATTTTCTTGGTAGAATTCTCATGAGATCTGGTTGCTTAAA
The DNA here is from genome assembly GCF_000001405.40 of Homo sapiens. Taxonomy (NCBI): domain Eukaryota; kingdom Metazoa; phylum Chordata; class Mammalia; order Primates; family Hominidae; genus Homo; species Homo sapiens. The sequence continues at coordinate 106,422,258 of NC_000012.12, forward strand.
AATATGTAGCATCGTCCCCTTCTCCCTCTTCTTCCTGCTCTGGCCATATAAGACATGCTTGCTTCCCCTTTGCCTTCTGCCATAATTGTAAGTTTCCTGAGGCCTCCCCAGAAACTGAGCAGATGGCCAGCATCATGCTTCCTATACAGCCTGAAGAACCATGAACCAATTAAACCTCTTTTCTTTATAAAGTATATAGTCTCAGTTGTTTCTTTATAGCAATGCAAGAGCAGACTAATACAGTGCTCTTTATTTTTTAAACTTGTGTGTTTAGTATTTGTTCTTTTGTTCATCTGGAATGAAGTAAGGAATCCAATTTCATTTGTTTTCTAAATGGATAACTGGTTGTCCCAGCTCCATTTATTGTATAGTCTTTCATTTCCTCGCTGATCCAAAATGCATCTCTATCATATAACAAGTTTTATTGTATGTGCAGATCTTTTCTGGACTCTTTGGTCTATCCATTGGTCAGCTTGTCTATGTATTCATTAGTACCTTTACCTTTTTTAGGAGTGTCTTGGCTATTTCAGGGTCTTAGCTTTTCCATATAAATTTTGGAATTATTTTGTCAATTTTCATCAAAGTAAGTCTTCTAGGGATTCTAATTGGCATTGCATTGGAACTGTAGATCAATTTGGAGAAGATTCGTAATCTTAAAATATGTAGGCTTTTTATCCATGAATATTTTCTTTTCATTTATTTTGGTTTTCTTTGATGTTTTTCAATAAAGATTTATAATTTTATTCATGAGGGTCTTGCACCTCTTTCAGATTTATTTCTAAGTTTTTAAGGGTTTTTGGTAGACATTTTAAATAAAAATATGAACATTTTCAAAAATATACAAAAATAGAATAGTAAAATTAACTGCCATATATCCATCACAGACCTTCAACTATTATCAGTAGAAGGCAATCTTGTTTCCTCTGTACCCTTCTCAACTCTTTCCCCTCCCCTTATTCCCCAAATTATGTTGTTTAAACAAATTGTCGCCATCAAATCATTTCATTATCTCAGATGTCAAATCACATTCTGTAAATACTTAAAAATGTGTCCCTAAAAGACATGACTAAAATTTTTCACACCTTTTCACACATTAAAATTTTTTAGATAGATAGATAAGATAGGAAGGAATTTATTATGGGAATAGGCACATGTGATTATGGAGACAGAGAAGTCCCACAATGTGCTGTCTGCAAGCTGGAGAACCAGAGAAGCTAGCGGTATAGTTTAGTCCAAGTCCAAAGGTCTGAGAGCCAGGGAGGTGATGGTGTTAACTCTCAGACTGAGGCTGAATGCCTGAGAACCTAGAGTTCTGATGTCCAAGGCCAGGAGAAAATGGGTGTCTCAGCTCCAGAAGAGAGAATAAATTTGCCTTTCTTCTGATTTTTTGTTCTATCTGAGTCCTCAAAAGATTGGATGATGCCTGCTGACGTTGGTTGAGGGCGGATCTTCCTTACTCAGCCCACTGATTGAAATGTCAATCTCTTCCAGAAACACCCTCAGAGACACACCCAGAAGTAATGCTTTTCCAACCTTCTGGGCATTCCTTAACCCAGTCAAGCTGACACCTAAAATTAACTCACATATCCTTATGGTGTCTTTTTTTTTTTTTCCTCGGGACAAGAGTCTTGCTCTGTTGCCCAGGCTAGAGTGCAGTGGCACAATCTCGGCTCATTGCAGCCTCCGCCTCCCGGGTTCAAGTGATTCTCCTACCTCAGCCTCCTGAGTAGCTGGGATTATAGGCACCCGCCACCATGCCTGGCTAATTTTTGTATTTTTAGTAGAGATGGGGTTTCACCATGTTGCGAGGCTGGTCTCAAACTCCTGACCTCATGATCCACCCGCCTCAGCCTCCCAAAGTGTTGGGATTACAGGCGTGAGCCACCGAGCCCAGCCCTCATGGTGTCTTTTAACATATATATATATTCCTCTCCCTCCTAAATTTCTTATAAACCAGGAGTTAAATCTAGAGGATAGATGGTATTCCGGTTTTGGTTTGGTTTAGTTTTTGGGACTAGAACACTTCATGGGTGGTGGGAGTATATCCTATCCTGTATGTCTGATTTTATCCACTTTTTGTGCCATTGAAATTGATCATTGGGTTTAGGTGTTTGGGTCCCTGATTCATCCATTATTAAGTTCCCCATCAACTTTTCTCCTGATAGTTTTATTTAGCATCTGATGATGATCATTTCCTTTATTCATTATCTCATTAGGGCATGCAAAACAGTGATATTCTAACATTTTCATCCTGGTCCATTTATTAGCTGGAATTTTTTAATAAAGAGTACTTTCATTGTCATCCCTTTTGTTACCCTGAAACATAATTTCCATGGGAAAGGTGGGGTAAATGCTTGCTAGATTTTTTTTTAAGCCTGTTTGCAGAATAATGATTTAGTTCTCTAATTTCCTCCAGAAGTGAATAGTGAAGGTGTTTTTTCTCTGAGTATTATTATAAACTTAGGAATTTTAACATTTTTACTTAAGTTTTAGAATTAGCTTCTCCATTTTCACAAATAAATAAATAAAAGCCTGCAAGCTTTTTCATTGAGATTGCATTTGAATTTGTAGGTCAATTTGGGGAGAACTGATATCTAAATAATATTTAGCTTTCCAATCCATGAACATATCATCTCACCTATTGAAATTTTCTTTAATTTCTTTCAGTAATTTTCAGTTGCTTTGTGTTTATTGGCCTTGTATCTTGCAAACTTGCTAAACACATGTGCTATTTCTATTAAGGTTTTTTTCTTAGATTCTTTTGGATTTTCTATGTGGATGAACATATTATCTGCAAGTAAAGACAGTTTTATTGCTTCTTTTCCAATATTTATATCTTTTATTTATTTATCTTGTCCTATGGAACTGAATGGCACCTCCAATACAATGTTGAATAGGAGTGTTGAGCATGGGCAATCTTTTCTTTTTCCCACATTTTCTAAAGGAAAGCTTTCAGTTTCCTGCCCCTCCCTGTGGTATCTGGCCCCTGCTGTGTATCAGTGCAGGATCTTTGCCCAACCAGGTTTCCTGCTCCTCCCCTAGGGAAAGATGCTTCTCCCTCCTCTTCTCTCTGGCATTGCACCTTTTCCTGGAATCAGAGGATTTGCTGGACCTCTTCCGGGGGTAGACTGTTGTTGCTAGTTACTGTAGGTGCAGAGTTTGTTGGGAGAGCCTGGGGGATTAGGGACAGACAGCTTTTGCTTCTGTCCCTCTCTGAGAAGAGGTTATTTTTGCCTCCTGGGACTTTGCCAGGCAGGAGGGTGTCCTGCCCCCTTCCCAGGGACTTAGGTGTTGCTTCCTATGCAAGAAAGCCCAGGGAAGTAGGTAGGTAGGGTTTTATTGCCTGTTTTCCAACAAAGGGGTCTTTCTCAGGTTTTCTCCTCACTGCAGCCTTTCATGAGCACTCCACAGAAAGGAACTTGTGAGTGGGAGTGGACACTTCTTGTGCCTGGGCTTCAGAAGAATTCTGAACTTGTGTGGCAGTCCACATTTGGCCTTTAAGAAGTCCTTAAAATTTTAGCTGATTCCTTCAATTACACTATTTGCATCCTAACTTTTCTTTAAAGTTTAACCACCTAGTTGTACCTTTCTAAACAATATAATGTAGTTGTGCTGGGTTTTGAACCTTATATAAATGGAATCATGCCATATATATGTTGTTTTATGTCTGGTTTCTTTTGCTGAGTATTTGTTTTTAATACTCAGCCATGATTTTGTGGTTAGTTATTTTTTGTTCATTTTCATTGTTTTACAGTGTTTCATTATACGAGTCTACCACAGTTTGTCTATATATTATTTGTATGGTTTCCAGATTTTAGCTGCTATGAATAGCTAGTATAAGTATCTTGAGTGCCCTCCTCCTGCCAGCAGCACTGTCATCTCCTGGGAGCTGATTAGGCATTCATACTCGTGGGCACTACCTTAGACCTACTAAGCTGGAAATTGTAAGGGCAGGGCCTGCAATTTGTGTGTGTGTGTGTGTGTGTGTGTGTGTGTGTGTGTGTGTGTGTTTAAGACAGAGTCTCACTCTGTCGCTCAGGCTGGAGTGTAGTGGCGCAATCTCGGCTCACTGCAACCTCTACCTCCTGGGTTCAAGCAGTTCTCTGCTTCAGCTTCCCAAATAGCTGGGATTACAGGCACCCGCCACCAGACCCGGCTAATTTTTGTATTTTTAGTAGAGACAGGGTTTCACCATCTTGGCCAGGCTGGTCTTGAACTCCAGCTAATTTTTGTATTTTTAGTAGAGACAGGGTTTCACCATCTTGGCCAGGCTGGTCTTGAACTCCTGACCTCGTGATCAACCCACCTTGGCCTCCCAAAGTGCTGGGATTACAGGCATGAGCCACCACGCCCGGGTGCAATTTGTGTTTTAACAATCCCTCAGAGTGATTACTACACATGCTAAAGTTTGAGAAACACTCCTGCAGCAGGTATAACTAGGAGAGGAACTGTTGGGGCACAGGGATGGGTAGATAATGGCAAACTGTTTCCTAAGTGATTGTACCAATTTATACCTTTACCAATGATACAGGAAACATCTTGGATATCTTCAGAGTTTATAATGGTAATTCTTCTCCACCGTCCCCCCCCCCCCCCCCCGTCCTTTTTGGTTTTAATATATAACTTTATCTGTAAAATTAAAAATTAGGTCATTGGTCAATGAAATCTGAAAGTCTAGAAGTGACTGGTCTAAAGAAAATGTCTTTGAATGCAGTGAGTATGTCATCATCTTTGCTCTCGTTTAAATGCCTAGCACGGTGTTAAGCACATAGAAAATTATGTACATATCTGTCAAACTGAATTTGAAAATAGCAATTTTTTTTCTGTTTTAAGCAGTTTCTCCATCTTATTTTTTAAAAATCTTAAGACCTAAAATTTATTAAAATAATCTAGCAATGCTTTTTGAAAAATCACCATATACCTTTTTTTTTTTTTTTAGCTTTTATCTCTTCTTTTTGAAGACTTGTTCAAAAAATTTAATTCTGAAATGAAAAAGATTGCCGACCAGGTGATTCCTAAGCAAAGAGCAGCCCAGTTTGATGTTGTCAAACACATGCGCCAAGACCAGATCACCAATGGCATGGTGAATGCTATTTCTACCGTAAGTCTTCAGTCACTCTTTTAGGATTTTGTAATTTATTTGTAAACCTATTCAATAGAACAGAAACTTAAAGCACTTTGAGAATCCAGGTGAAATATATATATCAAAACGAATGTTTACAAAGCACAAATTTCTACTTTGAAAGAAAGTCTGAAGTGTTTATTACTATAACTTTCCTGCCAAATTATAGTTGCTGTTATATGAGGCAATAAGAAAATAGATACTCTTATATAGAGGAAAAATCTTCATTGAACTGTTAATAACCATTCTTTTAAAGAATACTTTCCCCTATTTTATTCTGTAGTAAAATTGACGCATTTCAGGCAGGTTTATTAATTATCAACCTTTTGTCCAAAATAATACAAAGTGTTTCATTTCACAGGAGGTTTATATTCTTCAAAGACCTATCAGCTGTTCCTCACATAAGCAATGAATTCAGTTCTGGATGAATTCAGTTCTCGGCAGCTGCTGTGTAGTCAGGGTCTCAGGCTATTCATAAAAGGTTATCAGATGGGTTTTTGCTTCCTTTCTTAAAGCATAACAACTATAGGTCTATCTGATGAAGTCTGGTTCATGTTTTGCATGCCAGACATAAAATTAGTTTTATGGATGAGATTTTGCCCCAACAAAGCATAGTATAATCTACCATGTTGATTCCCTTAATGATGAAAGAATTAGTGCAAACTTGCTTCAATACTTGACTTTAGAACTTTATAGTGTGTCTGTGTGAGTGGCCCATACAGTGACAGCTACATCTAAATTTGAGGAGAACCAGGCCTTTGTCCCTATTTAGGCACATAAACTCTAGTGGCCCAAAGTCGTCTGAGGTGGATCCCTGAATATTTGAAGAGAATCTTCCAAAGAATGCTTGAACAAACTTCTGTTAGAATTACTTTTCCTTGCTTCCTCACCCATGATTTTCAGGTCAAAAGAGCTATTTTGAGTAGTTCTTTTGCTCCTAAAGAAAACTGCTTTACCTCCCTGATAGAACTGCTTATTACAAAAATCAGTAGCAGGCCTAGTTACAGGTGTGCCCCACTCTAGGCAACAGAAAAAGATCAACCTTTAAAATTCTTAATGTTGCTATTAGAAGAATGCTTTTACCAAATACATTTTTCTCAAAGGAGCATTTTTAGCCCTCTTGTCTGTTTCTCGTCTCTCCCTTTTGTAATACTCCTACAGAATACAAGAACAAATTCTCTTGCTGAACATCTTGGCTTCACTCCCATCTACTTGCTGCTTGCCAACAGCTGCTGCCTTATTTTAGCTGTGTGCTGAATACTTATTTACCTTATTTACTCTTACTCTGTGGGCATAAGTCAGTTTACTAGATTCATTCTGCCTCCAAGGATAAAAGGAGTTAATGAAATAAGTAATAATATGAGAGGTTCATTTGTGGGATATATATGGTCGCTGTGTTTCTTTGCCTTATAATAGGGTTTCTTAGAGTTTAGCTCTTTCCCACGTTTCAGAAACTCAAGGTTCCAAAGTGATCGATCTTCACTATAACAGTGAGCCAACTGTAATTTGTGAGGGAGCTCCCCCAAAGTTACATATTTTAATGCAAACAGATCATCTAATCTTTTCCTGAAGCCTTAGCAGTTTTTCTGCTACAAGGGTTTTTAACCTGGGATCCACAAGAGTCCAAAAATGAATATAAAATTTTTGTTCTTGTTTCTATGTGCATTTTTCTCAAGAGAACATTCCTGGCTTTTATTGGGTCCTCTGAGGAGGAATGAAGAACCATGGCAGGTGCAGTTTTTCTCTTTAGAATTGTGAGCAAATCTTATTGTCTGCTTTGCTCTTTTTGCTTTTTTTTGGACAGCATCTTACTTCGAGGCTGGAGTACAGTGGTGCAATCTCAGCTCCCTGCAGCCCCTGCCTTTTGGGCTCAAGTGATCCTCCCACATAGCTAGAAATACAGACGTGCACCACCACGCCCAGCTAGTTTTTGTATTCTTAGTAGAGATGAGGTTTTGCCACGTTGGCAGGCTGGTCTTGAACTCCTGACCTGAGGTGATCCACCCACCTCGGCCTCCCAAAGTGCTGGAATTATAGGCGTGAGCCAACACACCCGGCCTGCTTTGCTTTTTTGATGAATACTGTTTTCTACTGTTAATTCATGTTACCATGAATTTAAATTTCAAAAATTTCTAATCTTAATCTTTATCCTTGAGAATATTTTTAATGTATACAATTAATACAATTATAAAATATATTTAAAATAATACAACATATTTAATGCATAAGAAGATAAAGTAAATTTAATGTTCAAGGTTTAGTTCATATGAATCTATTTTAATAATGACACAGTGGCCACAGAGAATATATGTTTCTTAATATGAATATATGTACTATTTTTAGATTCCTTAAACCTTAATTAAGAAGCCTTCAGTTTGTTCATTATCCTAAGTAAATGATATCTGAGTTATTTTTCTGTTGCTACATTTTCCTGTTCTTAAGACTAACTTTGGAAAACATCCAAATAATAGCACATTCCTACATGAAATGATCTCTTTGAGCTTCATACTAGTTTTCCTTTAAATGTGTATAGAAATTGCTGGTGTTTTATCAGTTAGCTTATGACTTCCCATGGAAATCTCTGGTTGAACTGGCTCTTCATTATAGAATTAGTTCCTCAGAAGGTGAGTGCTCTGATGTGGTAAGGTTATGCGTCGAATAATTCTGAGATGGTTGCTAGACATAGTAATGTTCATTATCTTCCTAGAAAACCCCAGCAAGTGACTTGACTAAACTTTCATTTTAATTGTGACACTTTGATTTCTGAATATATGTCATGGTTCTAATTTCGTAAGCATGAAGCTCCTGTAATGAACTTCTTGGAGTGACCGCACGGTATCAGACAACATAGGATTGGGTTAGGAATAGTCTTATGTCTTTCATCTCCCTACAGGGAAATTGGTCTTTAAAGAGATTTAAAATGGACCGCCAGGGTGTAACCCAAGTGCTGTCTCGCTTGTCATATATATCCGCACTGGGCATGATGACAAGAATCTCTTCCCAGTTTGAAAAAACGAGAAAAGTGAGTGGTCCTCGCTCCCTCCAGCCATCTCAGTGGGGAATGCTGTGTCCTTCGGACACTCCTGAAGGAGAGGTAAGGAATCTGAGGAGTCTTGATGCTGTGTAAGAGGCGATACCTATGTCTGTGCATGGGGTGGGGTGGGGAGGTCTGCTTCTGTTCCCATCTCCAGGCCATATCCTTTCTTTGGTCTGTCATTTATCTGGCAAATAAATATTGACATGCTTGGAAGACTACATTAGTATCATTCTAAAACTAGGACCTGCAGAAGCATTTGATTCAGTATGTTAGCTAAAAGTAATATAGTCCATGTTTCTCTTTATTATTTTAGTTTATCCCAAAATCAAAACATGCACAGAGGGGATAAGACTGTGAAGGCAGATTGAAAGACCTACCACCTCTCATGCTCATGAGGGGCTCTTTTTGAGCAGCTCCTTATTGTCCTTAGGTAGGCTCAGTCACAGCCAATTAGGAGTATACAGTCCATGACCTAATGTGGATTTTGACTCACTTATATTGGAAACACAAGCAATTGCCTAAACATCAAGCCAGGGAGTTTACATGGGTTTACTTCTATAGCACCCGCTACTCCCTGTGTCACGGTCCTTTCTCCTTTGTGTTAACATTGTTAGTTTCACTTGATTCTATTCCTTCTAAATTGTAAAATTCTGGAGGAAGGAAGGTTCACCATTGTATCTCAAGCTCCTAACATAGAGCCTTGGTTAGAGTACAGGCCCCATGAATATATGCTGAATTAATAATTACAACAAGTAAAAGATGTAGGGTCCAAAGTGTAGGAATTTATTATTTGGAAGAGATGAAAATAGGAGTCTGTATAGAGCTGCGATTTTTAGAAACTATTTAATTTATCTTAAACCATATGGAAATTGACACTAAAATTATCCAGTTTGTCAAATTTTGCATAATTTATATATCTTGAACTTTGAAACATTTCATTTCCCAGAGATTGCTTCAGCTAACTTCAAAAAAGTAGCTATTTTGTACATTACTGCAGCAGATGGTTCTAAGACCTGAAGATACAATCTTACAAGTCACCTGTCTTAAGTATTTTTTTCCTATTTGCTATATTCTGTCCTTGTTGGTATTTTTGTTTTAGAACTGTACCGGGTTGCATAGATGTTTAAAAAGATTTCTTTTCTTTTCATTTTGAAATAATTTTAGATATACAAAAAAGTGATGAAACTGGTACAAAGATTTTCCACAATCTTTCATCTAGATTCCCAACTGTGAACATCTTATGTAACCATAGCACTGTTATCAGCCTCATGACATTGAACAATACTATAATCTATGGATCTTATTCAAATTTTGCCAGTTGTCCCACTGTTGTCTTTTTTCTGATCCAGAATCACACATTGTTTTTAGTTGTCATGTCTCCTTGTCTCTTTTCATCTGAAAGAGTTTTTCAGTCTGTCTTTATTTACCTTTCGTGACCAAGAAACTTAAGGGCACTGGCCAGTTATTTTATACAGTCTCTCATTTCAGGCCAGAAGTTTTATATTTTTATGTAGCTGCATTTATTAATGTTTTCCTTTACTTATTTTATACAATGTCATCATAATGACTGTAATGTTCCAATGTCTGGGAGTAATTGTTAATGTAATCAGTTTTGTTGGGCATTTATGATGTCGTCAGCATTTACAATTACAAATAGTACTGTGCTGAGCATTTCTGTATCTAAATCTATTTTATATCCTTGCTTGTTATGAAGAGAAATTCCCCTGAGTTAAGGGATATATATATTTTTTAAAGGCATTTGTGCGAATCACCACAGTATCCCCTACAAAGTTGTACTGCTTTGCATTGCTGCCAGCAAAGTAGTGAGCTATTTTCAGATGTAAACTGTACTTTGTATTACTAATGTTCATTCTTAGAAATGACCATCTTTTGTTTTTTAGGCATGTGGTTTGGTTAAAAACTTGGCCCTTATGACACACATCACAACTGATATGGAAGATGGACCCATTGTTAAATTAGCCAGTAACTTGGGAGTAGAAGATGTGAATTTATTATGTGGGGAAGAGCTCTCTTACCCAAATGTGTTTCTTGTCTTTCTTAATGGTGGGTATATTATAGAGACATGTTGGTCCTAGATAGTCTGTGAAGAGGGGGAGGGAATCCATTATTATCCTGGTATTTAAAGCACAGATAGACTTTAATTCTGGGCCCAGGTTGACCTTCACTTAAAGGTAGAAAATACAATGATAACAGAAACAGTTACTTTGTTGGCTGGGTTATCCAAGGTTCTGAGAGGATATAGCTATCAGAGCTAAAGGGTAACTTTGCAGAAAGTGGCTGCTTTCTCCCCTTTTGCAGTTGCTGGCATATCCTTAGTGGAATACGGTTCAACATGGTATCTTTAAGTACAAGTCAAATATTGGAGTCATTCTGCAAAAATTATCAGATCAACTCTTATAATGAATTGACTTTGTCTAGCCATCTGATAATCAATATGTCAGCAGCCTGTGATAAGAGGATCCCTCTCCTTTGGCTCACACTCCAGTTATTTCTTTCATATACCTCTTCCCGTCTCCTTCGAAGTCTTCCAGAGACTTAGCAGCAAGTGTGCTCTCTTCCTTTCTGCTTTTGATTTGGTGCTGTGTGCCTGTTCTCTCCCTAGTATGCTCCATGAGCTTATCCCTTATCACTTGTCTGTTCTCTCTTCCTCTCCCCCTTCCTCTCATTCTAGGAGGCATTAACTCTTTTTTATATCTGCTGGTGAGGAAGGGGTCAGAGCCTCAGCAGGGCTGTTAACTGACTGCCTAGTTCATTGTATCCCAGAGGCTAACATTGAGTGAGCTTTTACTCTGCACTTTCACCCAGTGCCTCTTTGAATCCTCCCGCTAACCTTGGGAAGCAAAGTTCATTTTCCTCATTTCACAAATGTTGATTACAACAAGAAGCAGTTTAATAATAGCAGTTAGTAGGTGCTAGGCAGAATTCTCAGTACTTTAAATGATCAGCTCGTTTAACCTTTACTGCCAGCCTGTGGAAGTGATGGAGCCAGTGTTCAAACCCAGGTTGTTTGGACCCCAAGTTCATGCCCCAGCACTGTGCTGAAAGATGAGGAAAATGAAGCTGACTTTTCCAGTATTCCTCAGCCTGCATGTGGAAGGACTGGCCCTTAAGCATTCTTCCTTTGTTGCTTCCCTGCAACCTTGTGGACTGGCTGCAGGTGTTAATAATGGTATTTTCAAATAACTGCTTAGTGCTGATTACTATTTTTATTGGTTGGATATATTAAATCAGGTTGCATTTATTTTTTATTTCTGTCTTACCTGTTCTTTCTTTTTGCCTAGGTAACATCTTAGGTGTCATTCGAGACCACAAAAAGCTAGTGAATACATTTCGACTCATGAGAAGAGCAGGATATATCAATGAATTTGTTTCCATCTCAACAAATCTTACAGATCGATGTGTCTATATTTCTTCTGATGGGGGAAGGCTATGCAGGTATATATGCAGGTTACTAAAAAGAGTTTTTAAGAATCTCTTTATATTTGCTCTTGAAAGAAATAGACTTGTTTTTATTTTTGAAACTGTTTTAACCTCTTTCATTGTGAAGATAAATTTAATTCCGTGAGCAAACACTTCATGAATATGCATATTAGGTACCGAGGATTCAGATTAATGGGAGACAGAGTCTGCCCTCAGAGAGCTCAGTCTGCCGGGAAAGGCAGAAAAAATGACTAATAACAATCAACTGTGGTAGTGGTTAATGCTAGCCACCATTTGTCATTTTAATGGAGACACTATATGTGTAAGGCTTTAACTTCTTCATTCAACCCTATGAGGTTGGATTATTCTTGTCATTTAAGAAATGAGGAAACTGAGGTTCAGTGAGGCTAAGTAACTTACTGAAAGCTAAAGAGTGGTGGAATCTGTTTTTTATTTGAAAGTCCTTAGGATTCGTTTGACGCATGATTTTGCCCACTATAGTCTGTTGCTACAAACTGAGCTTTAAAGGAGGAGTAGGATTGTGTTAACTTGGAGGTAGGTGGGGAGGAGAAAGGCTGAAAAAAGGCAAGAATGAAAACATGGAGGCATGAAGAAATAAAATAACACTAGATCCAATGGAAAAGTAGGTTCCTTTTATTCATTCAGTAAGTATTTATTAAGGGCCTATTGTGCACAGGTACTATCTAGGAGCCGGAGGTACAGAGACGAATGTGACATGGTGTCTGGTTTGAGGGGCTATGCAGAGACATCAGCTGAGGACATTGCCTTGTGTCACAAGCCTTTTCTAGCATTACCGTAGTTATTCTGTGTATACCTCGGGTAGTGTTGAAGCACAAGGCAGTGAGCCAGCAGTAGCTGGAAGTCTGTCAGAGCTGGGAGAGTGACTGCATGCTTTCTTTCCTCCAGCATCCTTTCCTCCTTCATATGACACTACCTCATTTTCTTTTGAGGACTGCCTGTCCCCATTGGCAGGCTTCTTGGGATGGTCAGTCCAGCACCCTCTTCTCTTCAGCCAGGGGTTGGGCATATGACCCAAATGAGGTCAGTCAGACCCCCTCATCAGAGAATTTGAATCCCAGGTAAAATAAATCAAGGGAGGGAGGTGGTTGGACTTGATTCATTCTCCCAGTGCTACATGCAAGAGACTGCCTGTTAAACCTCATTTTCTGGATTCTTGGAACTGCTCTCGTTCCTTTTCTTTCTGAGGCTGAGCATTTCACCTTTTTCTTTGATTCTTATCCTTCCATTAAATTATTTTTTTTTTTTTGAGACAGAGTCTCACTTTGTCACCCAGGCTGCAGTGCAGTGGTACGATCTTGAGTCACTGCAGCCTCCGCCTCCCAGGTTCAAGCGATTCTCATGTCTCAGCTCCCCACCCCCGTCCCTGACCCAGTAGCTGGGATTACAGGCACACACCACTGCCCCTGGCTAATTTTTTGTATTATTAGTAGTGATGGGGTTTCACTGTGTTGGCCAGGCTGGTCTCGAACTCCTGGCCTCAAGTGATCCACCCACCTCAGCCTCCCAAAGTGCTGGGATTACAGGTGTGAGCCATCGCACCCAGCACCTGTAAATTCTTAATGCTTCCAGTAAACTTCATTTTTGCTTAAATTAGCCAGAATTGGTTTCTCTTCTTTGCAACCGAAGAATGGTTAGCTGATGATATACCTGTGTTTGAATCCTAACTTCCCACTTACTGAGTTGTGTGACTCTGAGTATACTACTTCAGTCTCTCAGCCTTGGTTTCCTTGGCTGTAAAATGGAAACAATAATGCCTGCCTAAGATTGTCCTGAGAACTAGTTGATAGAAGGTGTGGTAAGTGCTCAGTAGGGTGCCAGGCACACATTAGGTGCTTATTTATAACTTAATAGCATGGTCCAGTTAAGGGCAGGAATAACAGTGACATTTTCTAGGTTACTCTTTTTTAGGATTTCATTACATCCAACATAATATATATTCAAAAATAAAACTCTTTTATAGAAGCAACTTTATAATGGCATAACAGATCTAGCAGGAAAAAATAGTAGAATGCGTTGAGTAACGTAAGGATAACTGAGGCAGCTAAATGTGATCCCCTCCCTCTCCTCCGCCGGTTTCTGTCTTCTCATCTGAGGCTTAACCTGAATCCACTGCAGCGCTCAAATGAGGCATTAGTAGGCTCTGCTTCCCTACCAAGAAGGAGCCAGAATTTCGAGGTACTGTGGATTTCCATGAAAAGCTCACCCAGTTCATTTTTCAACAACTTGTGTTCCCCTTTTGTAATTGTGCAGCTCCTCTTCTTAACTGTTGAAAAGTGCTCATTAGTCCTCAAATAGTTATTTGGACTTTAGGGTAGAGCGCACAAGTGTCTGGTGGTTACTTGCTCCTCTCTGTAAGAGCTGCTTATCCAAATAGCAACAGCCCTTGACGTTTCAGTGCCGCATGCCATCCTTTGTGTCCGGGTTTCCTCATGGTGGCAAAGCCCTCCGAGGCAAGTCCCCACTGACAGTTACAGGTTAATCTGCCAGAATGCCTTCTCCACCTTCCACCCATTACGTCACTGAAAACCACAAAGTAAGAAAGCTTCATTCTCTGCCAACTTTTAGCCACTCTCTTTGGTAATGTGTAGCTTTAAGTATCTTGCTAACCTAGCTCAGTGATGTTTAGACTAAATCAAACTACTCTAAACATCTGGATATTCATCAGAACCTCACAACACAACGCCGTTATTACCCTAGGTGACAGTGCTTCTTTGCCTGTTAACTCCATGAGTAGTATGCAAAATTTTCCAATGTGAAATCGGGAAGTTTTTAGATTGATACATTACACCGTTTTTTAAAATATGGCATTAAAGGTTTTGTTTCCTTTTCAGACTTTGAGTATCATTTTTGTGTTGCCTTTTCATTCAAAACCAAATGTTTCCTAAGATACTTGCAGGAAGCACTGTGTGTGTGCATGAATATGTCCACACATACTCACATGTACACATGGGCTTGGGTATGTATGTGTGTGTATGTGAGAGAGAGCATAGTCCCCTACACCATGCTCATCCATACAAAAATTACCTGGTGTCCTCAGCAATCCAGGAATAGGTTTGTTTGTATTTACATCTTCCCTCATCTCACTTTGGTAAACTAACTTGCCTGTGTAATTTTTCCCTGGAACTATTATTAATTTGGTTTGCTGTTTCCATTCTAGACCCTACATAATTGTCAAGAAACAGAAGCCAGCAGTCACAAATAAACATATGGAAGAGCTGGCCCAAGGGTACAGGTAAGTAGCCAAAAGTAAAACTTACCAATCTCCTTAATACCCACATACATGATTTAAGAAAAGTGTATTTTCATTTTAGTGTTTTAATTTCTTTCCACCAAATTACCAGCCTGTTAAAAACCTATTTTGCTCCATGTGAACTTGCTTGGACATTGTAAAATATTCATCAATTTAGATCATGAGGGTTACCTAGTCTTGATGTCAGTTAGTACACAAGTAAGTGTTTCTGGTAAGAAAAGGACTTACATCATGTGTCAGTGTAGACACTGTGGGTCTCATTATGAGGTTTCTAAGGTCAGAATTTTTTTTTTAAGAAGTGGGGACTAGGTTCACAAGAGTTACAGACAGACACTTTGCTGTTTTTATTTCAGCAGTTTGTGGTTACTGTGTGAGCTAAGAATAACATGTTTCAGGTATCCCAATGTAATGATATTCTCTGGGAGAGAAAGGTGCTTTGGGCCTAAACGAAAGCCAGTATCTCCTGTTATTATATAAAATACTGCAGAAAAATGCTTTTTAATGATGTCTCTTTCACCAATATTTTCCCAGGAATTTTGAAGATTTCTTACATGAGAGTCTGGTTGAATATTTAGATGTGAATGAAGAAAATGATTGTAACATTGCACTGTACGAACACACAATTAATAAGTAAGTAGGATCCATAGCAACCATAATTAAAACGTGTTCTGACTATAGAAACTACCTTCTCTTTTACTGTCATCTTCAGTCCTTCTATCTTTTACTCTTTTGACAGGAACTGTTAGAAATATACAATCTTCTTTTTTTTGTTTGAACATGCAGGTTTGTTACATAGGTAAACGTGGGCCATGGTGGTTTGCTGTACCTATCAACCCATCACCTAGGTATTAAGCCCAGCATGCATTAGCTATTTATCTTGATGCTCTTCCTCCCCCAACCCCCTAACAGTCCCCCTGGTGTGTGTTGTTCCCCTCCCTGTGTCCATGTGTTCTCATTGTTCAGCTTCCACCTGTGAGTGAGAACATGCGGTGTTTGGTTTTCTGTTCCTGTGTTAGTTTGCTGAGGATGGCTTCCAGCTTCATCCATGTCTCTGCAAAGGACATGATCTTGTTCCTTTTTATGACTGCATAGTATTTCATGGTATATATGTATATTGTATATTTCTGTATGTACCATAAAGAAATATACAATTTTATAGCAGAGCATAACGCATCATTTATCCTAGTGAAGAGTATTACAAAGCAGCTAACAAGTCATCTTTAGATTTAATTATCCTTCCTATTCGTGTGACAGTTTATATATATACACACACACACTCATAGAAAGATATATCCATATATCCATATAGATAGATAACCATATATATATATGTATATAAAACCATATATATGTTTTTTTTTTTTTGAGACAAGGTCTTGCTCTGTCACCCTGAAGGAGTACAGTGGCACAACATAGCTCAGTGAAACTTAAAACTCCTGATCTCAAGTGATCCTCCCACTTCAGTCTCCTGAGTAGTTGGGATTACAGGCATGAGCCACCATGCCCAGCCTTAATGTGTATTTTTTAAAAGGAGTTGCTTCTCTGATTTTAATACTTGATTACTGCCAAAGTTGAACTAATGAATCAAGCTGTATAAAAATATACTTACCTCTGTTAGAGATGATTTTTGTCCATGGACATCTGAATTCTTGTCAGTGCAGGAATTCTCTACATAGTCTGTTCAAAAACTCTAAGTTTATGTGCAGTATGCACTTGAATTGGTAGTATGTTCACAATATTTCTTCTTGAACAATGATATTTTTAGAAGCATCTGTGTTCCATTTTAGAGTACATTAAAGAACATCTATGTAACTTGCTGTCTGATGCATGTGACTGATGTACCACTTACCTGAAATTGGAATTCTTGCAGATATATTGCTAGAGAGTTTAATACTACCACCTAATAACTATTTATGTCTTCAATCAAGAATAAGTACTTTTCTGACCCAGTGTAATGGCTCACCCCTATAATCCCAGTGCTTTGGGAGACTGAGGCAGGAGAATCGCCTGAGGCCAAGAGTTTGAGACCAGCCTGGACAACATAGCAAGACCCTATGTCTAAAAATAAAAATAAAAAATTAGCTGGACACAGTGGCACACACCTGTAGTCCTAGCTACTTGGGAGGCTGAGGTGGAAGGATCATTTGAGCCCAGGAGTTATGGGTTACACTGAGCTATGATTGTGCCACTGCACTCCAGCCTGGGTAAGAACCTATCTCTTAAAACAGGAAAAAGAAAAACTTTTCTGTTTTCTGCTACCAAATGAAATATATTACTTTTTAGAAGATTATAATTTACCAGCCTGGGTAACATGGCAAGACCCCGTCTCTACAAAAAACTTAAAAATTAGCCAGGTGTGGTGATGTACGCCTGTAGTCCCAGTAACTCAGGGGGCTGAGGCTAGAGGATTGCATGAGTCCAGGAGGTGGAGGCTCTGTGAGCCATGTTCATGCCACTGCACTCCAGCCTGGGTGACAAAGCAAACCCTGTTGCCAATATATATATTGCAAATATATATATTTTTTGCACTTTGTAAATAGTGGTTTTTGGTCAGAATTTTTCTTCCTTAAAGATGTGAATCTCTCAAAGTGCTATTTTATACCCCTCATTTCAAAATTGACTGAGGGCCAGGTGTGGTGGGTCACACCTATAATCCCAGCAATTTGGGAGGCTAAGGCATGAGGGTTGCTGGAGCTCAGGAGTTTGAGATCAACCTGGGCAACACAGTGAGACCTCATCTCTACTAAAAATAAAAAAAAGTTAGCCAAGTGTTGTGGTGTGCACCTATGATCCCAGCTACTTGGGAGGCTGAGGTGGAAGGATCACTTGAGCACAGTTTGAGGCTGCAGTGAGCTATACTTGGAACACCACTGCATTCCAGCTTGGGCGAGAGAGTGAGACCCTTACTCAAAAAAAATATAGATATAGATATGTATCCTGAGTATAAAAGAAAACTATTTTATAGTAGCCCCATAAATGACAGTTCCATCGTTGTATTACTCAAGCCAACAAAACTGTCTATTTCCGTCCTGACCCTTTTTCTCTATATTGACATCAATCCCTAGCTCATCACATGAGCCTTCCAAATACATCTGGAATCTGAACTCTTTTTCACTACCTCAATCCATCACCTAGTCCAGGCCATTTGTATGTCTTACCTGGATTTTTGCAAAGGCCTCCTGACTATTTTGACACCTGTTCCCATATAGTCTTTTCCTAATAGAGCAGAGGGGGCATGTCCGTTCTCTTCTCAAATCCCTCAGGGGCTGTCGGTCTCCCTCAGAAGTCCTTACAGAAGCCTTCCAGTTCCTGCACAATCTGCCCACTTCCATTTCTACCTCTCCCCACTCCCTGTTTCAACCACACTGGCCTCTTCTCCAAACACTCCAGGCGTGCCTCTGCCTTAGCACCTTTGCACTGGCTGCTTCCTCTGCCTGGAGCACTCTCTCACATACCTGCATGGCTCACTGCTTCACCCCCTCCAGGTCTTCACTTAGGTGTCACCTTCTCGTGAGATTTTTCTGACCACTCTAGTGAAAGTAGAAACTCTTATCTCTATCCACTCCTCTTTACTACTTTTTTTTTTTTTTTACTTCTTGTGCCTATTACCATAGAGTAAAATTGGTATTTTACTGATGTATCTATGTATTGTCTATCTTCCCTCACTTAGAAGCTTCACGAAGGCAGGGATTTTCATCTGGTTTTTCATTGATGTAAATGAATATAACTCTCAGCGTTACCCAATTACCAAGCTATTCCATACATCAAATTAATTTCATTTAAAAAATCTAGAAGTTTTTGTATTATTTAATTCATACTTATGTTTTTTAAAATATAGAAATGCATGAAGTACAAAGAATGAATCCCCTTCCTTTCCCATCCCACCAGACTCCACCCTCCAGAAGTTGCCGATGCTAATAATTTCTTATGTACTATTCTAGATTTTTTTTCTGAGTACAAACATACACACATGATTCCACACAATGTGTGTGTATAAAACAGTGATAACATTTCCAGTGCCTTGATTTTGAAACTTAACCAGTATACTCTGGACATTTTCCATATTAGTATATATATTTATATACATGTATATTTGTATACACAGTCTTATGTCACTTAATGATGGGGATGCGTTCTGAGAAGTTTGTTGTCAGGTGATTTCATTATGTGAATATCGTAGTGTACTTAAACAAACCTAGATGGTGTCTGTCACCCACTGTCACCTACTACACACATAGACTGTATGCTAAAGCCTATTGCTTCTAGACTACAAACCTGTACAGCATATTACTCTACTGAACATTGTAGGCAGTTGTAGCACAATGGTAAGTATTTGTGTATCAAAACATATCTAAACAAAGAAAAGGTATAGTAAAAATGCAGTATTATAATCGTTTGGAACCACCACCATTTATGCAGTCTGTTGTTGACCAAAATGTTATGTGGTGTGTGACTGTATACATATATATATTTTTTTAATTGCCATTTGTTATTACATTATCTACCTACACACATTTAGTTTATTAACTAGTTTCCTACTGTTGAATATTTAGGTAGTTTCCAATTTTTCTACTGTTATAAACAACAGGTTATTTAGTTTTCATTCGAACTAAATTTAAGTGCTTTATACACAGTGAATAAGAAATCTCGGCTGAGTGCAGTGGCTCACGCCTGTAATCCCAATACTTTGGGAGGCCAAGGCAGGCAGATCACCTGAGGTTGGGAGTTTGAGACCAACCTGACCAACATGGAGAAACCCTATCTCTACTAAAAATACAAAATTAGCTGGGTGTGGTGGCGCATGTCTGTAATCCCAGCTACTCCGGAGGCTAAGGTGGGAGAATCACTTGAACCCGGGAGGCGGAGGTTGCAGTGAGCCAAGATCGCACCATTGCACTCCAGCCTGGGCAGCAAGAGCGAAAATCCGCCTCAAAAAAAAAAAAGAAAGAAAGAAAGAAAGAAATCTCCCAATTCCTGTTCAGTTTCTAAACTGATGATTTTAAAGAGAATAATTTTTTTTTTTTGTAAAGTCAGAATCTAGAGTGTTTGGACTTCCAGTAATTATTAGATACTATGTGAGTTTATGTATGTTGTCACCATAAGAGAAAAAAACTTCAGATATTTCTTTTCATTTTTCAACTCAATCCAATGTTAACATCTGAAAAAGTAGTTTTTACTTAGATGGAAAATGTCAACTTGGCCAATATTTAAACAAAGCAGTATATTTAAAAGAAAATCTGTTTTCTTCTAGACTATAAAATGTAGCTATAAGCTGATGTTCTTTAAAGAAAAAAGCAAAACAAAACCTAGAGTATTTTCCCTTCCTGCTTAACAAAGGAAGTCTTTTCCCTTCCTGCTTGTCTGAGAGGATTGGGGTTCTGCTAGGTCATAAGGTGAAAACAGTACTCTTCAAACCAAGAACCACATGGAAGGCACTTTCTCTCACCAAACTAGGGACATAATTTAATACATGTGTTTTGGAAAAAAAAATAGGTTAATAACTGGATAAGTGGGAGATCTTTTACCAGGTACATTCCATTGATGGGCTGGGACGTGGTTTCTTGGACATCACTTCAGTCCACAGGTGCTGTAAACCACTGAAATTCTTAAGGTTACACTTCACAAACACTTGAGGGAAAAATAGCGGGTCCACAGAGATCACAGATCCTGGATGACACATCTGGTACTTTCCACAAATACCTATAATTAATCTGGGTACTCTTTCCTATTAACACATCTGAGTAGCTTCATCATTTGGCCAAAAAACTGAATTTTCTGCAGAAATATATTATGAAAGTAACCAAGATTCTGACATCTACTAGGTAAAATCTTACTTTGTGTCCAGTACTACCCATAGCAGAGCTGTCCAGTAAAATAAAATGCAAGCCACCTATATAACCTCAAACTTTCTAATAGCCACATTAAAAAGGTAAAAAGAAACTGGTAAAATTATTTTGAATAATAGTTTTATTTGTCAACATATCCAAAATATTATATCAACAGGTAATTAATATAAAACTAATGAGCTATTTTACACTTTTTTTCCTACTATAAGTCCTCAAAATCTGGTGTGTGCTTACAGCACATTTCAACTTGGATGCCAATTTTTTATCAGAAATACTAGATCTCATTTCATAACATTTACACTTTTAAAAGATTCATAAATGTGAGTTGTTCCAAGATAAAAGATTTTATATAACTGAACTGAGTTACTTAAATTTCAATTTGAGTTTTAAAATTTAAAGTAATTAAGTAAAATTTAAAAATTCAGTTTCTCAGTCACACTAGCCCGGCATTTCAAGTGCTCAGTAGCCACAGTTATCTAGTGTCTAGTGGCTATGGTATTGGTCTCTGTTGGTCTATAGTAACTATTCTTTTTTTTTTTTAAGACAGAGTCTTGCTCTGTTGCCCGGGCTGGAGTGCAGTGGCAAGATCTCAGCTCACTGCAACCTCCGTCTCCTGGGTTCAAGCAATTCTCCTGCCTCAGCCTCCAGAGTAGCTGGGATTATAGGTGCCCGCCACCATGCCTGGCTAATTTTTTGTATTTTTTAAGTAGAGACAGTGTTTCACTGTGTTGGCTAGGCTGGTCTCGACCTACTGACCTCAAGTGATCCACCTGCCTCGGCCTCCCAAACTGCTGGGATTATAGGCGTGAGCCACTGCATCCGGCCTATAGTACCTATTCTTTTTTTTTGAGACGGAGTCTCGCTCTCTCGCCAGGCTGGAGTGCAGTGGCATGATCTCAGCTCACTGCAACCTCCGCCTCCCGGGTTCAAGCAATTCTCCTGCCTCAGCCTCCCAAGTAGCTGCGACTACAGGTGGGTGCCACCACACCCATCTAATTTGTATTTTTAATAGAGACAGGGTTTCACCATGTTGGCCAGGATGGTCTCGATCTCTTGACCTCATGATCCACCTGCCTCGGCCTCTCAAACTGCTGGGGTTACAGGCATGAGCCACTGTACTTGGCTAGTAACTGTATTTAAAGGACGTATATTCCACTCTTAAATGGTGATACAACCTACTCATTGATATATGTTAGAAGAATGAGGAAAAGCAGGCTAGTCATCCATGTGAATATTGTTGATGTATTTCTATGTGTTGAATATAGTAATTTATGTGTTAATTACAATTTCTTATGTTTTACTGTATTTTATTTAAGTATGTTTTTATTTTACCAGTTTTACTAGCATCAAATTTTATTGACATATAAATCCCTGGAGGACCTAGATAACAATATTTTTGTACCCTTTAAAAGACATTTATTTTTGTACTTGATGCTTAAGATATGTGATTTTTACTTAACTTGTTAGAGACACCACCCACTTGGAGATTGAACCCTTCACTCTTCTCGGCGTGTGTGCTGGACTTATCCCATACCCTCACCATAACCAGTCACCGAGAAACACTTATCAGTGTGCCATGGGGAAACAAGCCATGGGTAAGATTTCCTTCTTGAAAGTTGGTTCTAAATACTTGGAAATACTTTTGGAAAAAGCCTTACATCTTTATTCCTGCTTCACCAGTATTATATGTTCCCAACCAGGCACTGGGAACACCTGAGGGTTACCAAGCCCAGGGAGTTGCCTATGGAACTCTGCAAGGCTTGGTGCCCTGCTATGTCTAAATCTTAAACAAAAAATGGAGAAAACCTCTCTAAACTTGTTTCCTTCACCAAACAAAGCAATGTGTAATAAGTGTCACAGAATTAAGAGGGATAAATATAAAGAGAAAAGCCCTATAAGATGTAACTTGTTAACCTTGAGAGAAGGGAGAAAGGGCAGAAAAACTCAAGGTTAAGGAGGAAGAGGGAGAAAAAAATAAAGATGTACGATGTCTATTTGAGTGTACCTAGTAATTGCCTGATTGACAATCCCCAAACCCATTATACCCTTGCAATTGCTAGTGTATCTCCTAAAACTTATCCAATTCATGTCACACTGATTTCTGAGTTTATTTTCCTTCCTCTTTCTCTTTGTCTTCTCTTTCATCTATTAATTTATTTATTCATTCATTTGTAACATTTATTGAGCATAACTGTAGACTAGACATGAGGCTGGAGCCTGAAAATAGAGAGATGAGGCAGAGCCCTGTGCTCAGGGAGTTCAAAGTCTAGTAGGAGAGACCAACAAATAAAACAGTAACGCAATCTGGTGTAATAAATGCTGTAATTGACAACCAAAATCTAAGAAAATTAGAGGAGGAAGATCACTTAAAGTGAGAGTGGGTTTTTTCTGAAGGGTAGAGCTGAGCTGAGTCTTGGAAGACTGAGTATTTTTGAAGGTATGAAAGTGTGAACAAGTATGGCATAAGAGGTCTCAGTACTTTAGTGTGGCTGCCTAGTGTAGCATGGTACAGAGGCGTGAAGGGGAGGTGCCATATGTTGAGGAGTTTGAGTTTTATCTTGAAGGTAATACAGAGAGAATACCAGTGCCCCCTGACCCCGCCAAAAAAAAAGTTTTACTTATAAAGCTTTTTGAAATGTTTTAAAAAATCATTTAAATCCTAATATATTTAGTAAATTTTATTTTCATATATGCCCATGACACCAATATGATTGCCATCTCTGATTTAAAGTATGATACAAGGAGCTTCATAAAGAAACTGTAAAAATACAGAGAGGGAGGCATTGCATTGCATTTGGGTAACAACCAGAATGCATTTAGCTCCTCCATTACCAACAACCAGCTGCAACTGACCATAGCTTGGCAATTAAGAAACCCTATTTCTTCATTATGGATAGAGAGTAGATATATTTCTTTTCAAGTTTTTATATTGCCCTCTGGTTAGCTACAGAGAAATAAAAAGCATTTTATCCTGCTGGTATTTACCTGAATGATGTAAGCCTGGACAGTTGAGAATAATTCCCAGTGGGAAAATCTAAACAGCAGCTCATCAATTTAGCCTTTCCCATTCATCCTCAGTAGCGGTGTAGGCTGATTTCCCGCTTGTGCTTCTGACTTGCTAACAAGTTGAAATATACAGTACTGAACCCTGTGTGTCATGAAAGGGCTATCACTTCTATTGGGTTTACCAAACCATTTTGTTTCATGATGTGAATCCCAGCTGAAACAATACACCTTTTGTGTAGAACCTTCAGCAGAATTAACGGAAGACTAATCACTTCATCGCTAATGCCACTCTTCAGTGTGTTTGAAGATCGAAACAGAGCTGCAACTATCTCTATGTAGTGAAGCTTTTTTAAAAAATAAAGAATAGACTTGAAAGAAAGAAATAATATTTTTATTTTTATAACTCCTCTCCCCACAAAAAAAAAAAAAAAAAAGAAAAGAGAAACCCTTTATATGTGGCAATGAGTATCTGAAACGTTTGGTTAGTTACCACACACAGTTAAGCAGGATCAGTGTGTACAGAAAGCCAGTTCAGTGTCTGTAGAGTTCTTTTGTAGTTTTCTGTGTGAAGGTTTTTTTTCTCGTTTTGTTTTGAGTGTCATTTGCAATTCATTGTCTGTGTTTTCTGAGGTTGGTGTATTCAGCTGCTCTGACCCTGGGTCCTGCACATTTAGCTCCTTGGATACAATCCTCTGACGTTACTGCTGACGCTAGGAAGACAAAAGCCACTGAATATCTTAAGTAATAAAAAAAAGCCTTTGTTACTGTTTGTTATTATAAAACACCTGACTGGAAAGAAAAGCAGCGAGATAAAAGTACATTTAGAGTTGGCATATAATGCAGCAGCATTTCTCTGTGGACACTGAAATAGCTGCAGAAGTATTGAGCAAAGTCTGCTTGAAAAATGACAAAAGGAAAAAGGTCAGCAGAGGGAGAAAACCCACAGCAGATACCCAGGTCTGTAATGCAGACTTCGCACTTTGAGTAGGACTTCTCTGGATCGTTTTAATTCCTTGCAGTCTTGACAGCTGACAACTAAAACTCATACTCTATCCCATTTTTACTATGAGCCATTGCTAAACATTATTTAAATTCAGAGCTTCTATGTGGATTTTCTAAAATAATATTTTAGTTGGTATTCATCTGTCTGCTGGTCCATGTATAACGTGCAAGATAGTAGCTCAGAATTAATTCACTAAATATTCTAGCCAATCTGGAAAATTTGCTCTCTACCATTCCCTACTATCCCTCCCACTCCCCCTACAAGAGAGTGAAGAAATGAGAGAAAGTCATTTTCTATCACTACGAAGGAGACCAAGGCCAGCACAAACCACAGAGATGGAAAGCCTTACCTTCTATGTAAGAGAGCTAATCCACGATAAAACACCAGCAGAGGGTGTTTTTTAAATCTTAGGCGCTTTATTAATAAAGTTCGAGTTTCCACACAGCATCTTACTGTGCCACTGAGAAGCACTTCTCCATGGGTATGGCTGTGTGTGTATTGTGACATGGCTCAGAGCAAGAAGTCAGGTGGACATCTGGAAATGGCTGGATCTCCAGGTCACTCGCTCAGCACTACCAGGAAGGGCTGTGTGTTGGAGCCGCATTTTGTGTCCTCTCATCGGCACCCGATGCCAAGTTCACATGAGCCACACTTTCATATCCTGCCCATTTATTAGTTGGCAGTCCTCTAGTGGAACACTTTCTCCTGTGTAAAGGATCATTCAGTTACTATCAGCTCAATTAATGAATATGCAGCACAGACCTTCCCAGACCTCAACAGTGGCTTCTTCTCACTACCCCTTCCTGCTTCAACTTCAAACTACTGGGACTTTTTTTAAAGCTCAGGAGTGAATGCAGCTTCTGTTTTTGTGTTTGTTTTTAATAGATTTTATTCCTAAGTAGATAGTTTCTTCCTTTATGTTCCGCACTTTACAGTAGGCTGAGATGCACTAGAAATAGGCTGGAGAATTTTGAGACACTAAAAACACAATATACAAAGATCCTCATAAAATTTTGTTTCATTCTACACCTCCTCCCCCTTTCTGTTTGATTTGATTTTTAGCATATTTATTCTTTGTCCGTTTAAGGGTACAAAATGCAAAAAATGTTCTGGCCAAATTACCCCTGGAAATTATTTTTTGAATTCTGCTATTGGTTAAAAGTTTTTTTAATTATTATAGCTATTTTAGGTTTAAGCTTATGTGGTATTTCCTAAGACTAGAATGTTAGCGATGAATATATACATATATATGGAGGTAAAATTGAGTACACTAAGTTTAGTATGTAGGTTTGAGTGGGAGGTAGAATGGATAATATTACAGGGTAATAAGGTATGTATTTTTATTATTACTAATATTGTTAATATTGGTCATAAATAATGTTGCCACTTACTGAGTATCCAAATTCTTTACATACGTTATTTCTTTTTTTTTTTTTTTTTTTTTTTTTTTTTGAGATGGAGTCTTGCTGTCACCCAGGCTGGAGTGCAGTGGCACGATCACAACTCACTGTGACCTCCACTTCCTGGGTTCAAGGAATTCTCCTGCCTTAGCCTCCTGAGTAGCTGGGACTACAGATGCACACCACTATGCCCAGCTAATTTTTTTTTGTTTTTTAGTAGAGACAGGGTTTCACCATGTTGGCTAGGCTGGTCTCGAACTCCTGACCTCAGGTGATCCACCTGCCTTGGCCTCCCAAAGTGCTGGGATTACAGGTGTGAGCCACTGCACCCAGCCCATTTTTTTTTAATTACAATAATAATCCTTTGAAATATAATACATACTTTTTTTTGTTCTGACAAGGAAGCTGAATCCCAGTTTTGTTGAGTAACATATAAAAGGTTTTCTATGTCTTCTATGTAATGTTACCTATAAAACTTACTAACATTCTTCTCAACCAAAACTAACTTCTTTTCTCATTTTTTTCCTGTCCATTGTGGATCACGATCAGGCTGCCTTTTCTGGTAGAATGTAAATTATAAGCCCCTCGAAGTCAGGAGCTCCGTTACTTATTACAGGTTGAATATCCCTTATCTGAAATGCTTAGGACCAGGAGTGTTTCAGATTTTGGATTTTTTTGATTTTGAAATATTTGCATATACATAATAAGATATCTTGGGGATGGGACCCAAGTCTAAACACGAAATCCGTTTAAGTTTCATATACACTTTATACGCATAGCCTAAAGGTAATTTATACGATATTTTTAATAATTTTGTACATGAAGCAAAGTTTGACTAAGTTTTGACTACAACCCATCACCTGAGGTCAGGTGTGGAGTTTTCCACTTGTGGCGGCATGTTGGCGCTCAAAAAGTTTCTGGTTTAGGAGCATTTTGGACTTTGGATTTTTGACTAAGGATGCTCAACCTGTGCTGCAGTTGACTCTTGAACAACACAGAGGTTAGGAGCACCAACTCCTCTCACAGTTGAAAATCTGTGTATAACTTTTGACTCCCCTAAAGCTAACTACTAATAGCCTACTGTTGACTGGAAGCCTTACCAATAACAGTCAATTAACACTTATTTTGTATGTGATATGTGTTATATACTATATTCTTACAATTCAAATAAGCTAGATAAAAGAAAATGTTATTAAGGAAATGATAAGGAAGAGAAAATATATTTATTGTTCTTTAAGTGGAAATGGATTATCATAAAGGTCTTTATCCTCGTCATCTTCACACTGAGTAGGCTGAGGTGTAGAGGAAGGGAGAGATTGGTCTTGCTGTCTCAGGGGTAGTAAAGGCAAAAGAAAATCCATATATGAGTGAGCCCTCGCAGTTCAAATCCATGTTCAAGGGTCAACTGTATATCCTTTGTGTCTAGCATAGTGCCGGCTTAGTAGGGAATATAGTAAGTCATGTTTCAAAAATGAATGAATGAATGAATCTCTGAGAATATTAAAATCATTAAGGAATCAGGGGTAGATTTTTGAAAAGAATTTTGAAACAAAGAATAAGTTGGAGGATTTATACAACCTGATTTTGATTTACTATAAAGCTACAGTAATACAGTATGATGTTGACAGAAGGGTAGACATATAGGTCAATGGAATTGGCATCAAGAGTCCAGAAATAGACTCAAACATTTATGGGCAATTGATTTTCAATGAATGTGTCAAAGCAATCCAGTGGAGAGTAAAGTCTTTTCAACAAAATAAATATCTGTATACTTATATGGAAAAAAGGAACATTAGCTCCTACCTCATAGCATATGAAAATTAACAAAAAATATATTATAGCCCTAAATGTAAGAGCTAAAACCGTTACTCTTGAAGAAGGAAACCTAGGTGAAAACCTTCATAGCTTGAGTTGAGCTAAGATTTCCTTACATAAAGAGTACAAAGTATAAAAATTGATCTTCTCAAAATTAAACTTTTGCTCTTGGAAAGATACTGTTAAGAATATGAAAATGCAAACCATAGAATGGGAGAAAGTATTTGCAATACATATATCTGATAAAGGATTTGTATTCAAGTATATATAAAGAACACTTCAATAGTAAGACAACCCAATTAAAAGATGGACAAAATAAAAACAAAAACCAAGCACTTCACAAAGTTTTGGCATGACCAAATAAGCACATGAAACTGTGTTCAGCATTATTAGTTATCAGGTAAATGCAAATTAAGACCCCTATAAGATACTACTACACACTCAGAATGATTAAAATTAAAAAGACTGACCTACTAAGTGTTGGTGAGGATGTGGAGCAACCAGAATGCTCATATACTGCTGGTGGAAATGTAAAGTGGTATAATCACTCTGGAAAATTCTTTGGAATGTTCTTAAAGTTAACTATACCCTTGCCAAACAACCCAGAAATTGCATTCCTAGGTATTAAATATTTACCCAAGTAATGAAAAAACATACAAAGACTTGTACATGAATGTTTATAGCAGTTTTATTCACAGTAGCCAAAAACTGCGAAACGATGCAAATATTCATCAGCAGGTGAATGGATAAACGAAGTGTATATTTATACAATACTAAGCCATAAAAAGAATGAAGCATAATATTCAACCATATGCATAAATCTCAGGATCATTATGCTAAATAAGCAGATACTGTATAACTCCATTTATATAAAATTCTAGAAAATGCAAACTAATCTGTAACAATACAGAACAGATCAGTGGTCCCTGAGGTGAGGAACAAAGGGAGGGATCTTTTGGGGGTTAGGAATGTTCTGAATCTTGACTATAGTGGTGGTTTCACAGGCAATTTATAGTGCAACCTTGATAAAAAGTTCTGATATATGTATATCAGAACTCATTAATTTGTACACTTTAAATGGATGAAGTTTATTGTATTCAATAATGTTGATTTAAAAGAAAATTGAGGCCAGGTACTGTGGTTCATGCCTGTAATTTCAGCACTTTGGGAGGCTGAGGCAGGCGGATCACTTGAGGTTGAGGAGTTCACCTGGCCAACATGGTGAAACCCCATCTCTATTAAAAATACAAAAATTAGCTGAGTGTGGTGGTGCAAGTCTGTAATTCCAGCTACTCGGGTGGCTGAGGCACAAGAATCAGTTGAACCCAGGAGGCAGAGGTTGCAGTGAGTCGAGATTGTAACACTGCACTCCAGCCTGGGTGATGGAGTGAGACTCTGTTATTTAAAAAAAGGCGGGGGGGGAGGAGAGGGGAGGGAAGGAGAGGGGAGGAAATTTGGCAAAGGAAGATAGGAAAAAATAGCTAAATGCATAAAACTTCATTTTAATTTTTTCAGCATACATTTTCTAAGCTGTTTACATCCTTCCTTACCAAGCTTTTTCATGCTGCCTTATAAAAGAGCACTTTTTCAATATTTTAACTTACATTTGTTTACCTTGTAGTGCCAGCTTGTGACTTAAGAAAGTTGTTATCAAGAAAATAGGGCTTTTTAGAAAGATTATGCCTTAGTAAGTAAAGGGAATCATTGGAGACCATAGTACAGCAAAATGGGATAATAGAAGTAGAATGCAACTTATAGATATTCTCCTTGTGTTATTTTATATGTGTGTATATATATGTAACGCCCTTTTTAAGGAAGCTGAAAATACTAATAGGGGAATCAAAGTTTGAGCGTGTGCTGCACACAGGCAAGCCCTATCATTTGCTTGCCTGTTGCTTATTGGCAAAATGGTTAGTCAGCCATTCATTATTTTTATAAACATTTGGGAATCTGATAGCATTTTGAAGTTTTATGATATAGAATAGTTTATAAATTCTATTTTAACATTTTAACTTACACACCCATAGTCAGTGCTGCTAAAAATGCACGTACATGTATACTCTCACAAGTTCTTTAAAAGGCCTTTAGAGAAAACTTTTTGATGTCATAAGCACTAAACATTTGCTAAACTATTTTGCTGTTCATCCATTCAGTGGTCAGTTGTAATGCCTGAGAATTATGTTCTGGGCCTGGTAGCACAATTTATAGCAGGATCCAGTCTCTTTCACCATTGTTTAGAGGTGCAGCCATTTATGCTTCCCTGCTGCATAATAATGCGTGTCTCAGGTTTCAGAAGACATGTTTGGCAGCCTGGTGGGACATTGCCTGAACCCTTGTCTCCAGCTGAGTAAGGTATACAATTGGAACTGAAATCTCAACATAAATTTTAAGTGATTTCATAAAAAAGGACAAACTTATTGTCAGTGAACTTTACCATAATCCCAGCAGTAGTAATCTTATTTCTAAAACAGTAAGTGATCTATTGCCAGGTATCCTGCCCAGTTTATTAGTTGGCACTAAAATAACATAAATCAATTGGCAATTTATAGTGCAACCTTGATAAAGTTCATGAGTTTCAGTTTGACTTGTTTTTCAGCTGAATCTTTTTAAGTTTTTAGAGATTTAAGCACATACTGTCATAAAAAGTATAATAGAATTCTTCAATTTAATTTGCTTGACATTTATTGAGCATCTATAATAAGCATGGCACTGCACTAGGTATTCCCTACATATGTACTATTTCTTTCAGTAGTAATTGTCAAGTAATTTTTGCTGCTTGAATGGTTTATTTTCTTTTTCTTTTCTTCTTTTTTTTTTTTTTTTGAGACAGGGTCTTGCTCTATTGCCCAGGCTGGAGTGTAGTGGTATGATCTTAGCTCACTGCAACCTCTACTTCCTGGGCTCAAGCGATTCTCATGCCTCAGCCACCCAAGTAGCTGGGACTACCATGCCCCGTTAATTTTTGCATTTTTAGTAGAGACATGGTTTTGTCATGTTGCCCAGTCTGGTCTTGAACTCCTAAGCTCAAGCAGTCCACCCACATCGACCTCGCAAAGTGCTGGGATTACAGGCATGAGCTACCACGCCCAGCCTGAATAGCTTATTTTCATCCCCAAAATGAAATCATCATTGATTTAATGACATGAGTATGGAGAAAAAGTTAAAGGAAATAAATACTGAGTTTTGGTGTCTGCATACCCTAGGGTGTAACTCTGTGAAATGGCACTTAGGTACTTCGGAGTGTGTGTGTGTGGTGTGTATGTGTCACTATGGAAGCGTGTGCAAGAGAGAGAGACTTAAAGCTGCCTTAGCTATTCACAGGGGGAGAAAAGAGATACCTAGGAGAAGTTAAAGAGGCTCAGTAGCCCACACTCAAGCTCAGCAGTAGAGCAAGCCTGAGTTTTCCAACTTTAACATCTCTTTGTAGCATCAGTTCTGTGTCCACAAGCCGAGGAGACTGAAAGACTCATCTTCAGGCAGGTGCATGAACCCCAGTGTGTTTATAAGGGGAAATGAGAGAAAGGGTTAACATTCTGATTTCATGTTCAGTTGACAGTGACCCAATAACACCCATCCGAGGAACAATCAGGTGGAAAGACTGATTGCTAAGGAGGGAAGAGCCCACCCCTGATTGGGCTGTACCCTAGATTTCTTAAGGAAGGGGCCAAGCCTTTTCTCATTTTATCTCCAGTTTTTGGCACAGAGTAGATGTTTATTAACTGCTTAATACATGAATCATCAAATAAATGCATAATCCACTCTTCCTTGCTCTCACTTGAATTCCTCTTTGTTCATTCTTTTTCTTCCCTTCTCTCCTGTATTCTTTTTCATTTAGAACTTTTGCAATTATTTCTTTTTATGGAATATACCTGTTTATCCATTTTATAAGCTCCTCGGATGTGAACACTGGGCGTTGTTCTTACATTACCTCTCCCCAGCAGGCCTGGAACACGGTAGAACCAAATAAAGAATTGTTGATTGTGAAATTAACCAGTGGAAACTAAATCCCTCAAATGGGATAATGTAAATCCAAAAAGTCTAAATTATTTAGATTAAAATATACTTTATATTTTTCCTTCTTTGTAGAACTTTAAATATTAGTGAGAAAAGTTGCTTTTGCAAGTTGTTAAGCCACCATGAGAGTATTGCTTTTGAAATGTTGAACCTGAAGATTTTGTTCATTTTAATTAGTGATGTTAATGTATTTATCTCTATATTCATTACTACCTTATTATTTCACATAATAGAATGTTGTATTTTGTTTTCTCCCATATCAATGCAGGTACTATAGGATACAACCAGCGAAACAGAATTGATACTCTCATGTATCTACTAGCATATCCACAAAAACCCATGGTTAAGACAAAAACCATTGAATTGATAGAATTTGAGAAACTGCCAGCTGGACAGAATGCAACAGTTGCTGTGATGAGCTATAGTGGCTATGATATTGAAGATGCTCTTGTTTTAAACAAGGCCTCTTTAGACAGAGGTAAGTGAATTTTCAAAACTAACACCAAAGTTGCTTTTTGCAGAATTAGATATAGGGATGATTAATGTAAAAATCACTTGGTTAATGTCAGTTTTAAGTTATTTGAATTTTATGATATAGAAACAGGAGGTGGTTGGGTTTTGATGTTGGCTTTCTTGTCATTTTTAATGACTAGTATATTGAAATAATTTGTTAAACATACTACTACAGAATATTTTTCTCCTTTATTATTTTATTGGTTACGTGAGACAATCCTTCAAAAAGAAAAAAAATGTAAGAATGTGTTTGTTTTCCAGCAGGAATTACAGTATATGAAATATGTGTTTTCACTGTGTCTAGTGATACATATTATTAACAACAAACCTGTTTGAGAGGGCAGTAGCAATATTTGGATGTAAAAGGCTGTTTCTTATTTGTGTAACCTCATAATTTGGTAACTTCTTTGGCCAAGTGACGAAAGTTAAAAATACACGGCCACAAACTCTGGCGTGGAGTTTTTCTGCTTTTCTTTCTGTTTTTGACAATACTTTCACAAGTCACCACCTCGTGGTTTGTTAGACATCACCTGATCTGAAGTCTGACTTCTCTATTCATAATCTCGATTTCTCTTTTTCCTTCCTGGCGTACCCACTATGCCTTCCCCTTCCCTCTTTGTAGTTGCTAGGCAGCCATAATAGTACTCCTAGACATGTGTCTTTGGCATTAATGTTGGCCACACTTAATTTATGCCTCTTTTTTTCCTCCAAATGACAACAGCCATGCTTTAAAACTAGATGTTTTCCTTTCTGATTAACTGGTAACGTTTATGTGGAAATCTGAAGACTTTGTGATGTCTGTCAGAAACTCTGCAACCCAATTCAGTGATCTGAGTTTACTATCCCCTAGCTTTTAAGCTATCACCTGTAAATAAAATGTCTGTTTACACTTTGAAGAAAACACTTCTTGATTTCATGCAGTTAAGATTCACATTGCACTCCAGCATGTTGCAGTTAATGGCTACTGTATGAAATTTCAAGATCATGTAATGTTTCCAAACCAGCTGGCATTCTGAGCCGAGTTTATTATGGCCATACACAATTTCCTAGGAGCCATGATGACTACGGCCTTGCTTAAAGACACAAATGTCTTCATCTGACGTCCAATTTTAGAAATTCGTTACTTCATCTCACAGTCACCTTCATATTTAAAAAATTACATTACAGCCCTGAGATTTTATTTATAAATCCACTTTTACCTGATTGATTTCTAAAGTCACATTCTTAGATTTCTGTTTTTGGTGGAAAATTGTTAAGTGAAGGATTTTACTGCCATGCATTTATTTCATCAGTAATAAGCGGCATTTAATCCTGAGACATTTCTTATTTAAGTGAACTCTGGCATGGCTCAGTATATCCTGAGGAGATTAGTAAGAGAATCCAGTTTAAAATAACTGCTTGGCCAAAGGGAAAAAAGAAAGAAATGCAGCCACAGAATCAGGAAATTATAGTGTTGAAGGAATGACAGCTGTTTTGGGTAACTCTACAACTCATGGATTTTTTCTTTTAGGGATTCAGTGGTTGAGTTTTTTTGCCCCACCCAAAGGTTTTTCTTCTGTCCTTTTTGCTTATTTTTCTTCCTTTTCTTTTCTGATCCATTGCTAGACAGCTTATTTTTCTTGATGTTTAGATTGTTAGTTGATTTCACAGCCTTTCCCTCATCCACTAGATAAATGCAATCTAAAAATGTAATTAAACTCCAATCTTTAGGGCAGAGGAGAACTATTTTTCCCATTGAAATAATTTGATTATTTCTTTTTTCATTCTGTCTCTTCTCTGGAGAAAAATTATTGTTTTTACTTGTTGGCTTAGAACTTGCTCTAAATGCCAAATTTTAAAAAGGAAAACTTTCCAGGGAAGTTTAGCAGAAGTTATGCACCAAAAGGATGTGTATCCTGGCTCAGGAGTCAGTGGACTTGTGCTGTTCAACACAATTCTCAACTCTGCTGCCAACTTTTTGGATGACCTTGGCCACTTAATTTCTCTAGACCTCACTCCTAGTGCCTGTAAAACAGATAGGTTAAGCAGGTGATTTCTAAGGGCCTTTCCAATTCTAATATTCTATGGCTCTGTCCTCTGAAAGAATCACAGCGCCAGTCTTAGATTTCTCTCACCGTTCTCCAGTATGACAAGGTGTATTCCATGCAGAAAATGGTTGTAGAGATTCCAGTGTTTACACAGACAGTAGGTAGGGGACAAGTCCTGTGCTGCTTCTTCAGATTATCAGATTTTTATTTGGTTTGTACTGGTCCCAGATTATTATCAAATACAGAGAAGTTTTGGGATTTGGGGGAGGGTGAGGTGGAGTGGATTGTTGAGTAGCACAAATCCATATTTCCTTATAGCTTTGGGTTACTGGTGGTTCTAATGCCCATCTTGGTTTCATTTTAGGCTTTGGGCGTTGCCTTGTATATAAAAATGCTAAATGTACGTTGAAACGATACACCAATCAGACTTTTGATAAAGTGATGGGGCCCATGTTGGATGCTGCTACAAGGAAACCTATCTGGCGACATGAAATCTTAGATGCAGATGGTATTTGTTCTCCAGGTAAAAGCCTTTTAAAAGAAAAAATTTTAATACTTTTTGACATCATATGTTATTCAATAATATTTCTGAATATTTGGCAAAAAGGGCAGAAAAAAGTAACAACCTATAAAACCACCATCCAAACTCAACCAATGAGGTCATTTTTGATGAATTTCCTTCCAGTCTGTTTTTCTATACACTATGTTTTTACCTATCAGTAATCTATGCTAACTATAATTTTCTAGTTATAATTTTGAATAATAGAAAAGCCACTTTAAGGAAATATTTAGAGTAGTTTATGTCCCTGCATCTGCACTGGTATTTCTTCATTTACACATTTAGCTTACAGACTACTTTAGAATTTTATCCCCCTGCAAAGGTATGACTCCATTATAATTACAAACTTGTAATGCATTTTGTTGATGAAACAAATAGCCCTTGCCCTTATGGGTCTCACAGGCTAGTGCAGGAGACTGACATTGATCAGAGGATCATGCATAAATCCAGGTTAAGGAATCATATAGGTAACTATGAGGCCATTTTATAGCAAGAGAATTTGACCTTGTTGGGAAGATCAGCATGGCTTTCCCGAGGAAGTGAGCTGGAATCTGAAGGATAGGGAAGAGTTAACTAAAGAAGAGGATCAGGGAGCATGTTCTAAGTAATGAGAAAAGCTTGTGCAAGGGTCCCAGAGCTTGGTAGTTGAAAGGTCTGAAAGAAGACCAGCGTGGCTAACAAGAAGAGAGTGCAGGGAAGCATGGTGCACATGAGTTGGTGGGTGACGCAAGGGGTAGGGGCCAGAGTAAGCAAGTCCTTGCAACCATGTTAGTATTGTCTTTATTTTATTTTATTAATTTTATTTTTGAGACAGGGTCTCAGTCTGTCACTGAGGCTGGAGTGCAGTGGCACAATCTCAGCTCACTGCAACCTCTGCCTCCCAGACTCAAGTGATTCTCCCACTTCAACCTCCTGTATAGCTGGGACCCATAGGCACGTGCCACCATGCCTGGATAGTTTTTTGTATTTTTTGTAGAGATGAGGTCTTACCATCTTGTCCAGGCTTGTCTTGAACTCCTGGGCTCAAGTTCTCCACCCACCTCGGCTTCCCAAAGTGCTTGAGCCACCATGCCGAGCCCATGATACTATTTTCATTATGATCCTAAAAGCAATGATATATTCAGATATGTGTTTTGAATGATCATTCTGACTACAGTGTAGAAAAAGGATTAGAAGGGCACTAAAATAGAAGGTAGACCTGGTACCAGGAGCTGTGGTGAAGGTGGAGAGAACCCAGTTTGTGAGGAGGGAAATCCACATGACTTTGTCATGGTTGGCCTGTGGGCGGTGAATGCTTTATCAAGCTGTGGTTCCAAAGAGACACAGAGTACGCGACTTCTCCTCCCTCCCTCTGCCTTTGTTTCTTGGAGAATTTTTCTCACCCTAACACTGGTCAGTATGGCTTGGAAAATACGCGCTGTGACAGTACTACAGGTAGTTGGTCTTTGAACTTACCAGGAAGAGATACAAAGCAAAAATGGGAATAACAGCATAACCAAAGAAATATTTTGATTTCCTTGTTGCCCAAGTTAAATTGGTGGTGGCTTATTACTGGTTGAAATAACTATAAATAAAAATAAGTGACCAAAACTTAACACCCTAAGAGATATATAAAATTGCTATTTACTGAGATGATGTTTCTCATGTTCATGTAGTACTCTGAATTATTTTCTTAATTTTATATAGACTATGATGTGTGTGTGTGTGTGTGGGTGTGTGAGTCTCACTCTGTTGCACAGGCTGGAGTGCAGTGGCATGACCATAGCTCACTGCAGCCTCAACCTAGGTTCAAGCAGTCCTCCTACCGCAGCCTCCTGAGTTGTTGGGACTGCAGGCCTGTGCATCTTTGCCTAGTTCGTAATCTTTGTATTCCACACAGATGATAACGATGTGCCTAACACTTTTCTTTTTTTCTCAGGTGAGAAAGTAGAAAACAAACAAGTGCTTGTAAATAAGTCCATGCCCACAGTGACTCAGATTCCTTTGGAAGGAAGTAATGTACCACAGCAACCACAGTACAAAGATGTACCCATAACGTATGTATTGGTTGTGCCCTGGTAATATGTAGAAAGGTTAGAAAAAGAGAAGAAATGGGAGAAATTCGAAGTTAGGTCTTGGCGTGTTGGAGAACTAGAAATAGCAATTTGGGGTAGCATTACTTGTCATGGAAAAAGCATGGCATAGAAGATAAAGCTAGTCTATGGAATCATATAGGCCCTAAACTGGGTTTGAGGTGTGGACCACATAGGCAGGGGTTCCTGGTGGAATTAACAACAGGATGAAGGGCACATGGCATAAAAGTGCCTGGGTTTTGGAGGATCAGTGTAGCTTGCTGGGGCTAGGTTGTGAAAGAGTTGGGAATTGATACTGCAGAGAGTGACATGATAAGAGTCATATTTTTAAACAGTAAAACACACTGGCCACAGCATGGCATCACAGTATACTAGAACATAGCCCAGCTCTAGTAGACGTTGTTTTGTGTATCTTACATGAGTAAAGCATTTAAATTCTGTTAGCTTCAGTTTTTTCATTTGTATAATACAATGAAAGAGTTAGACTTGTTAATCTCTAAATTTCTTCTAAGCTCTAAAATTTAATAAAATATGAACCTAGTGAGAAGGGCCAATGATAGTCACCACATTGTGATATAAAAACCAAACTAGAAGAGATATCTAACCTAGCCAAGGTGAACTAGGCTGAGTTTAGGAGGTGGCAGTGAGGGTGACATAGGAGAACTGGATTCTTGAGTTGTGATGGCAGTTTTACAAATGTATTCAATACACAGTAGCTGAGGCCTGCCATGTGCCAACCATCCTGCCTCTTGTGCCAGCGATATAGAGCTGAAATAAGCCACAAGCGTTGCCTGCAATGAGTCATATTTAGTTGGCAAAGACCCCCACACAAAAAAAGTGCAATAATGACCATGATCATAATAGCATATTGGGAATTTACACTGTACCAGTTACTGTTCTGGACATTTTACATGTGTTAGCTCAGTTAATCCTACCAGCATCCCAGGAGCTATGTTCTCTTAGTGGCTCATTAGAAAGATAAGATGGAAGCAAGGAGAAGTTAAGTAACTTACCAAGGTCACACAGCAATAAAGGGCAGCACCAGGATTTGAAGTCATGCAATCTGGCTTCAGAGCGCTTCTCTTGACCACTGTGCTAAACCCAGCAAAGCATTGTGGGTGCCACGGATTTGTCTCTGGAGGAGGAGCACCAAAGAGAAGATGGGCAGCTCTGCTTAGGGGATGGGTCCAGACTCTACACTGACTTCTACAGTATGAAAAGCTATTTTGCAGTTACAGAGGTGCCTCTGCTGGTTGGCTCTCTTCCCGTCTTGAAGGAGGATATCTCTTTTTCTGTGCGAAGTTCATCTCTCCTTTTGGTTTCTTAATTTCATTCACTCTTTTCAGAGACCTTTTTCTGTCATCTTCTCTTTTATCCTCCCATATTTTCAACCTGTTTCCTATTGATTCCTTCTCCACAGGCTAGAAAATGTGCTCAGATACTTTTTACCTTTAAAGGAAAATGAAAGTTTTTCCTGGTCTTTGTGTCCCTTTCTAGCTGCCACTGTATTCCTCTTCCTTTCACTACGAAGCTCCTCAGAGCAATCATCTTGTCGTCTCCATTTCTACTTTGTTACCTTCCGCTTGCTCCCTAACCCTCGGAACTGGCCTCTTACCTACCTCCTCATTCTCCTGAAACAGCTCCAGAAGAGGTCACCAAAGACATCCTATGTGTTTGTTTCATTCAAGAAATACTTTTTTTTTTTATTGAGATGGAGTCTCGCACTGTCATCCAGGCTAGAGTGCAATAGCACGATCTCGGCTCACTGCAGCCTCCACCTCCCAGTTCAAGTGATTCTCCTGCCTCAGCCTCCCGAGTAGCTGGGACTACAGGCACACACCACCACACTCAGCTAATTTTTTGTATTTTTACAAAAACAAAAAATACAATATGTTGTCCAGACTAGTCTCGAACTCTTCACCTCATGATCTGCCCACCTTGGCCTCCCAAAGTGCTGGGAGTCATAAGCCACCGTGCCCAGCCCTTAAAAAATACTTTTTGAGCACTAACAGTATGCCAGGAACTATTCCAGGCACATGGGATAGTGCAGGGAGGAAAACCAGCAGTCCCTGTCTTTGTGGGAATCACACCCCAGTGCAGGAAGACAAGAAGTAAAAAAGCAAAACCCATGTATAGTCGAACTTGCCAAATCAGACAGACTCTTTGATCGGAATCTTCTTGCAGACTGGGACTTTGTTTCTTTTTCACCTTGTACCCCCTAGTCTCTGGCATAGTACCTGGCACATAGTGGGTATTCAGTAAATAGTTATGTGAATGAATGAATTTCATATGACCCTTCTATAGCATTTGACACCACTGACCTCTCTCTTCCCTTGATGTTGTGACACTGCTCTCGCCTGGCCCTCCCTATCAGTCTAATCACTCACTCTTAGCCTCCCATCCTGCCTGGCCTTGTGATGACTTCACCCTGGCCAAGATGACTCTTGAACCTCATCTGGACAAGCTCCCCAGTTCTCAGCACTCCAGTCACCCTGTTTTTGCTGATGACTCCCATATAGACATCTGCCCAGTGTCAGCTTCATATCAGCACTTGGACAGCTTTACAGTGGTCCCAAACAGGCTCCTCCTCCTGGATCCCTGTCTTGGTAAATGGCATCAGCTGCCAGCAGCCAGCCAGTCACCAGCACAACCTGACTCCTTTCCTTTACCTGCCACACACACCAATCCTGTCGTTCCTGTCATCTTAGCAGCTCTCTTCTCTCCCTCCTCCTGCTTCATGCTACAGTGTCTGCACTGTGGCCCTCTGCTCTGCCTGGAGTTCTTGTTAACTGTCCATCTGCCTCCAGGCTGGTACCACTCAGGGTCTCTCTGCATCACTGCTAGGGTGATTTTTTCTTTTTGAGACGGAGTCTCGCTCTATTGCCCAGGCTGGAGTGCAGTGGCACGATCTTGGCTCACTGCAACCTCCACCTCCTGGATTCAAGCGATTCTCTTGCCTTAGCCTCCTGAATAGCTGTGATTACAGGGGCATGCCACTATGCCCGGCTAATTTTTGTATCTTTAGTAGAGATGGGTTTCACATGTTAGGCTGGTCTCGAACTCCTGACCTCATGATCCGCCTGCCTTGACCTCCCAAAGTGCTGGGATTACAGGCATGAGCCACCGTGCCCGGCTGGGTGATTTTCTAAACTACTCTGGCCATGTTACTCTCTTGGATAAATAGAGTGAAACTTGAGTAAGTTAAGTAAAAGTGTGAACGACAGTGGTGCCTGTGGGAAAGGTGTCCTTAGCACACCTCCCTGGCCTCATAGGCCCCTCTTGCACACTAAGCCCTATGTTTCTAGGAAATCACCTCTTATTCTCCAAAATGTGCCATCCTAATTCAATTAGGCCTTCGCTCAGGTTGCCACTCTGTCAGTGACCCACTCTGGTCAGGTCTCAAGTTGAGGTTTACCTCTTCTGTGGCAGGGCTTGACAGCTTGCCACTTCCTGCCACCACTGTCATCCCCCACCCCCAGCAGAATTGACTATCTCCTTTGAGCCTCTCCTGTTCTTCATACCAGATACCATTACTGCACTTACCTGTCTCCTCCTTGATTGGATTGTGAGCTCCTTTGGTGCAGTAACTGTCTACTTAATTGTTATGTGTCCGAAGGCTACCAGGATCTGATACCTGGTAGATTTCTAATAATGTTTGTTATGTGAAAAAAATTAATAATTGAAAAGCTGAGTAAGTAAAAGTGCTATTACTATTAAGAACTAGGAGTTGAGTCTGAAATCCCAGTTCCACTTTGTGTGAGTCATGTGCCCTTGGACAAGTTACTTAACCCCTCTAAGCATCAGTTTTCCTCATCTATAATAAGGGAATAACAGTATGGACTGTTGTGAGGATTAAATTGCACTGTGCCTTCCTCATAATAAACGTGTAGCATTGTAAAAGGGAAATTGTGAAATTTGAATTTAATGTTAAAAAAATTGAAGTCATTTTTCAGAGCCCAAGATGAAAATGTCAGAATACTCTATGGTAGGCATGAAATGAAATATAACATGGGTGAGAAGTTCACAAAGGGCAGTTTGAAAACTCTGTTTTAGTGACTTTCTCTTAACACCAGCTACAAAGGAGCAACAGACTCATATATTGAAAAAGTGATGATATCTTCAAATGCTGAAGATGCTTTTCTGATCAAAATGCTGCTGAGACAGACAAGGCGTCCAGAAATTGGAGACAAATTCAGCAGTCGTCATGGGCAAAAAGGTAAACTGTATCATTTCTCAACTTGATTATAAAACAATATATGAATGTATTTGTTAACCACTTAAATAAAATTCCCCCATTTAAAAAATTTACTTTGGAAAAGTATTACATTGTTATAAAAATTAATCTTGTTTTATTTCTTAGATTAACCTGTTTATATTTAATGGCATTTAAAAATACATGGTAGACTTGCTCCTCTATGCTGTCTGTTTCATTCTCCTGCAGTTGCTATGCCCAGAATTATAATTATAGATACAGTCTAGGTGATGTGCCTATTGAGATACATGTAGCTGTTCAAAAAATAAATAGTAGTACCTTTTTTTTTTTCTGAAAGATACATCTTTAAACTACTATATGTTCTGTTGAGTCATAGTGTCAGATGTTAGCACTAGAAGACACCTCAGAGTTATCCGTCCCCTTGTTTACAGATGAGGAAGTTCAGACCCCGCATTTTCAGTGGCCAGTCAAGGATACACAGCTACTTGGTTGCTGAGCTGGTGTTAGAACCTGGGTCTCCTGACCCCAGGGCGGTGCTTTGTGTGTGTCTTACATCTAATCCCATTGGCAAGCCTCACTCATTCCTTTGATGGTTACTGCACAGTTTTCATCTATTTGTAGTTTTGTTTATTTTCAAGAAACACGCACTGTATCACTGTTAATTTTAGCTCTGCCTGCCGCTTAGCTTTAAGAAGAACAACAGCTAACACTTTTGTAGCACTAACTGTGTGCCTGGCTGCGTTCTCATCACTTTACAGGTGCTGACTCATTTGATTCTCACACAATTCTGGAGGGAGGTGGCATCATTATCCATATTTTATAGATAAGGAAACAGAGGCATAGAAAGATTAATAGCTTGCCCAAGGTCACACAATTAATGGGAGAACTGACATTTGAACCTTGGCAGCTTGGCTCCAGAGACCTAGCTCTTAATTACTAGGCCACACTGACTGTTAAGCAGTTAGCAGTGTGCCTGGCACACATAGTAAGTGCTCAAGAAGTAGCAGCAATGATCATTAACATTGACCATCTTTTTTTTTGATATATACTTAAGATGTATCACTTCTACTTTTCTACCTTGACTCTCACATTTGCTTATAAATTACTAGTGTGATATCTTCTTATTTTTAATTGGTTTGAAGATAACTGCACATTGTGTTTCTGCTGATTTTAAGTTTCTTTGCCAAGCGAGTATATCCATGTTACGGTTTTCTTGGTCAGGTATACCCAGCCTTAGTTGTCATTCTGCCAGTGAAACTATGTCAGACTAAGATACTCTTTCATCAAAATCATTTTTAGTTCTGTTGACAGAGGCAAGATTATTTTAGCCTGCCAATATTTTTAAGAAATGATTGGTTCCATCTGTTAATGTGAATTTGACACCTGTAATTTATATAGTTCCCTGAGATACTAACCCTTAATGCCCTTTGAGTGTTTTTAAAAGTATCTTGAGTTTCTAATGTTTTATATGGCTTGCCAGTAAAAAATCAAATTCTGTATATTGAAACTGTTTCCCCTTTTATCTTGGTCTTGACAGTTGCTGAGTCAATTATGGGGTAACCTTAACCTTATTCGCTAGGTCATTGTGGGGTAACCTTAACCTCATTTGTAGTCTCTATCTTACTTGGCCTCCTACTTGGACAAGAGCAAAGTTGATATTCTTCTTGTAAAATATTGACACTGGAAGCTTCACAAGAATGTACACCATAAGAGAATATCCCCCTTCTGAATCAGTTTACAAGACTAAGGTACCCCAAATCCTTATGTCTTTATCCCATCAGGGTATTATGCAAAGAGTTGCAGACTTGCAGATATTTCAGTGGCTATGCAATGTGCTCTAATTCCACTAAACTTTTTTTTTGTTAACTTTAAGTTCTGGATTACATGTGCAGAACGTGCAGTTTTGTTACATAGGTATACACGTGCCGTGGTGGTTTGTACACCCATCAACCCATCACCTACATTAGGTATTTCTCCTAATGTTATCCCTCCCCTAGCCTCCCACCCCAGGCAGGCCTCGGTGTGTGATGTTCCCCTCCCTGTGTCCAAGTGTTCTCATTGTTCAACTCCGACTTATGAGTGAGAACATGCAGTGTTTGGTTTTCTGATCTTGTGATAGTTTGCTGAGAATGATGGTTTCCAGCTTCATCCACGTCCCTGCAAAGGACATGAACTCATCCTTTTTTATGGCTGCATAGTATTCCATACTGTATATGTGCCACATTTTCTTAACCCAGTCTATCATTGATGGACATTTGGGTTGGTTCCAAGTCTTTACTATTGTGAATAGTGCCACAATAAACATACGTGTGCATGTGTCTTTATAGTAGAATGATTTGTAATCCTTTGGGTATAT
Organism: Homo sapiens; assembly: GCF_000001405.40. Lineage (NCBI taxonomy): Eukaryota > Metazoa > Chordata > Mammalia > Primates > Hominidae > Homo > Homo sapiens. Next base: position 106,465,974 of record NC_000012.12, read on the forward strand.
GGGATTGCTGGGTCAAATGGTATTTCTGGTTCTAGATCCTTGAGGAATCGCCACACTGTCTTCCACAATGACTGAACTAATTTACACTCCCACCAACAGTGTAAAAGTGTTCCTATTTTTCTATAACCTCTCCAGCGTCTGTTGTTTCCTGACTTTTTAATGATCGCCATTCTAACTGGCATGAGATGGTATCTCATTGTGGTTTGATTTGCATTTCACTAATGACTAGTGATGATGAGCATTTTTTCATATGTCTGTTGGCTGCATAAATGTCTTCTTTTGAGAAGTGTCTGTTCATATCCCTTGCCCATTTTTTGATGGGGGTTGTTTGCTTTTTTCTTGTAAATTTGTTTAAGTCCGTTGTAGATTCTGGATATTAGCCCTTTGTCAGATGGATAGATTGCAAAAATTTTCTCCCATTCTGTAGTTTGCCTGTTCACTCTGATGATAGTTTCTTTTGCTGTACAGAAGCTCTTTAGTTTAATTAGATCCCATTTGTCAATTTTGGCTTTTGTTGCCATTGCTTTTGGTGTTTTAGACATGAAGTCTGCCCATGTCTATGTCCTGAATGGTATTGCCTAGGTTTTCTTCTAGGATTTTTATGATCCTAGGTCTTATGTTTAGGTCTTTCATCCATCTTGAGTTGATTTTTGTATAAGGTGTAAGGAAGGGGTCCAGTTTCAGTTTTGTGCATATGGCTAGCCAGTTTTCCCAACACCATTTATTAAATAGGGAATTTTTTCCCCATTGCTTGTGTGTGTCAGGTTTATCAAAGATCAGATGGTGGTAGATGTGTGGTGTTATTTCTGAGGCCTCTGTTCTGTTCCATTGGTCTATATATCTGTTTTGGTACCAGTACCATGCTGTTTTGGTTACTGTGGCCTTGTAGTATAGTTTGAAGTCAGGTAGCCTGATGCCTCCAGCTTTGTTCTTCTTGCCCAGGATTGTCTTGGGTATGTGGGCTCTTTTTTGGTTCCATATGAACTTTAAAGTAGTTTTCTCTGGTTCTGTGAAGTAAGTCAGTGGTAGCTTGATGGGGATAGCATTGAATCTATAAATTACTTTTGGCAGTAAGACCATTTTCCTGATATTGATTCTTCTTATCCATGAGCATGGAATGTTTTTCCATTTGTTTGTGTCCCCTCTTATTTCCTTGAGCAGTAGTTTGTAGTTCTCCTTGAGGAGGTCCTTCACATCCCTTGTAAGTTGGATTCCTAGGTATTTTATTCTCTTTGAAGCAATTGTGAATGGGAGTTCACTCATGATTTTGCTCTCTGTTTGTCTGTTATTGGTGTATAGGAATGCTTGTGATTTTTGCATATTGATTTTGTATCCCAAGACTTTGCTGAAGTTGCTTATCAGCTTAAGGAGATTTTGGGCTGAGACGATGGGGTTTTCTAAATACACAATCATGTCATCTGCAATGAAAGACAATTTGACTTCCTCTCTTCCTATCTGAGTATACTTTATTGGGTTCTCTTGCCTGATTGCCCTGGCCAGAACTTCCAACACTATGTTGAATAGGAGTGGTGAGAGAGGGCATCCTTGTCTTGTGCCAGTTTTCAAAGGGAATGCTTCCAGTTTTTGCCCATTCAGTATGATATTGGCTGTGGGTTTGTCATAAATAGCTCTTATTATTTTGAGGTATGTTCCATCGATACCTGGTTTATTGAGAGTTTTCAGCATGAAAGGCTGTTGAATTTTGTCAAAGGCCTTTTCTGCATCTATTGAGATAATCATGTGGTTTTTGTCATTGGATCTGTTTATGTGATGGGTTATGTTTATTGATTTGCATATGTTGAACCAGCCTTGCATCTCAGGGATGAAGCCGACTTGATCGTGGTGGAAAAGCTTTTTGACGTGCTGCTGGATTTGGTTTGCCAGTATTTTATTGAGGATTTTCGCATCAATGTTCATCAGGGATATTGGCCTAAAATTCTCTTTTTTTATTGTATCTCTGCCAGATTTGGTATCAGGATGATGCTGGCCTCATAAAATGAGTTAGGGAGGATTCCCTGTTTTTCTATTGATTGGAATAGTTTCAGAAGGAATGGTATCAGCTCCTCTTTGTACCTCTGGTAGAATTTGGCTGTGAATCCGTCTGGTCCTGGACTTTTTTTGGTTGGTAGGCTATTAATTATTGCCTTAATTTCAAAACCTGTTATTGGTCTATTCAGAGATTCAACTTCTTCCTGGTTTAGTCTTGGGAGGGTGTATGTGTCCAGGAATTTATCCATCTCTTCTAGATTTTCTAGTTTATTACATAGAGGTGTTTATAATATACTCTGATGGTAGTTTGTATTTCTGTGGGATCGGTGGTGATGTCCCCTTTATCATTTTTTATTGCATCTATTTGATTCTTCTCTCTTTTCTTCGTATTAGTCTTCCTAGTGGTCTATGTATTTTGTTGATCTCTTCAGAATACCAGCTCCTGGATTTATTGATTTTTTTGACAGGTTTTTGTGTCTCTATCTCCTTCAGTTCTGCTCTGATCTTAGTTATTTCTTCTAGCTTTTGAATGTGTTTGCTCTTGCTTCTCTAGTTCTTTTAATTGTGATGTTAGGGTGTCGATTTTAGATCTCTCCTGCTTTCTCTTGTGGGCATTTAGTGCTATAAATTTCCCTCTACACACTGCTTTAAATGTGTCCCAGAGATTCTGGTATGTTGTGTCTATGTTCTCATTGGTTTCAAAGAACATCTTTATTTCTGCCTTCATTTCATTATTTACCCCATAGTCATTCAGGAGCAGGTGGTTCAGTTTCCATGAGTTGTGTGGTTTTGAGTGAGTTTCTTAATCCTGAGTTCTAATTTGATTGTGCTGTGGTCTGAGAGACAGTTTGTTGTGATTTCTGTTCTTTTACATTTGCTGAGGAGTCTTTTACTTCCAATTATGGGTCAATTTTAGAATAAGTGCGATGTGGTGCTGAGAAAAATGTATATTCTGTTGATTTGGGGTGGAGAGTTCTGTAGATGTCTATTAGGTCCATTTGGTCCAGAGCTGAGTTCAAGTCCTGGATATCCTTGTTAAGTTTCTGTCTTGTTGATCTGTCTAATATTGACAGTGGGGTGTTAAAGTCTCCCATTATTATTTTTTGGGAGCTTAAGTCTCTTTGTAGGTCTCTAAGAACTTGCTTTATGAATCTGGGTGCTCCTGTATTGGGTGCATACATATTTAGGATAGTTAGCTCTTCTTGTTGAATTAACCCCTTTACCATTATGTAATGGTCTTCTTAGTCTCTTTTGATTTTTGTTGGTTTAAAGTCTGCTTTATCAGAGACCAGGATTGCAACCCCTGCTTTTTTTTTTTTTTTTGCTTTCCATTTGCTTGGTAGATCTTCCTCCATCCCTTTATTTTGAGCCTATGTGTGTCTCTGCATGTGAGATGGGTTTCCTGAATACAGCACACTGATGGGTCTTGACTCTTTATCCAATTTGCCAGTCTGTGTCTTTTAATTGGGGCATTTAGCCCATTTACATTTAAGGTTAATATTGTTATGTGTGAATTTGATCCTGTCATTATGATGCTTGCTGGTTATTTCACCTGTTAATTGATGCAGTTTCTTCATAGCATCGATGGTCTTTACAATTTGGCATGTTTTTGCAGCGGCTGGTACCGGTTGTTCCTTTCCATGTTTAGTGCTTCCTTCAGGAGCTCTTGTAAGGCAGGCCTGGTGGTGACAAAATGTCTCAGCATTTGTTTGTCTGTAAAGGATTTTATTTCTCCTTCACTTATGAAGCTTAGTTTGGCTGGATATGAAATTCTGGGTTGAAAATTCTTTTCTTTAAGAATGTTGAATATTGGCGCCTACTCTCTTCTGGCTTGTAGGGTTTCTGCAGAGAGATCTGCTGTTAGTCTAATGGGGTTCCCTTTGTGGGTAACCCGAGCTTTCTCTCTGGCTGCCCTTAACACTTTTTCCGTCATTTCAACCTTGGTGAATCTGACAATTACATGTCTCGAGGTTGCTCTTCTCGAGGAGTATCTTTGTGGTGTTCTCTGTATTTCCTGAATTTGAATGTTGGCCTGCCTTGCTAGGTTGGGGAAGTTCTCCTGGATAATATCCTGAAGAGTGTTTCCTAACTTGGTTCCATTCTCCTCATCACTTTCAGGTACATCAATCAAACGTAGATTTGGTCTTTTCACGTAGTCGCATATTTCTTGGAGGCTTTGTTCATTTCTTTTCACTCTTTTTTCTCTAATCTTGTCTTCTTGATTTATTTCATTACTTTGATCTTCAATCACTGATATCCTTTCTTCCGCTTGATCGAATTGGCTATTGAAGCTTGTGTATGCTTCACGAAGTTCTCGTACTGTGGTTTTCAGTTACATCAGGTCATTTAAGCTCTTCTCTACACTGATTGTTCTAGTTAGCCATTCATCTAACCTTTTTTCAAGGTTTTCAGCTTCCTCGCAATGGGTTAGAACACACTCCTTTAGCTTGGAGAGGTTTGTTATTACTGACTTTCTGAAGCCTACTTCTGTCAACTCGTCAAACTCATTCTCCATCCAGTTTTGTTCCCTTGCTGGCAAGGAGTTGTGTTCCTTTGGAGGAGAAGAGGCATTCTGGTTTTTGGAATTTTCAGCCTTTCTGCTCTGGTTTCTCCCCATCTTTTTGTGGTTTTATCTACCTTTGGTCTTTGATGTTGGTGACCTATGGATGAGGTTTTGGTCTGGATGTCCTTTTTGTTGACGTTGATGCTATTCCTTTCTGTTTGTTAGTTGTCATTCTAACAGACAGGCCTGTCAGCTGCAGGTCTGTTGGAGTATGCTGGAAGTCCACTCCAGACCCTTTTTGCCTGGGTATCACCAATGGAGGCTGCAGAATAGCAAATATTGCTGCCCGATCCTTCCTCTGGAAGCTTCGTCCCAGAGGGGCACCTGCCTGTATGAGGTGTTTGTCGGCCACTACTGGGAGGTGTCTCCCAGTCAGGCTACACGGGGGTCAGGGACCTACTTGAGGAGGCAGTCTGTCCATTATCAGAGCTTGAACACCGTGCTGGGAGAACCACTGCTCTCTTCAGAGTTGTCAGGCAGTGACGTTTAAGTCTGGAGAAGCTCTCTGCTGCCTTGCCCCCAGAGGTAGAATCTAGAAAGGCAGTAAGCTTTGCTGAGCTGCGGTGGGCTCTGCCGAGTTCGAGCTTCCCTGCCGCTTTGTTTACACTGTGAACATGGAACTGCCTCCTCAAGCCTCAGCAATTGTGGATGCCCCTGCCTCTGCCACACTCCACCATCCCAGGTTGATCTCAGACTGCTGCGCTAACAGTGAGCAAGGCTCCGTGGGCATGAGACCAACCAAGCCCAGGCACAGGAGGGGATCTCCTGCTCTGCCGGTTGTGAAGACCATGGGGAAAGCACAGTATTTGGGCAGGAGTGTACCTCTTCTCCAGGTACAGTCACTCATGGCTTCCCTTGGCTAGGAAAGGGAAATCCCCCAACCCCTTGCACTTCCCAGGTGAGGTGACAACCTGCCCTGCTTCAGCTTGCCTTCCGTGAGGTGCACCCACTGTCCAGCCAGTCCCAGTGAGATGAACCAGGTACCTCAGTTGGAAATGCAGAAATCCCCTGTCTTCTGCATCAATCTCCCTGGGAGCTATAGACCAGAGCCATTCCTATTTGGCCATCTTGGATGCAGTCAGTCTCCACTAAACTTCTTGAAGGCAGAGACCATGTCCTTGTATTCTCCATAAAGCCCAGTAAGTCCTTTCTCTTAGCAGACACTTAATAGATAGTAGTTAATAGGTGAATTCACAATGTATATGAATGAATGAGTGAATGAAATTGGAGGTAGGGGAAGTGACGGAGGTAGATTCTCTACTGTTGATGGATTGATTTTATTCAGGTTTTAATCTGTCTGTTATGTGTGAGTACATGTATGTGTATAAACAAAGCAGTGCTTTTTTTTTTTTATACTTTAAGTTTTAGGGTACATGTGCACATTGTGCAGGTTAGTTACATATGTATACATGTGCCATGCTGGTGCGCTGCACCCACTAACTCGTCATCTAGCATTAGGTATATCTCCCAATGCTATCCCTCCCCCCTCCCCCTACCCCACAACAGTCCCCAGAGTGTGATATTCCCCTTCCTGTGTCCATGTGATCTCATTGTTCAATTCCCACCTATGAGTGAGAATATGCGGTGTTTGGTTTTTTGTTCTTGCGATAGTTTACTGAGAATGATGGTTTCCAATTTCATCCATGTCCCTACAAAGGACATGAACTCATCATTTTTTATGGCTGCATAGTATTCCATGGTGTATATGTGCCACATTTTCTTAATCCAGTCTATCATTGTTGGACATTTGGGTTGGTTCCAAGTCTTTGCTATTGTAAATAGTGCCACAATAAACATACGTGTGCATGTGTCTTTATAGCAGCATGATTTATAGTCATTTGGTTATATACCCAGTAATGGGATGGCTGGGTCAAATGGTATTTCTAGTTCTAGATCCCTGAGGAATCGCCACACTGACTTCCACAATGGTTGAACTAGTTTACAGTCCCACCAACAGTGTAAAAGTGTTCCTATTTCTTCACATCCTCTCCAGCACCTGTTGTTTCCTGACTTTTTAATGATTGCCATTCTAACTGGTGTGAGATGATATCTCATAGTGCTTTTGATTTGCATTTCTCTGATGGCCAGTGATGATGAGCATTTTTTCATGTGTTTTTTGGCTGCATAAATGTCTTCTTTTGAGAAGTGTCTGTTCATGTCCTTCGCCCACTTTTTGATGGGGTTGTTTGTTTTTTTCTTGTAAATTTGTTTGAGTTCATTGTAGATTCTGGATATTAGCCCTTTGTCAGATGAGTAGGTTGCGAAAATTTTCTCCCATGTTGTAGGTTGCCTGTTCACTCTGACGGTAGTTTCTTTTGCTGTGCAGAAGCTCTTTAGTTTAATGAGATCCCATTTGTCAATTTTGGCTTTTGTTGCCATTGCTTTTGGTGTTTTGGACATGAAGTCCCTGCCCACGCCTATGTCCTGAATGGTAATGCCTAGGTTTTCTTCTAGGGTTTTTATGGTTTTAGGTCTAACGTTTAAATCTTTAATCCATCTTGAATTGATTTTTGTATAAGGTGTAAGGAAGGGATCCAGTTTCAGCTTTCTACATATGGCTAGCCAGTTTTCCCAGCACCATTTATTTAATAGGGAATCCTTTCCCCATTGCTTGTTTTTCTCAGGTTTGTCAAAGATCAGATAGTTGTAGGTATGCGGCGTTATTTCTGAGGGCTCTGTTCTGTTCCATTGATCTATATCTCTGTTTTGGTACCAGTACCATGCTGTTTTGGTTACTGTAGCCTTGTAGTATAGTTTGAAGTCAGGTAGTGTGATGCCTCCAGCTTTGTTCTTTTGGCTTAGGATTGACTTGGCGATGCGGGCTCTTTTTTGGTTCCATATGAACTTTAAAGTAGTTTTTTCCAATTCTGTGAAGAAAGTCATTGGTAGCTTGATGGGGATGGCATTGAATCTGTAAATTACCTTGGGCAGTATGGCCATTTTCACGATATTGATTCTTCCTACCCATGAGCATGGAATGTTCTTCCATTTGTTTGTATCCTCTTTTATTTCCTTGAGCAGTGGTTTGTAGTTCTCCTTGAAGAGGTCCTTCACATCCCTTGTAAGTTGGATTCCTAGGTATTTTATTCTCTTTGAAGCAATTGTGAATGGGAGTTCACTCATGATTTGGCTCTCTGTTTGTCTGTTGTTGGTGTATAAGAATGCTTGTGATTTTTGTACATTGATTTTGTATCCTGAGACTTTGCTGAAGTTGCTTATCAGCTTAAGGAGATTTTGGGCTGAGATGATGGGGTTTTCTAGATAAACAATCATGTCATCTGCAAACAGGGACAATTTGACTTCCTCTTTTCCTAATTGAATACCCTTTATTTCCTTCTCCTGCGTGATTGCCCTGGCCAGAACTTCCAACACTATGTTGAATAGGAGTGGTGAGAGAGGGCATCCCTGTCCTGTGACAGTTTTCAAAGGGAATGCTTCCAGTTTTTGCCCATTCAGTATGATATTGGCTGTGGGTTTGTCATAGATAGCTCTTATTATTTTGAAATACGTCCCATCAATACCTAATTTATTGAGAGTTTTTAGCATGAAGGGTTGTTGAATTTTGTCAAAGGCTTTTTCTGCATCTATTGAGATAATCATGTGGTTTTTGTCTTTGGCTCTGTTTATATGCTGGATTACATTTATTGATTTGCGTATATTGAACCAGCCTTGCATCCCAGGGATGAAGTCCACTTGATCATGGTGGATAAGCTTTTTGATGTGCTGCTGGATTCGGTTTGCCAGTATTTTATTGAGGATTTTTGCATCAACGTTCATCAAGGATATTGGTCTAAAATTCTCTTTTTTGGTTGTGTCTCTGCCCGGCTTTGGTATCAGAATGATGCTGGCCTCATAAAATGAGTTAGGGAGGATTCCCTCTTTTTCTGTTGATTGGAATAGTTTCAGAAGGAATGGTACCAGTTCCTCCTTGTACCTCTGGTAGAATTCGGCTGTGAATCCATCTGGTCCTGGACTCTTTTTGGTTGGTAAACTATTGATTATTGCCACAATTTCAGCTCCTGTTATTGGTCTATTCAGAGATTCAACTTCTTCCTGGTTTAGTCTTGGGAGAGTGTAGGTGTCGAGGAATGTATCCATTTCTTCTAGATTTTCTAGTTTATTTGCGTAGAGGTGTTTGTAGTATTCTCTGATGGTAGTTTGTATTTCTGTGGGATCGGTGGTGATATCCCCTTTATCATTTTTTATTGTGTCTATTTGATTCTTCTCTCTTTTTTTCTTTATTAGTCTTGCTAGCGGTCTATCAATTTTGTTGATCCTTTCAAAAAACCAGCTCCTGGATCCATTGATTTTTTGAAGGGTGTTTTGTGTCTCTATTTCTTTCAGTTCTGCTCTGATTTTAGTTATTTCTTGCCTTCTGCTAGCTTTTGAATGTGTTCGCTCTTGCTTTTCTAGTTCTTTTAATTGTGATGTTAGGGTGTCAATTTTGGATCTTTCCTGCTTTCTCTTGTGGGCATTTAGTGCTATAAATTTCCCTCTACACACTGCTTTGAATGCATCCCAGAGATTCTGGTATGTTGTGTCTTTGTTCTCATTGGTTTCAAAGAACATCTTTATTTCTGCCTTCATTTCGTTATGTACCCAGTAGTCATTCAGGAGCAGGTTGTTCAGTTTCCATGTAGTTGAGCGGCTTTGAGTGAGATTCTTAATCCTGAGTTCTAGTTTGATTGCACTGTGGTCTGAGAGATAGTTTGTTATAATTTCTGTTCTTTTACATTGGCTGAGGAGAGCTTTACTTCCAACTATGTGGTCAGTTTTGGAATAGGTGTGGTGTGGTGCTGAAAAAAATGTATATTCTGTTGATTTGGGGTGGAGAGTTTTGTAGATGTCTATTAGGTCCGCTTGGTGCAGAGCTGAGTTCAATTCCTGGGTATCCTTGTTGACTTTCTGTCTCATTGATCTGTCTAATGTTGACAGTGGGGTGTTAAATTCTCCCATTATTAATGTGTGGGAGTCTAAGTCTCTTTGTAGGTCACTCAGGACTTGCTTTATGAATCTGGGTGCTCCTGTATTGGGTGCATATATATTTAGGATAGTTAGCTCCTCTTGTTGAATTGATCCCTTTACCATTATGTAATGGCCTTCTTTGTCTCTTTTGATCTTTGTTGGTTTAAAGTCTGTTTTATCAGAGACTATGATTGCAACCCCTGCCTTTTTTTGTTTTCCATTTGCTTGGTAGATCTTCCTCCATCCTTTTATTTTGAGCCTATGTGTGTCTCTGCACATGAGATGGGTTTCCTGAATACAGCACACTGATGGGTCTTGACTCTTTATCCAACTTGCCAGTCTGTGTCTTTTAATTGGAGAATTTAGTCCATTTACATTTAAAGTTAATAGTGTTATGTGTGAATTTGATCCTGTCATTATGATGTTAGCTGGTTATTTTGCTCATTAGTTGATGCAGTTTCTTCCTAGTCTCGATGGTCTTTACATTTTGGCATGATTTTGCAGCGGCTGGTACCGGTTGTTCCTTTCCATGTTTAGCACTTCCTTGAGGAGCTCTTTTAGGGCAGGCCTGGTGGTGACAAAATCTCTCAGCATTTGCTTGTCTGTAAAGTATTTTATTTCTCCTTCACTTATGAAGCTTAGTTTGGCTGGATATGAAATTCTGGGTTGAAAATTCTTTTCTTTAAGAATGTTGAATATTGGCCCCCACTCTCTTCTGGCTTGTAGGGTTTCTGCCGAGAGATCCGCTGTTAGTCTGATGGGCTTCCCTTTGAGGGTAACCCGACCTTTCTCTCTGGCTGCCCTTAACATTTTTTCCTTCATTTCAACTTTGGTGAATCTGACAATTATGTGTCTTGGAGTTGCTCTTCTCGAGGAGTATCTTTGTGGCATTCTCTGTATTTCCTGAATCTGAACGTTGGCCTGCCTTGCTAGATTGGGGAAGTTCTCCTGGATAATATCCTGCAGAGTGTTTTCCAACTTGGTTCCATTCTCCTCATCACTTTCAGGTACACCAATCAGACGTAGATTTGGTCTTTTCACATAGTCCCATATTTCTTGGAGGCTTTGCTCATTTCTTTTTATTCTTTTTTCTCTAAACTTCCCTTCTTGCTTCATTTCATTCATTTCATCTTCCATTGCTGATACCCTTTCTTCCAGTTGATCGCATCAGCTCCTGAGGCTTCTGCATTCTTCACGTAGTTCTCGAGCCTTGGTTTTCAGCTCCATCAGCTCCTTTAAGCACTTCTCTGTATTGGTTATTGTAGTTATACATTCTTCTAAATTTTTTTCAAAGTTTTCAACTTTCTTTGCCTTTGGTTTGAATGTCCTCCCGTAGCTCAGAGTAATTTGATCGTCTGAAGACTTCTTCTCTCAGCTCGTCAAAATCATTCTCCATCCAGCTTTGTTCCGTTGCTGGTGAGGAACTGCATTCCTTTGGAGGAGGAGAGGCACTCTGCGTTGTAGAGTTTCCAGTTTTTCTGTTCTGTTTTTTCCCCATCTTTGTGGTTTTATCTACTTTTGGTCTTTGATGATGGTGATGTACAGATGGGTTTTTGGTGTGGATGTCCTTTCTGTTTGTTAGTTTTCCTTCTAACAGACAGGACCCTCAGCTGCAGGTCTGTTGGAATACCCTGCCTTGTGAGGTGTCAGTGTGCCCCTGCTGGGGGGTGCCTCCCAGTTAGGCTGCTCGGGGGTCAGGGGTCAGGGACCCACTTGAGGAGGCAGTCTGCCCATTCTCAGATCTCAAGCTGCGTGCTGGGAGAACCACTGCTCTCTTCAAAGCTGTCAGACAGGGACATTTAAGTCTGCAGAGGTTACTGCTGTCTTTTTGTTTGTGCCCTGCCCCCAGAGGTGGAGCCTACAGAGGCAGGCAGGCCTCCTTGAGCTGTGGTGGGCTCCACCCAGTTCGAGCTTCCCGGCTGCTTTGTTTACCTAAGCAAGCCTGGGCAATGGCGGGCGCCCCTCCCCCAGCCTCGCTGCCGCCTTGCCGTTTGATCTCAGACTGCTGTGCTAGCAATCAGCGAGACTCCGTGGGCGTAGGACCCTCCGAGCCAGGTGTGGGATATAGTCTCGTGGTGCACCGTTTTTTAAGCCGGTCTGAAAAGCGCAATATTCAGGTGGGAGTGACCCGATTGTCCAGGTGCGTCCGTCACCCCTTTCTTTGACTCGGAAAGGGAACTCCCTGACCCCTTGTGCTTCCCAGGTGAGGCAATGCCTCACCCTGCTTCGGCTCGCGCAGGGTACGCGCACCCACTGGCCTGCGCCCACTGTCTGGCACTCCCTACTGAGATGAACCCGGTACCTCAGATGGAAATGCAGAAATCACCCGTCTTCTGCGTCGCTCACGGGCTGGGAGCTGTAGACGGGAGCTGTTCCTATTCGGCCATCTTGGCTCCTCCCCTTTTTTTTTTTTTTTTTTTTTTTTTTTTTTGGAGACAGAGCCTCACTCTGTCACCCAGGCTGGAGTGCAGTGGCTCGATCTCAGCTCAGTGCAACCTCCACCTCCCGGGTTCAAGCAATTCTTCTGCCTCAGCATCCCCCATTAGCTGGGACTACAGGTGTGTACCACCATGTCTGGCTAATTTTTAGTATTCTTAGTAGAGATGGAGTTTCACCATATTGCCCAGGCTGGTCCCAAATTCCTCAGCTCAGGCAATCCATCCACCTCAGCCTCCCAAAGTGCTGGGATTACAGACGTGAGCCACCATGCCCGGCCAAAGCAGTGCTTTTAAAAATGAAAACAACACACCTAATTAGTAAGCTCCTGAAAATACAGGCGTCTAGGTAAAACGTCAGGAAGGTCTTTGTGCTATAGCATTTTTTCAGACTGTTAATATGATTGGTATAATGTTCATTAACAGGCATGGTTTCTAATTTGCAGTGATCTGAAACAGCAGATTTTAGAGAACTGTTCATTCTTAGGGGAGCTTTGACTTGTACGTCTCTTTGCGAAACTGAAGGAGTCCTCCTGGGTCTAGCTGACCTTTCCCTTGTAGTGAGGAGTTTTGTCTTGCTACTTTTTTTTTTCCAGATGGCTTTTAATCCAAGGGTAAAAACCTTCTGATTAGCCTAGATTCCCTTGATAGTCCCTTCTCTTACAGCTTCATCAAATTTATGTTAAAGATTGGGGAAAAAACAAGCAAACAAACAAAAAGTAGGTAGTGTAAACTTTAACAGAGTAATAGAAGGATTGACATGGGACTCGTAACTGGACATAATTTTTATTTCTCTTAAGTATAATTTTATTATTAAATAATAAATGCACATGGTTTTAAAAGGTCAAACAGAACAAGAAAGGGTTCTTTGTACAAAAAAAAACCATCAGTCCTTGTCTCTCCTCCTCACCCAACTTTGGTTAGGTATAAAAGTCTAGGTTGAAAATTGTTTTCCCTAAGGATTTTGGTGGCCTTGCCACATGGTCATCTAAATTCCATGTAAATTGTAATGTCACTCTTCTTCCTCGTGTTTTTGTGCCCTGTTTCTCTTTTTCCCTCCTTACCTCCCTCCTACTTTATTCCTTTCTCTCTGGAAGCTTTTACTATCTTCTTCCCTTCTTGACATTCTGAAATTTCATAGGCTCTTCTTTCATTCCTTGTGCTGGGCAATTGGACACCGTCGCATCCTGGAGGTTTAAGTTCCTTCAGTTCTAGGACATTTTCTTATATTTATTTAGTTAATAATTTCCTCTTCCTCATTTTCCCCATACCCTTTCTGGTTTTCTTAGTGATCAAATATTGGGACTTCCAGATTGATGCTCTAGTTTTCTTATCTTTTTGCCTTCTTGTTTTTCTTTTTAGGAGATTTGATCAACGTTATTTTTCAGATTTTTTTAAACCTATCATATTTTAAATTTCTAATTAAATGTTTAAAGTTAATTTATATTCTTTCTCTCTCTCTTTTTTTTTTTTGAGACAGAGTCTTGCTGTGTCGCCCGGGCTGGAGTGCAGTGGCGCAATCTTGGCTCACTGCAAGCTCTGCCTCCTGGGTTCATGCCATTCTCCTGCCTCAGCCTCCCGAGTAGCTGGGACTACAGGTGCCCGCCACCATGCCTAGCTAATTTTTTGTATTTTTTTTAGTAGAGATGGGGTTTCACTGTGTTAGCCAGGATGGTCTCGATCTCCTGACCTCGTGATCCACCTGCCTCGGCCTCCCAAAGTGCTGGGATTACAGGCGTGAGCCAGCGCACCCAGCCTATTCTTTCTCTTATAGCAAGAAGTATGTATTTTTAGTTTTCTTTGAGTTTTAGTTTTTTGGTTTTTCTTTTTTTCTTTTTAGTTTTCTTCTGTTTCTAATTTTCTTTCCTTCCTTCTTTTCTTTTCTTTTCTTTTCTTTTCTTTTCACAGTATCTTGCTCTGCTCTGTCACCCAGGCTGGAGTACAGTGGCACAATCACAGCTCACTGCATCCTCAACCTCCTGGGCTCAAGCGATCCTTCCATCTCAGCCTCCTGAGTAGCTGCACTACAGGCATGCACCACCATGCCTGGCTAATTTTTGTTTTTTGTTTTTGGGTTTTTTTTTTGGCTTTTTTTATTATTATTATTTGTAGAGACTAGGTATTGCCATATTACCCAGGCTGGTCTCGAACTTCTAGGATCAAGTGATCCACCTGCCTCAGCTTCCCAAAATGGCATTTGAACCTTGGGATTACAGGTGTGAGATTACAGGTGTGAGCCACTGTGCCTGGCTGTTTCTATCTCTCGATAGGATTTTCCTCTCCTATTTGTTTTAGTGTCTGATTTGTTGTTGTTGGAGGCTTTCCTCTAATACCTGGTATACCCCTGAACCCTAGAAAGCATTTCAAAGCTCTGTGTCCCATGGATAGAACTTGTTGACTAGTGAATATCATTGCTGGGTGGTCAGGTAGTGAACTACTTTATTGTTGTGCCATTCAGTTTCAACATACTAGGATCTTTCTAACTCCTGCCTGAAGGTTGGAGCTGGGAATGAGGGTGGGGCAGTGCTTAAGGCTGTCAGCTGACCTCCAGGAGTCAGGCAGGGGCAGGGACTGGAGCTTACTCTTCAGTGCATAGACTTTAATTCCTCTGTATCAGGCTTTTGACCAGCCCACCCTCTGCTGCGCTTGCTACCCTTGGGTCTCAGATCAAGTACTCAAGTGATGGTTACTCAGGTAAGGGTTAGGGGAGAAGTGTAGTTTCCTGGCTGTATGGACTAGGGAATACAGAGAACTGACAATTTCTTATATAGACATTTATTTATACAAATATTTGTTAAGTATCTTCTGCGTGTCTGGTACTATTCTAGGCTCTGGTCACAAGCAGTAAACAAAATAGATTAAAGTTCCAACCCTTGCGGGGCTTGTGTTCTTGTGGGCAAGAAGGAAAATAGTAAGTGCTGAGGGAATGATATGTCGTGAGATGAGAAAAGATTGAAAGCTGGGAGGGGGGATGGGAAGCATGTGAGGGGAGGGCGTGTGGTTAGTGATTCAAAGTTTAGGCAGAGTGGTTGGGGAACAACACCATGTTGAAAAGATGGCATTGAGTAAAGATCTGAGAGAAGTAAGAGGGTGAGCCCTCTCTGGCTGAAGAGCATTTGAGGTGAAGGTTTTGCAGCTGTAGCTCACCTAATAGAAGACCAGCAAGGAGGCCCCATAGCTGGAGCAGAGTGAGAAGTGAGGAGGCAGCCATGAGGCTCATAGGTCACTGCAGGAACTTTGGCTTTTATTCTGAGGGAGAGGGAAGCCACTGGAGAGGGGTTTGAGCTGGTGAGAGAGATGATCTGACTGACACTGGCTGCTGTGTTGAAAGAAACTGCAGTGGTGCCAGTTCAGAAGCTATGTGAGAGTTGGAGGTGGGCTGGAAAAGCATAACGATGAGGAATTGGTGAGAAGGGATCAGAGTCTGGACACATTTTGAAAGTAGAGCCTCCTGGAATTGCTGATGGATTGGGCGGCTTTGACTCAGTCTTCTTGCTTTCAGCTTCGCTCCTCACGCTGCCTTTTGCAATACTAGTACTTCGTGTCTCTGTCTTCTGAGCCTTCCCAGGAATCGGGTGGGTGAGTGGGGGTGGCACCAAAGGCCATGTCAGCTCACCTCTTCACATCTCATCTGCAGGGACTTAGTATTACTCTCCTGTTACTTTTCTTTCCTCTCTTTATCAGCTTTCAAAGTTGTAGAATTATCTCATGCCCACTGATACCACTGTGCCCATTCTTTCTCCTTACACGTAGGTTTACACCTTAATTTTTTTAAACTCAGTGAAGTTTAGAGAAGCAGTGTTGATAAACACATGTGTTTCATCTGTCATGTTTAACTAGAAATCTGTTTATTATTTGTGAATATTCAGCACAAGAATGTTTAGTGAGTATGCTTGATTTTTTTCAATGCAACTTATAGAACTGAAAATTATTTTAATAAAAAATGAGAAGGATTTTTAGAGCACTAACCTTTTGTTTCCTGACCAGAGCCTTGCCTCTAAGACTTCTTGGGTTTGTTTGTTTGTTTGTTTTTGTCTATTTTAATCAATTCTCAGATTGAAAATTAATTTTAAAATGTTTAAAGCTCACACCCTGAGAATTATTACATAAATGCTAACAATCATCAGAGAAGCATTAATCATAGTTTGTCAGCTCTTATCTGAAAATAATTTATCTTTCTTCTGGATCATTGTTGTAACTAAGGTCTACAACTTTGGTCCTCTTCTTGAATGTCACCCATCTGAAGCCAGAGGCATGACAGTAGTAAAAGTCTATTTTTTGAAGTTTTATAAATAAAATTCTAAAGATTCAAAGATACCAATAGTTTTTTTAAAAAATAATTGTATATGTTGTTAAATATCCAGAATACCTTGTTGGCTAACTTAGTGTGTTATTCCATTCTCACACTGCTATAAAGAAATACCTCAGACTGGATAATTTATAAAGAAAAGAGGTTTAACTGGCTCACAACTCTGCAGGCTGTACAGGAAGCATGGCTAGGGAGGCCTCAGGAAAGTTACAATCATGGCAGAAGGCAAAGGGGAAGCAGGCACATCTTACACGGCCAGAGCAGGAGGAAGAGAGAGAAGGGGGAGGTGCTACACACTTTAAAACAACCAGTTCCTGTGAGAACTCACTCACTATCATGAGAACAGCGAGGGGGGAATCCACCTCATGATCCAATCTCCTCCCACCAGGTTCTTCCTCCAACACTGGGGATTTGACACGAGATTTGGGTGGGGACACAAATCTAAACCATATCACTTAGGTAAGTATATTTTAGGTTCGTTGAGATTAGGAAACATGCCCTGCTGATTTACTTAACCCCAAAGCACCCAGCATAGCACTTTGCATATAATATGGTATCCACTTATGATGTTTGAGGAATCCTTTATTAAATAAAGGATTTTACATATTCATTGGTCTTGTTGGAAATTGTACTGACATAACAAGCCAAACTCACTACTCCCAGAATAAGTGTAATTTATTCTTCCTAGTAAATATCAGAAATGAGATGCCTCATTTTTATCTAAACTGGCACCAGGAGTTTCAACACCTAAGACTCATAGCTCCCCAACCCTAACTGATCACACAGGCCCACTAAAGCTTCTTCAGCCATAATAACTAAATATAGTTATCCCTCAGTATATGCTGGGAATTGGTTCCAGGACCCCTGCATATATTCAAGTCCCACAGTTGGGCCTGTAAAACCCAAATATATGAAAAGTTGTCCCTCTGTGGAGAAGGGCTCACATTCCGCAAATGCTGTATTTTCGATTCATATCTCATTGAAGAAAAATCCCCATATAAGTGGACCTGCACAGTTAAGACCTGTGTTATTCAAGGGTCAACTGTATACATGCCCACCCACGTCCATCCCAGGCACAAATGAGAACCTGCCTTGACAGCCCCAGGGAAACCTATTCGGTCATTTTTAAGTTACTGTTGTGGGCTCAAAACTGTGTGGGGCACTTTAGGGGATAGAAAGTAAATTAATCCCTTGACTAATGCCCATGAGGAGTTGACTGACACCTGAAGCAAAAAGATGGATACGAAGGATTACATAGTTAAATGCTAAATTATATGGGAGAAACCACTAAAAATATAGAGGTTTAGAGTTTACCATAGATAGGAATAGAATCTTAGAGTTTGAAAAGTCCTTTTAGAAGTCCAGTCTAAATCCATCTTCTAGTATAAGAGTTCTTTTTAGATTATCTTTGGCAGATGGTTTTCCATGTTGATTGTGGCCTGTGAAGGGAGGCCCTTGCTATTTTCTGAGGCAGCCTCTTCTGTAGTAGCACTGCTCTGATAGTTTTCTTGAGTCAGAGGTGCTCAAGAGTTAGTAAGAGTGCTCAAGAGTCTATAAGTTACTGCAGTTAGTCCTGCCTTGTCTTGTGGGCCATACTGAATGAACATATTGCCTTTTCATCACAGCCATCCTCTGTTCAGTATTTAAAGAAAGCCCTCGGATTGACGAAAAGTATAGCAGAGAGAGAAAGGTCTTGAACTCCAACTAGGTGAACTATTTTGTCCCTTTATGTCTTGGCCTCCTTGATACTAATGTGTAAAAGCAGGGAACACAGTGCCTGATGCACAGACAGGAGGCAGTAAAGGTGAGCTGCGGGCAGGTCTGTCTTGGGTCTTCTCTTGCAGGCTGCCTGGTAAAGGAAGCCCTCAGAGACTAGATGGGGTTCAGGCTTAGAGGGCTTTGATAAAGATGTGAAAGAAAAACAGGGGGCAGCAGAGAAGAGCAAATGAATGGACTTGACTGACTGAAATAAAGACAGCATAAAGAAGAAAAACCACGGGGACTGTGGTTTTAATCCGGTAAACGATGGCACCAATCACAAAGCATTTGTGTCTCACTGACTTGAGATGGTGAGATGATGGAAGATCATCTCGAGTGCCTATATTGTTGATTAATTCATCCATTTATTGAGCTTTCACTGTGTGCCAAGCACTGTTCTAAATACTGGAAATACAGAGGTAAACAAGACTGATGGGGTCTCTGTTCTCCCGGGATTTGTGTTCTCCTTGGGGAGGAAACAGACAAAAAAGAAGTAAACAAAAATATAAACCCCAACTACTTAGTAGGCTGAGGCAGGAGGATCACTTGAGCCCAGGAGTTTGAGACCAGCCTGGGCAGTATAGCAAGACTCCATTTCAAGAAAAAAAAGTGTAAACAAAAATATAAACAGGATAATTGAAGGTAATGATAAGTGCCATATATGAAGAATGATATAAAAGAGTGGATGGTTTAGAGGTGGGGGTGTGTACTTTAGATTACGATCAGGAACAGCCTCTCGGAGGAAGCGACATTGAGCTGAGACACGAAGG
Organism: Homo sapiens; assembly: GCF_000001405.40. NCBI lineage: Eukaryota > Metazoa > Chordata > Mammalia > Primates > Hominidae > Homo > Homo sapiens. The sequence continues at coordinate 106,484,763 of NC_000012.12, forward strand.
ATACAAAGGAGCCAGCCGAGCAAAAGTCTGGGAGGATTTAGTTATAGGCAGAGAGAATCATTAGGGTAAGAGTTCTGAGGCACGAATAAGCTTGGTATATTCAAGGAACAGAAAAAAGGCCAGTCTGGCCAGGCATATGCCTGACAAGCAGCACAGTATGAGACTTGGGGAGTGACAGAAGGATGATGGGGGCATATCCTATAGGGCCTTTTGGCTAAAAGAAAGGAGATTGGACTTTACTCCAGATATGCTGGGAACCAACAGAACCGTTGGATGGTGGGTGTCTTGGTCCATTTTCTGCTGCTATGACAAAATACCACTGACTGGATAATTTATAAAGAAAAGAAGTTTATTTGGCTTATGGTTCTAAAGACTTGGAAGTGGAGGAGCGTGGCACCAGCATCTGGAGAGGATCATCCCGTGGCAGACAGGCAGAGGGGCAGGAGAGCTTGCTTTTATAACCAAACCAGTCCTGAGATAAGTAACCCAAGTCTGTAATAATGGCATTAATCCATTCATGGGAATGGAGTCCTTATGACCTAACCACCTCTTAAAGGCCCCATATCAATTAAATCTCAACATGAGTTTTTGTGGGTACATACAAACCATAAAAATGAATATAAGCAAAGGAGTGACGAGATCTAACTTACAACTTCTAGAGCTCACTGTGGATTCTATATGAAAAGTGGATTGGAACGGGCAAGGAAGGGGGCAGGGAGACCATTGCAGTGGTCCAGGCAAGAAAGGGTGGTGGCTTGGACTAGGACAGCAGCAGTGGAAAAATAGAGAGAAGTGACTGGATTCTGGACATACTCTGGAGATAGAGCCAACAGGACTTGCTTATGGCTTGGATGGATGTTGCAAGAGGAAAAGACAGGAGTTGAGGATGAAGTTTGTGGCCTGAGCAACTGATAATGCTGTTTACCAAGATGGGAGCAATTGGGTAAAGAATAGTTTTTTGGCATTAGACAAGGGCAGAGGTTGAGAGTTTGGGCCTCAGGTTGAGATGATTAGACTCCAAGTGAAGATATAGGCTGGCAATTGGTTATAGAGTCTAGAGCTCCAGGGAGAGATTTGGGCTAGAGAAAAAATTGAGGAATCATTTGCATGCTGTTTATCTCCACATTTATAGTATTTTACTTTTTGTGTATTGATCATTTATAAGCACTTTTATCTATATTTCATCCTTTAACTGGTACAGTTCCAGTTTGTGTTGTTATTCCTACTATAAAGAGTAAGGAGATTGGCCAGGCGCGGTGGCTCACGCCTGTAATCCCAGCACTTTGGGAGGCCGAGGCGGGCAGATCACGAGGTCAAGAGATCGAGACCGTCCTGGCTAACATGGTGAAACCCCATCTCTACTAAAAATACAAAAAATTAGTTGGGCGTGATGGCAGGTGCCTGTAGTCCCAGCTACTCGGGAGACTGAGGCAGGAGAATGATGTGAACCTGGGAGGCGGAGCTTGCAGCGAGCCTAGATTGGGCCACTGCACTCCAGCCTGGGGTCAGAGGGAGACTCCGTCTCAAAAAAAAAAAAAAAAAAAAAAAAAAAAGAGTAAGGAGATTGAGGTTCAGGGGAGGTGAGTAGCATGCCTCCTACAGCTTGGTGCTGGCAGAGCCCACATTTGAATCCAGGATTTTGATTCCAAGCATATGGCTCATTTGGTTAAATCTGGTTAAAGGTGGCTCTTTTCTCTTCTTGTATCTTACTCTGCTCCTGAGATTGCCATATTCCCAGAGATTTCTCGTTGGAAAGACACTACCTTTTCTGAGGATGAATCCTGCTGTTTTTTAGTATTATTTTCTGTCTCCTCCTTAAGATGGGCATCTTCTCAAAATTCCCATTCTTCCTGGATAAGCAGCTTTACAGCTGCCACAAATCCAGAATAAATACTACCCTCATACAGCATGTCGCACAAATGCCTGCCAAAGCCCCATATTAAGATGTACTCCTAAAATAAAGCTGTATTTTCTGGTGTCCCTTTCCTTCTAAAATCAGCTTATTGTAAAACACTATCCCCACTCCCTTCTTTAACGGGTCCTCTGGTCAGGCTTTAGTGGCCTTGTGTAAAATTCAGAATCTATCAGGATTTCAAACAGATGTAAAAGGAAGTAAATTTCTGAGCCCTCAACTTTGACAGTTCTCCCAATTTATTTGGCTAGATGTGACAGTAAAAGCCACAAAAAGAGGGCACTTGAAGAAAATGTTTTGGCCACAGTGTTTACAGTTAGTGCACTTGGAACCTTCACATGCCAGGCACAGATGGCAGGTGTCTGTAAGGAGCCACACAATAACCCAGCGCTTAGTGTGGGCCCTAAGGGGGACTGCATCAGGCCTAAAGGAGTTGGATATTGGCAAGTAAAATGTGAGTGAAACAGAAAATGTAGTCCACAACATCAGTTATGCTATTTGTAGTTGTCATGAAATGAGCTGATAAAAATTTCAAAGTGTTGAGTTTTCAGGGTATATGTGTCACACCACGATTCCTGCAGAGGTTTGTTTGTTTGTTTGTTTCTGTTTTGGTCCAGATACATGCCAGAATAAGAGCAGTGGTTAGTTGAACTTAGTTTTTAATCCTGAGATGTAGAATTGTTTGGAAATCCTGTTTTTTCTTTTGTAGTATCTCCTGCAAGTTGACACATACATATTATCTATGAGAAAATTTAAAAATTCTTTTGATTTAGTATACCTTTGTGCATATTATTTTTCTCTCTCCATTTAGAGCATTAAATGTATTGTTCTGGGTGTTCAGAAAGTAACATGGCCCTGCAGATTGTCTGATTTTTGTCTTTTCTTAAAAGCTTACTTCGACAAAGCTGTTGTTAGGGATTCTTTCTGTATATGAATTGTGTGTAGATCACATTTCGGTGCCCAATGCCTCTTCAGATATCCTAACAATTAAAGGAGACTTGAAAATTTAGTTTCACAGAACATGTGCATCTGTCCCGCTCAAGCCTGATCGCTTCAAAGGTGGTAGGATAATTAGTAGCTAAATGAAACAAACATAAAGAGGAAGCGGAACAGTGGTAGTTATGTGCTGCATGTGATCACAGAGCTCATGGAGAAGACTGAAGGGGGCAGAATGCGTGGGTCAGCTGGAATAAGCGAGTCAATACTGAGTAGTTGGGAATCAACATCAGTGCTGCATGATAAGCAAAGATTGAATGCAGTTGGTCAGAGGAGGCCCACTGGAGAAGTGAAAATGTTTTATCAGATACAGAGGTGACAGACCCAATAAGCAACATCACCTTCTGTAACCTCAAAAGTGGAGGAGGACTAAGCAGAGAACCAAGTAATGAGGAACCATGTTTTGTAAAGAAGGTGGCATCACAATTAACATAGACTACTGTGGGCTCAGAAGCAGGCAGGATTCACTCACAGTGTACTTTTTAGATGAGGACATTTCAATACAGTCTTCTACTGAGACATTCAAAGAATCTTAATGAAGTACAACCTTCCTTTGGGCATTGTGAGGTCAGTTATATATCTTATCAGTAAATGTGCAGTGAGTCTGCATCCCCCCAAAAGAGCTGGACCTTTGATTAAGAATCTCTAGAGCCGTTCATCCTTTAGTAGTATGCAAAATGCTGGCCAAGGTGAAATGATTTAGTAATAACCTTCTATACATCAAAGTTGTGAATTTGTCTTTTGTTTATTTATGAAGGCAGGAAAGTTTAGTTTTGTTTTAAATTCATTTGGGGAGAAATATGTAAACCCTGAAGTCTTGAGCTCATTTCCCAAGTGGTCTAGACTTCTAGGTATTTTCGAGTGAAGCCATGACTTATCTGGTTGAGGCATAATGATGTTCCAAAGGGAAAACAGAGCTGAACATGGGTGTGGAATGTTCTATGTGTTGCTGTATATTCTAATCATTTTTATAGATAAAGATAGGAAGAGACATTCACATATGCTGATTGAAATTATGTTTGGAATTAGACTTTCTATTAAAATCAAAATAACACATGTAAGCCTCTTCAACTGTGTTATAAATTCTAATGGAGGGAACTCATCAAGGGCAAATATTTTTATCTTGAGCCTTGTTTTCTCTGATGATTAGTGCATTTATTAGAAGATTAACTACTCCTTTTAAAAAAAATCTTTAACAAAAATTATCTGACAGCCCAAGGAATTCTCAAGTTCCATTTCAGTGTTCAGGCAAACCAAATTATTATATTTCCAGATTTCCTCTTCTTTTGCTGCCATTCACAATGAAGGAGGAAAAAGCGGACTCCTTTGATGTGGAGAGAAAAAAAAAGCAATATATCACTTCCCTGAAAGAACATTTCTCAGTCTCTCATGTGAAAAAGGATTAGCACCTCCAACAAAGGTCCTGTGGATCACAGCATCGGGCAGCAATACCAAGCAGTACTCCTAAGGAGAGGAAAAACTGTATTTGAGCAAGAGTGTTTGTCCTGGCAAATAGAAGCTTTTTAATAACTGCAAATCTGAGATAATGGCATACGCTCCCTAAATCCTTAAGGACCAGACAGCTAGTTTAAATGGAGTGAAGTCAACTTTTGTTTTACAATAGAAGTCTAGTCTTATCAAAATATAGTTTTTTCACTTAATGGTTTAGTCTGCCTATCTGTGGTTGATAAGGATTATGCGTATATGGATAAAATCGTTTGGAAGATTCATCATTGACCCTCTCTTATACAAGAAAAGTTCCATTATAAGGTCACTTGCTTCCATTTTGCACTAATAAGTTATTCAATAACCTGCAGAATTAATTTATTAAGATTTTGATTGAATGTTTCTTAGAAGAAAAGAAAACCTGCCCTGACTTTCCAACACATTAAAGAATCTTTTTACAGTAGATATAAAGAGGCTTGTGGGAAGTAAGAAAATGGTAATTCATGTGTGATAGAAAAGCCAAGGAGAAAGTTTATCTGTTAAACAAGGTTTGGTTTTGCTAGACCTTCATTTGTTAGTCCTTTTTTCTGTATTATGCTTTCTAAAATTGAGACAGTGAAAAGAACCTGATTTAAAGTAATAATAATAACACCTTGTACTCGTGTAGTACTTGAGACTGTCTAAAATCCTCTCTGCAAGTCCACAGCTTTAAACAGTCTGGATAGCTTTGGCTGTCTGCTTTGCTTGATCCTGCTTGAATGGAAGTTTCTAAGTGGGAGGGGAGAAGGAGGCTGGTAGGGCTATCCGTATGAGCCCCATCATAAGGTGTATGATGCCAAATGATCCATCAGAGTTTCAGTCCAAAACCAAAACTCCAGCAGCTCTTACTTTAATGTTATTAAATCAGGGTTTCTTCGTCCACACAGATACCTTATTGGAAGAAGATTTTATGGAATTGACTTTTTTAGGAACAAATTTTGGTCTTCAGTAGCTCGCCAGTAACCCTCTGACCTTTCAGTAAATATCCAACTAAAGCTTTGAAATTAGGGTATTTAGTGTTTTATGGCCCAGAATAAAAATCTCCAATTCTGTTTCCAAATAGTGTAGCCTCAACACATTTTATTAAGCTCTTGACACATTCAGCCGTGTGTATTTTGTAAAGTTCCTATGGTTATTGTTTTACAATAGTTGCTTGCAAAAGCATTGTAAGGGTTTCAATTAATCAGCCCTTTGTGCGCTTCAGACTATGCAAATTTATCACATCAAACCATTCAACTGCTCATGGGAAAGCCGTGTAAAAACTGTATTGTCTTCTAGCGCCTCCTCTCATTTAGAGTGATGTTTTAATAAGAAAGCTAATCAAGTTTTCTTATGCATTATTTATCTGTTAACATGTAAGGAAGAGCCGAATTAAAATTATGTCAACCGGTATATGGCAAGTGATGTGATAGATCTGGAAATGATTCAACAACAGAACAAAGCCAATATGATTCAACAGTTTTTGTCTACTCCCCTCCCTCTGGGGATTATTTAAGGTGGTGGTGTGAAAAATAAAAGGAGGTTAATTCGATAGCTGGAAAAGGGGAGGGGAAGAACGGAATAACCACCTGTGTTAGCCTTAACATTTTGATTTAGAGATTTCATTTCTGAATGTATAAAGGCTCATTGAGATGAGTTTACTCAAAGCAAACCATGTCTTAATAGGAACAGTCAAACTTGAAAGCATTCCTACTGCTTCTTTGGCCCCATTTACCACCATATTCATCAGCAGTAAACTATTCCCCAATAGATATCTGCAACCCCAGGCCTCGTGAAAGTTATCAGGAGACAGTGTCTTGATGATGTTAAATGACCTGCACAACCCAGGAAGGAATGAGCTGCTTTTCTGCCTCTCCAGCCAAAGTTAGTGCAACTGCAACTGCTCCTTCTATTCATTAAGTTGGTCTCCTTTGCTTTGCTAGTTTGCTTCCTGCTGAGAGTAATTAGGTTTCTTATATAATAATAATTCCTTGTATTTAGATGCAGCCTTTCTCTAAGGACCTTAAAGTACCTCTCAGACATTAGCTCATCTGTTCTTCTAACACAATTGCTTCATGAGATAGGTGCTAATTATTCCCGTTACAAAGAGCAAACAACTAAGGCTCACCAGAAAGTGGTGCTTCCCCCGCACCCCCAAAGTAACATATCAGTGGAACAGCATTGAGTCAAATTAAAGTCACCCAATTCCTCGATTCACCTGCTCTACATAGGTCTAAGAGTCCAAGGGGTGATGAATTTTTTACAGACGGCATTTCCCCCACATTTATAAACCTCACTAATACTGGGCACTGGTTGAGTGTTCATCCCTTACTAAACACAGCTCTCTTCTTGCACTGTGACTGATGGAGAAAAACCACAGCATCATTTCACCATTCAGTGTAAGGAGTGTAAAACTGTGCAGAATAAATAGCCTTGTCCAACTGCTGAGTATCTGCAGAAAGTAAAAGGAGGTAATTTAGACTTTGATTAGGATTATTTCAGCAGACCATCCTGCCAGATGTGCTCCACATCATTTAGAGCATTAGAAAGTGGCAAGCTGAATTGTATAAATGTATGCAATATATTTACGAAGTTTTCAATATTCACTCAGATGACTTGACATAAGCTACCTCCGCCTATCTGGAGTTGGGGCCCTGAACCTCTACTTCCCCAGCAATTGAGGGAAATGATTCTTTTTCTCTTTCCTCACTCAGAAAAGGAAGAGTAATAATATATATTAACCTCAGAGGGGTAAATTTAATTCAAATGTGATTACACTTAGAAGGTAGACTTGCTAAATAAAAATGTAAAAATTAAAGCAGACTGTAATATTAAAATGAGAACTGGCCATCAGCAAAATTGAAACAATCTTCTAGTCAGGTCTCAACACACTGAAGTCACATCAAAAACATCTCTTGAATTAGAGATGGCATTACAGTTGTCTTCTGCAGTTGCCATTTGCTTTCCTGTCTTCATATGCTACTAGAATGTGTTAATTTTTCTTACCATTTTTTTCTTCTTTTCTTACCTTTTTTTTTCCTGCTTAAGATAGTCCATTACACAGAGACAGTACACTAAAACCAGTATTTTTTAAAGGCCAAAAATGACTTGAATATGTCAGTTGCTGTTTAGAATTAGGAATACTTTTTAAGCCAGGCATGGTGGCTCACACCTTTAATCCCAGCCCTTTGACTTGAGTCCAGGAACTTGAGACCAGCCTGGGCAACATAGTGAGACCTCATCTCTACAAAAAAAAAAATTAAAAATTAGCTGGACGTGGTGGCACGCAGCTGGATGTGGTAGTCCCAGCTACTAGGGAGGCTGAAGTGGAAAGATCACTTGAGTGAGCCATGATTGTGCCACTGCACTCCAGCCTGGACAAGAGAGTGAGACCCTGTCTAAGAAAAGAAAAAATGAGTATGTTTAAAGACAACCAGATGATTCCTGAGATTAACTTGACTTTTCCTGAGCAAGCCTATTCTTAAATGATTTCTATGTTGTTCTGTGAAGCCTTGGAAATAGAAATAACAAATTGGTGTAGGAGCCAGCAGTGTCTGAAGCATGATACAGAGAGCTGTGATAGTGGATGTCAGAAGTGCCTCTCCTGAGTGGATCGGCAGTCAGATTTAGACTCCCTCAATTCTTCCCCTTTACAACTAGAAATTAAGATGGATGGTGATGGAATAATATTTTGTCGATTGGGGTATTGGCAGTCCCTTTCTGCTCTAACTTTCTGTGATTCTATTTTTTTTTCTTACTATTTGCATTTGTTAAAAGTTCTATACTGTAGTCTGTGGTCCAATTCCCATTTGGCCCTCCTGAGTGCATTAAATGTTCCTGAGCATGTTAAACTGGTGTATTTGCATTTTATTGCTGGGAGGCTGTGCTGTAAACAATGGGGTTGAGACACCAGCTTGAGCCAGGGGATGAAATTTTATTTTAAAATCTGAAATGCTGTGTAAGCATTTAAGGTATGAATTGGTAATTGTTTCACAACAGCTTCCATTAGATATGGTTTATTTGTAGTCCATCCTCTTTTCAAGGATCCAGGGGAGTGTTAACACATTGAAGCGCACCGCATATCATTTACATTTTAAACCAGTGTTAAGGGAAAATGACCATAACTTTTAAGACTTCTAAATATTGGAATGGACTTTATGCCTCTGTCCCTGGAGAAAACAGTTTTAATCTTTCATTTGAAAATAAGAAAAGAAACCTTCCCGCTGTGATTAAGGATTTGAATAATTCTGAAACAGAGAAATACTGTTAGAAAAAGATAAGTCTGGTTCTAAGATTGAGAACTCTCTTTCTACCCCTAATGAATTCAGTAAAATACAAACTTTTAAAAATCATCTGTCTAATTTGAGATTCGAGATCATCAAATTCTGTCTAAATATTTTGTTTTAACTTCTAAGCTCATTATGGTCTCTTTGTGTTAACTTGTATTAAAATCTGTCAGCTATGACTGGTCTCATAAGCACAGTCAGCGGACCAGAATAAGTTAATTATTTACTTGTGTCACTAGTGCTCTTCATCTAATGAAATGCACAGCTGTGTTAGATCTGCAGTTGGATGTGTAGCTTCCATTGTTCCGCAAGTCAGCAGAGGGTAGAAGCCGCAATGATGGAGAGCCCTCAGTTCTTTCTGCTGTTCTGGCTTTCTGTGTCGATTTCATGGATCTTTTATCATTCACTTTCACACAAAACAAACAACACAGGGCTGTCTGCTATGGGAACCATCTTGGCATATAAAAGGGTTTTCAGGGCCTGAAGTAATTTTAAGTCAGCTAAGATTTAATTTTTGACTTACAGGTGCCCTTGGTTCAGATATTGCCAAAGCAGTTCCTATAATGGAAGGAAAAAAATCCGAAAGCTGCTTATGTGTATTTTTTTTAACTAAATGTCAGAAGAGGGCTGATAAGAAAACAACTTCCCCAGAAGGAAGCTCTGCACTAAATATTCTTAATCAGATTTCAAGCAAAGGTATTAGAGATTCACATTTCAGTGGAACGAGCACTTTTTTCATTTTAATAACATAATAAAGTTGAATTTGCTTAATTAAATGTGTCGATTAAAACTGAAAACACAAAATGTAAGTCATCTCTCTCCTTACCCACCCCCAATATAAGTATGTCATGCTTCCTTGGTCAGTTTCTGCACCTCCTGCCCCTCTCTCCCACCTTCTCTTGATGGAGGGTGGACAGGCAGCTTCCTCCTGAGCAGACGCCAGCCTCCTCCTGCGAACTGCTGCTTAAGGGGTGCCGAGATTTCTCTTTGGTTTTGTTTTTTCAGGGGTATAGCTGAACCCTCCATCTCCTCACCAGCCAAAATTACATTCTCCCCCGAGCTCGTCCCAGAACCGGCCCCTTTAGGGATTGCCATTTTTAACATTTTGTTCACTGCTGAACAATGTTGTTGTCGGTGCACCTAGATTTACAATTTGATCTCTTTCAAAGTAGATTTCCCAGTAGCCCTAGGGTTTTGTCAGATAATTTCAGTGTGGATAAGATGGATTTTTGGAGGGAAGAAAGAAGGCTCACACACTCTGCTTGATTGAAATTCTAACACATTGTAGCTGAATTTGAAATAAAGTGAACTGAATGATTGTTTCTGTTCTTCATGTAGGAAAGCATATATTTATAATAAACAATACCATTTTAACCCAAAAGCCAATTTAAACTAACTACATGCTCTAGAATTCAACTCCACAATATCCATATTGTTGTCAGCTACAATAAATCAGAATATTAATAACCAGTATTACCTAGGAAAATGGCATTCTTTTTCTTTTGACTTTAGCTCCTGGTGATTACAACAAATCGCAAACTATTGAAATAGTTTGAATAATTACATAGAATCAAATTGAATGAAATATTTGAGAGCAGTTTCTTTGCAATAGGGGCAGATAGTTAATAACTTTATACACAGAGAAAAGGAATTTTATCTTTTACTACCAATGTAAAAGTGTTTGTTTTCTTAGTCCAATGACACTGTACAATTCTAAATTATGGAGATTATAGTTAACAATCTAAATTCTATTCCCATTCCTCTTCCCAAAAAAATCAGAGGAATGAAAAACTATTTAGCAACAAAATCCCCTATAGGTTAGAATAATATTAAGGGAATTAATTTAAGAGAATATTAGTAGTGTATAGAGTTGGTAGATTTTTGTTTTGTTGTTTTCATTCTTAGAATTCCATTTCTAATTCTAGCCTTTTTTTTTCCAAGAACGATTTGGTATTCAATTTTCTTGTTCAACTTTACAAGTTCAATCAAAGATCACTTTCCTAATGGGCTGTAAGCTATAGGAATTAAAATTCCTTTGGGCAGTTTAGACTCAGCCAGGGGAAGCCCTAGCAAAAATCAGCCAACCAGCCAGAGCACTGCAGCCTATAGGTAGACCTGTTAGCACATCAGCCACACACAGGTACTTCTTGTCACTGGTTTTTCAAACCACATTGTAAGCACACTCCTCATCCAATCATTTCTGTGTTTGGGGGTCAGAGAACTTGGATTCCTATAACTTGGGTGTAGAACCCAGGAGATCACGAACTAGCTAATGAGGAGCAAAACTGCTGCTGACTTAAAGCTTCAGGTATGGCCACAGGCCTGGGGTCCAGTGAAGCTGCTGCTCTTCAGTCTCTGTGGCACAGGAGGGTGGGCAGGCAGCCCAACAGCACCATTGTGTGCTATGCCGGCAGCACAGTCCACAGGCTGCAGTGCCTTTCGCAAGGAGAGTCGTTTTTGAACTGTTTGTCAAGCAGGATTGTTGAAAATCACTTTTGTTGCTCTTGATAGAGGCCATGGGGAAGATTTTAGAGCAGTGGAAATAGAGATAGCAGCGGGGAGATCCCAATTAAGTACTGTATTCTTCCTTTCTGCCAACTTGCTTTATGTGGCATGAAATCTTCTCTCCCCCAGGTGTTTGTGGCTTGATCGTCCCCCAGGAAGACATGCCATTTTGTGATTCTGGCATCTGTCCGGACATCATCATGAACCCACACGGCTTCCCATCACGAATGACGGTCAGTGACCTGTAGGTTTTTCAGAGGCATTGCCTTTAAGGAAGAAGCAGGCAGTTAGTTTAGTTAGAGTGAGTGGAGGTGACGAGGACTCTGAAGCTGTTTTTTCAGGTAGAGCTCTTCTGCCCCTTGCCAGATAAACAGGCTTCCAGCCCCTAACGATTCTGGGCCACTCCCCTCTACATAAAGAATGAGGAGCACATCTATACCTCCCTTTGAGAGTGGAGTCTTCTGAGTGATGAATTTACCCCTCAGCAAAAGAGAATCCCTTGTCTTGAACCTAAATGGATCTCCCTTTCAGTGATTATTTTTAGTGATCCTGGCTCCACCTCTTACCAGCTGTGTGGCCTTGGACAAGTTGCTTATCCTTCCCATACTTCAGTTTCTTCATCTGTAAAATGAAGAAATATAGGACCTATCTCATAGGGGTATTGAGAGGCGTAAAATTAGATCACACATGTCAAGCTTAAATACTGCTTCTATTAATTTATTACTGTTATTAATAGTGGTCGTGGGGAAATGAGCTGGAGATAAATAAGCAGAGAGAGTGCTTGTGCCACAGGGAGGTGCTCACTTAATTTGTTCACATCCTGCAGGTGGGGAAGCTCATTGAGCTGCTGGCTGGCAAGGCCGGTGTGCTGGACGGCAGATTCCACTACGGCACTGCGTTTGGAGGCAGTAAAGTGAAGGATGTGTGTGAGGACCTCGTTCGCCATGGTTATAACTACTTGGGGAAAGACTATGTTACATCCGGCATCACAGGGTAAGCATGCGATTGAGCTATTTTAAAGAAAAAGAATGGTTTTACTAGGATAGGGGAGACAAAGCCTTAAGGTATACTCTATTAAGTATACCTTCAGGCAAGCTTGTACAGCCCGTGGGCGGCATGTGGCCCAGGACGGCTTCGAATGCGGTCTGACACAAATTCGTAAACTTTTTTTAAAAACATTATGAGAGTTTTTCATGATTTAAAAAAAAAAATTTTTTTTTTTTTAGCTCATCAGCTATCATTTGTGTTAGCGTATTTTATGTGTGGCCCAAGACAATTCTTCTTCTTCCCGTATGACCCAGGGAAGCCAAAAGATCGGACACCCCTGCCTTAAGATGTAAGCATTAAGGCTATATGCCTTAAGCTTTATTTTTTTAAGAAACTGGATACAAGAAAATCTAACTTTAGAAAACTAACAATTGAGGAGTGCTGTTTGTACTGGTAAGATTATAATTTGGAAAGTAGATTTTTGGTAGGCCAAAGCTGGTGGATCGCCCAGGAGTTTGAGGCTAGCCTGGGCAATATAGTGAGACCTCGTCTCAAAAAATATAAAGTAGAAAAGATTTAATTTACCAAAATATGATTTCTACCCTATGCCTACTTTTAAGGAACACATCAATTACATATAATGCAAAGTTTTCCTTTAACTGTTGAACTTTCCCTGCAATTATGTGATGAGTATCAGAATAATAAATGCTTTGACAGATAGACCAAGGCCTAACATTTGTGCATGTGTTCACTAAAGATGTGCTAAGCACCTACCTAATATGTGCTAGGCACTGAGTATATACCAATAAATACAGTAGACATGGTCCCAGTTCTATGGAGCTGACCGTTTAGGTGTGTTGCTAGACATTAAAAAATAATAGACACAAGGTAACTTCTCAGTAGGGCCTACTGTTACCATCTAATTTAAAACTATAACCCCATACTGCCCATTTGCTGCTTTATTTTCCCTGTAGCACTGACCATTTTCAAATATACTACATAGTAATACTATTGCCTGTCTCCCCAACTAGAATGTAACCTCCATGAAAGCAGGGCTGGTCTGTTTTGTTTACTGTTCTATTTCCAGGGCATAGCACAGGGCCTGACACACAGCAGGCACTCCATAAACATTTATTGAAAAAAGGAATGCAGACAAATAAATACAAGTACATATAGCTCTCACCAAAATGAAGACAGAGTGGGTGAGAAGGCCCTGTGAGGAACTGGCTATGATATTTCAACTGAGAGATAAAGGGTGAGAAGGATAGGGCATTCGAAGAGTGTTTAAGGGAGAGGAAAAGTTATGTTTGACACTTTGCCAGGGAAAGAGCTTGGTAAGTTCAGGGAACAGGAAGAGGCCAGCCTGGCTGCGGTGCAGTGAAGAGGCAGTACCGGCAGCCCGAGGTGAGGGTGGAGGGGAAGAAGAGCCAGGCGACCAGGCTTGGGAGCTTGTGTTAACCTGTGAGAAACAGATCTCTGCAATGATCGTGAATGACAAGGTTCTGAAGCTGGAATCATCGTGGTTTTTAAAAGTTCAAATTAGTTGCCTAAATTAAGACACACTTAGGTATTTAATGCCAGATAAAACTCCAGGACCTAGTGTTTCTAGTGTTCTTCTGGGTGTTGTTTTTTGTTTGGTTTTGGGAGTTTTTTTTGTTTTTTGGGGTTTGTTTTTTTTGTTTTTTTGAGACAGAGCTTCGCTCTTATTGCCCAGGCTGGAATGCAATGGCGCTGTCTCAGCTCACTGCAACCTCTGCTTCCCGGGGGGGTTCAAGCAATTCTCCTGCCTCAGCCTCCCGAGTAGTTGGGACTACAGGCACAGACCACCATGCCCAGCTAGTTTTTGTATTTTGAGTAGAGACGAGGTTTCGCCAAGTTGGCCAGGCTGGTCTCGAACTCCTGACCTCAAATGATCCACCTGCCTCGGCCTCCCAAAGTGCTGGGATTACAGGCGTGAGCCACCACGCCCTAAGGTTTTAAACCACTTGAACACTAGTGAAACTCAGCATGGAAGCAAATGTAAGAACAGAGCTTGATTTTAGTGCTGCAAATAGATTCTCCAGATGTGATTGAAATTGTTAAAGCCTCTATCTATTAAAAATGTGGAGTGCTTTTAAAAATTGCCTATTAAAACTATAATAATATGGATTTCTTAGGTGTATCATACCTGAGATGTTATAGAAAAGCACATTACAGGAAAAGACTAATGGACCATTTCAGAAATGGTTCAATAAAATAATTGTGACCATTTCAGAAAACATAGTTGTCATTGCTAAATTCATTAACCTTCTCTTCACTTCTCCACCCAGAAATAAGGCACATTTTTGGCCAGGTGTTGACCAGAAAGTGCAAAACCATAGGATCAATTTGGTGGACCTTCGTGAACATAATTTGTACTGAAAGAATTGGATGGGTTATATCCTGCTTGCCGTAGACAATGGTTAGTCTATATCCCAGTCCACACTGCCTTCCCCTATGCCCCCAGCCAGAGTTTTCCTTTCTTTGCCATTTATTTCAGTGACAAAATCTGAGAAGCACTGTTTAGTTGAAAATTCCCGAGGGCATTTAAATATATCACCACCAGCTTTCACTTTTTGTTCATTCTTGAACATAGATAGGTAGGAGGAAAAATTGCATATAGCTTTACTCTGTGGATGATGGAATAGCATTGGGTAACCGAGTGTCATAAATTCTACCATGAGCAACCCTACCATTGAGGAATAGAATCATTCACTGTTAGAGCAGGAAAGAATCTTGTTCTGACCGCCTTCTTGTACAACTAAGAACACTCAGCTAGAGAGGTCATGTAATTACTTTACTATGTGACAAAACCAAGACAAGGACAGGGTCTCTTAATACCCTCTCCATTGTGCCTTCCACTCCACTCTGTGTCTTCCAAGAACCAGGTTGTGCTGAAGTCAGCAGAATGGCCTGATGACCACAAAAGCCTTGGCTCAGGATGCTGAGAGTGTGATCAGGGACACCGAGCAAACAGTGGCCAAGCTTTTCCTTTGCCTCTCTGCTGTGTCTGTTGTTTCCTTTACTTTTTCTACTTTTACATCATGCTGTACCCCAGAGTTTACTTGTTCCAAATCAGACCAGTGTTGCAGGGAGAGCCCTGGATTTGAACCCTCACTGCACCACTCACCAGTTCTTATCTGACCTGTCGGGCGCTCTGTGTCCATTTCTTCATCTTCAAAATAGAGGTGACAGTTCTTCCTCCCTGGATCGTTGTGTGGATTAAGTAGCACATGGTAGTTGCTTCCTTCCCTTTGAAGAAGAAAGTTTGAGGCAGTTAAAAAAAAATTTTTTAAGACATCAGTTCTCTGGTTGTTCTTGCTCCAGATTAATGAGAAAAGGTTTCTTCTGTCAAAGTACTTATATATTCACCCTCTTCTTAAACTCTTACTACAGACTTTCTAAAGATTCATTGAAGCAGTTATGTAATAGACATTTATTGAGTACCAGTTGTGTGCCAGGCAGGGTCACAGGTGCTGGAGCCACCGTGACAAAGGAGACAAAGTGCTTATCCTTGCAGAGTTACTTCTAGTGGGGAAGACAGGCAATAATCCGAGAGATAATAAATGTACACCACGGTATCAAAAGGGGCAAGTGCGCCAAAGGGTCAGGTTGAGACAGGGCCGGAGTGACGATGCCAGGTGGGAGGAGGACTTCTTTAGATGTGGTATTCAGTGAAAGTCTCTCTGAGCAGGTGAAATGTTTGACAGAGCCATATGAATACCTGGCGGGAGAGTGTTTCAGGCAAAGGAAACGGTAAGTCAGAGGCCCCAAGAGAGGAACAGGCTTGCTCCATTTGAGGAGTAATGAAGAGGCCAGTGTTGTTGGAGTAGAGTGACTGGCGGGACACTGGAATAGGAAACAGTGAGGTGTGCAGGAACTGGAGTATGTCTCACCATGTGGCCATAATATAGAATGTTGGCAATACAGATTCCAAGTATGATGGGAAACCATTGGTGAGTTCAGGACAGAAGAATGACCTATTGTGATTTACATTTTAGAAGGCATCCCCCTGACTTTTTATGCAAAGAATAGATTGTTGAGGGATGAGAGTGGAAGCAGGGAGATTAATTAGAAGATTATCTGTGGTAGCCCAAGCAAGAAAGGATGGTGGCCTGACCAGGGAGGTCATCCTGAAGGAGAGATCATCCCATACACACTGTTTCCCAACCTGTTTAAATGTCTATTTCTTTGTAAAGCCATTTATCTTTAAATATAGCTATGGTACTTTTCATATTTTTACAACTAGTCTTTTCATTCACTACAGACTGAAAATCATTCTTATCCAGTCAGTCATAAATGAGTAAGGACCTGCCAGTGATGGGTCCAAAGGCTGTCTCTTGTTAGCCCAAACTTAGTTTCTTAACCCACAACAATTGATCTTTCTTTCAGTGAGCCCTTAGAAGCATACATCTATTTTGGCCCCGTGTACTATCAGAAGCTGAAACACATGGTGCTAGATAAAATGCATGCCCGGGCCCGGGGCCCACGAGCCGTCCTTACCAGGTAAGAGAAAAGTACTTACAAAAAGAATTGATAATGCAGTCAAGTCCACCTTGTATTTTCCAGATATGGCAAAAAGCAGACTCAACAAAGTTTCTGTTTTCCTGAGATGTCAAAATTTGGCAAGTTTGGCATTAAGAAAATCATATATGTATGATTAAAATGAAAAAGTAGCAGCCAATTAAAAAATATTTCACAAGCGCAAGAGCAAACCCACCATAGGTCTTGCCAGTGGACTCCTAACACAACTATTTACTGTGTAAATGTCTGCAAATATGGTCCTATTTATAAAGGTCCATACAAGAAGATGTGTATGTATATAGCCACACACACATTGATATACTTGCATGTACCCATGTGCACACAGAAGACACATGCAGACATTATTTGGTAGCATAAACCACAATTGGAGTTTTTTAAAACTAATGTTATTGAAGCATAAAGTACCTCCACTTGCAGACTTATTTGAGTAAGCTAGAGGAGGTTAGGGGCCACATGTGCCCCGTTCACAGGTGTACCCTCAATCCCAAGCACAATGTCTGTGGGTTAATGAATGGATAAATTTCTTGGGAAAGAGAATTATAGCTACTAAGTTTCACATGTTCTTAGTGCTACTTTTTCCAGTTGGAGATGCATAGTCGAGGGCAGTGGTTCTCAGCCAGGGATGATTTTGCCTCCCAGGGGACATTTAACAACATCTGGAAACATTTTCAGATGTCCCAACTTGGTGCTGGGGAAGTAGCTACTGGCATCTAGTAGGGAGAGGCCAGGGATGCTGCAAGGACAGCCCCCTACAACAGAGTTACCCAGCTCAGTATGTCAGCGGTGCCGAGGTTGAGGAACCCTGGGCTAGGGGAGGGAACCCAGGCCTTGGAGTCAGACAGACAAGGCTGTGATCTCATCTCCACCTTTTCATTCCGTCACAAGCCTTAGACAGATCACTGATGACCACAGTCTGATGAAACTCACAGCTTAAGCATTTCTCATATTTAAAGTGGAGACAATAGTACCTACTTAACAGGTGCCAGTGAATGTCAAGAGTGTGAATACAGAATGTGTACAGCACCCATCCACAGGTGGCATCAGCAAGCATCCAGTTCCCTCCCCACTTTCACTGAGCACTGCCTGGATGTAACAATGTAGAGAAGGGGCAAGGATGAGGCAGCTCATGCTTGGGGTTTCATTTTTTTTTTAAGCCAAGGGAGAGGTGTAGTTGACTCAATTCTTTGACCATTTAAAACTGAGCACATGCACGTGTCTGTTGAAATGATAGACATATGTGTGCTTAAAACTGCAAAGAGGGAAGAGAAGTTGATTCTCAAGACAATAATCACCTCAGCAATGGTACCGTAATTGGGTTAGATGTGTTTCTCCCCTAAATGCTGTCCCCTCCTAAACTTCCATTTCAGTTACAACATCCAAAAACTATTTCAGAGTAACATAAATGTCAAAGCAGTTATTTCCTATATTTTGCTTTGTTGTGTAGAAAAAGTTATTACTTTGGTAACTTTTGTCTCTTCCATATGAAGACTGCCTCGAGTGCGTTTGTCTGTAGTTGGTTATCTTAGTTGGTTAAAATCCAAGTATTGGATTCTGTCCACATGTGGTCTGTCTACCTTTACCTCGTTCACTGACCTCAAGTGAAGGGAGCAACTACCCATTTGTGTTTCTACCGGCAGATAAAAATGTATAGATGTGCTCAGTTATGAAGTTTCCACTATAATGTGTTTATTTAGACGTATTTGTAAGTTATTCATGTGTATATTTCCTTTCAACAAGTAATCTACAACTTCTTTGATTTCACATTGAAACTCAACCACAACAATTTAAAAAAATCTTAAAATTTCAGTATGTGTTGGCATACCCTGTGTTCACCTTCTTAATTCTTTGGGAGACTGGCAGCAACAACAAAGATTAAAAGATGCTATGGAATACAGCAAACAAGGGGTGTATGGTCACCCCTGCTCAAAGATTACCTTTAAGAAGCCTGCCAGGGAGCTTGCTTTTTTTTCCCCCCAAATAATTTGTGTGATCCATGCCTACATGGGGTTGCCTAAATTGTTCAGATCCCCCTAATTTTAGCTACACCTCTGGGTCCTGTATTCTTAACCTCTTAAAGTATTCTCAAGCCCAGCATATAAACCACAGGGAATCCATTCAAGAGGCTAACAGCTCTGGCAGCAGCTACTGGAGGATCCAGGTTTCCCCCACAGTCTATTCTGCTTAGTTTTTCTGCTTTTAAATAATAGAATACTGAGACTCTTTGAAAATACTTAAAGACATTGTTTCCTGATTTGAAAACTCTGCTGTCCTAATAATAATGATAGTGATGGTAATAGTAATGGTGTTTTCTGTGATTATATATTAATATGTTATTACATCATATGATATTATGCAATTATATATTCATTTAACCATAACAACCATCAATATTACATCTTTTCTCAATTGAGGCTCTTTGGGATAGGTGTGCTTATGCACTTTTACAAATGAGGCTAAGCAGCGTGTCCAAGGTCCCTGTCCAGTTATTGATTTGGATCCAGATGAGCCCTGCTCCAAAGCCTCGTGCTCTCTGCCAGCATGTGATGCTACCTCTTTGTTTGTTTAACAGAATAATAACACATTTGTCTAATAACTTGTTTCAAAGGCAACCCACTGAAGGACGGTCTCGTGATGGTGGCTTGCGTCTCGGGGAAATGGAACGTGACTGTTTAATCGGTTATGGAGCCAGTATGCTTTTGCTAGAGAGACTAATGATTTCAAGTGATGCCTTTGAGGTTGATGTCTGTGGGCAGTGTGGACTTCTGGGGTATTCTGGCTGGTAAGTGGATACCATATGTCTCCCATACCACACCCCTTGCCTCTTAAATCACAGCTCAAGAATTGACCCTGGATCCTATCCGCATATTCTCCAGCCTCTGTCTGTGATCACTAACATACCCTCCCTCATGCATGTATTCCTGTCATTGGGGATACTCTGTGTACATGTCTCATTTGTCTACATCATGATCTACTTCCTACACAACTAGAGGCTAAGCTCCCAAGGAGTACAAACTTTACCTCCTTTTAAATATTCTCTCAGGTACTTTTTATAACACTATTTGCCTGTGAAAATCCTACAGATGCATTGTCGGGTGTTAGAATCGCAGTGTGTTAAAGAAACTCTTTAGGGAAGATTACATCGAATGCTTTCATTTGTAACTTCAGACCCAAAGAGCCAGGGATGCTGCCCCAGGTCTTATAGCAAATTGGTGACAGAGCCAAGAGCCAAGACCAAGACGACCTGGTACCCTGCCCCCTTGTCTGTACTCTCTCTGCCATGGCTAGCTGCTTCACACTTGTACTGTAGATTCTGTGAGGGCAGAAACCGGGTCTGTCTCAGTAATTTATTCAGCAAACATGTAGTAAGTATCTGCTAAGTGTCAGACACTGTTCTAGGCCCTAGAAATGCAGCAGTGAACAAGACAGTGGATGGCTGCTCCCAAGGAGCTTATCTTCTAGTTCATTCTGATTGCATCCTGTCATGTTTACCCTCATTTCTCCAGCCTGGGACCTGGTAGATGCTTCATAAAAAAATACTGGTTGAATGATACCCTGCATTTGTAGGATTGCCAATAAGTAAATCATGTCATTTGTAAAGTTTATAATTTCTGTGTAGCATTTGGTACACAAAGGTCACCTTAAAAGATGATGCTGGATGTTTTTTGTTTTTGTGCAGTTGCACCACCTTTCCTATTTGTAATGATTCCACTCTCACCAGAGAAGAAAAAGCTCACTTAGGGTTATTCCTAAAACACTCCTGTAGGCAAGAGAATCCATAGTTCCCCAAAAGCAAGGGGTTTTTTATTTTGTTTTTGGTTTTTGTTTGTTTCAAGACAGAGTCTCACTCTGTCACCCAGGCTGCAGTGCGGTGGTGTGATCTCGGCTCACTGCAGCCTCAACCTCCCAGGCTCAAGCGATCCTCTCACCTCAGTCCCCTGAGTAGCTGGGACTTCAGGCTCACACCACCACGCCTGACTAACTTTTGTATGTTTTGTAGAGACAGGGTTTCACCATATTGCCCAGGCTTGTCTCAAACTCCTGGGCTCAAGTGATCCCTCCCAAAGTGCTGGGATTTATAGGCATGAGCTACCATGCCCAGCCAAAAGTGAGTTCTTTACTTACTTTTCAAGCAGAGGCAAGGTCCAACAAGATCTAAGACACAAGCTACAGAGCTTCCAGCCTCACCCCCTCATTGCCCCTCACCTGCCCTCCCCAGAGTGCCTTTTCTCTAGATAGGGGCCATCCCCAAGATAGAGTTAGGCCCAAATAGCATTCATTGCTGGGGTTTGAGGAATTTGTGGGCCACCTTTTCCCCATTGAGTCCCCATCGTAGTTTCCTTCCAGACAGAGCCTCAACTTCTTGCCATCCTGAGCTACTAATTTCTAAGTTGAAAAAAGCCAATCACAAGTTGAACAAGTGGGCTCCTTAAAACGCAGTGTATCCCTTGCCAGATAAATGTCAAAACTTTCTGGCCAGTTATTTCATGATTTTGGTGAAGACTCTCGTCTGTAAGGAGATCATTTCACTTTAAAAACTAACAGAAGAGGTGGCCATTTGCGGTTCATCTTTCATAAGGTTGCAGAGGTGACATGATTCCAAGGATAAGCCTAGCTCTTTCTTATATGAATGAGATGGGGGTTTGCTTCAGTCCTGAGATGTCTATTTGTCTTTTGAAATGCATATTGAGCTTGCTTTTTATAGTCTGGGCTGTGCAACCAAAAAGAAAAAAAAGAAAAGAAATCATGTAATAGGAAGATGCCTGGATCCTAGTTCCACTATGCTTAAATCTTCAAATTTGACACAAGGATTTTTAAATAATTTACTTCGAAAGGATGGTACAGAAGAATCACGTCATTAAAAATAGAGGTCATGGAACTTCAAAAAGAGTTTCCTTTTCTCTTCCTCCCCCTTGCATTCTTCCTCCCTCTCCCCACCCCCGGAGAAAAAAGAAAACAGTCAACCCGATTCACTTATGTGCTTTGAAAACCTTCCCCTCTCCGCCACTGGTTACCCAGGGAAGGTAATGTAAGCAAGAAGACCTGTAAGCAGCGATTGATCCTTCAGCATTATTCTGCTAAATGTATATCTTCTTTCCTGCTTCATTTCTGTCTCATTTAGAGAGCATCTGATGGCAGTGTCTGATTTTGAAGCGTATGTATTCCGTGTGTATTGTATTTGAAATCCTTTGAAAGAGGACTAAATCAGGTTATACAGTTTGAGGGTCTTTACTGTAATTAAACAGACCTCAATATATACTGTATGTCTGATTTTGAGTGGCCTACTTATACCCTTGTTGCCAACAGAAAAAAATCCTAATCCATTCTAGTAGTCTAGCCGCTGCCTCGGGTGCTGCTTTCTGGCCGAGGAGCGTAATGATGCTGTCATTTTTCCCATCATTACCTGATCATGTGTGCTGGGTTGAGTGGGAGGGAGCATGGGCGTCGTTGGAGGAAGTCGCTCTTTAATGAGCCACACAATGAAGGCTAGGTAATTAGAGCAGTTCGGAACCTTGAAACTGGCCTTTTGTCAGGGATTTGCACATTAGTGAGGCATTGCTATGGGGATGTTTACAGCACGACTGTTGTTCTACAGAAGACACTAAGGGCATAAGTCACAAAAGAGAGGTCCAAAAGGAAGACTTCAGGAAGAAGAAAATCCCTATTAAGGTAATTAGCTCATAGAGGATGTTTCACTGGACAGTCATTTCTCGTGTGAAGCCACAGCCTCCCCTTTTTGCTACCTTTGCCCTAAAAAAGCCGTTCATTTTATTGTTGTTCACGTCAAGTTTCTACCTTTGCAAATTGTTCAGATACAAGGTAAGGTAAGGTTTTATACACACACATGCACGTTGGAACATTTTAAATGATGGAGAAGTATTTAATAATAGAGAAGATTAAAGGGCTTTCTGGAATATGAATCAGTACATATGGAAATTTAAAATAGATTAGCTTGGATCGGAGTCATTGGGTAATGTACTAGTCAGGAGAAGAAGCGAAAGGTACCCCCGTTAAATGCATTTCCCCAATTTAATGAAAGCATGAACATGATTCCTAGATAAATTACATCAACCCAAGCACATTAAAAACGTAATTTTTGAACTCGAATGCATTAAATAGGTCTTTAGATAATCTTTTAAGAAAAAGTAACTCACCAAGTTTGTATTTGTACTGTTAACGGATCAAATACAGGTTAAGCACCCTGCGTCCCCTCATCATAACATCAACTGTGCATTTGTGAGGGTTAGTCTTCTCCCATTCTCCTCCTCAGGAAACTCTGTCTGCATAGTTACCACCACCACGTGCACATTCTCAGCCTCAGTTCTTGCTTTTCTTTTCTAAAATAATACAAGCTTTATTTTACTGATTGCAAAAATGATCCCTGCTCATTGTAAAACATTCAAAAGTTACCACAAATATAAAGTGAGTCACATTAATTCCCACCACCCAGAGATGACCACTATTAACATTTTGGTGACTCTTTCAAGATTCTGATAAGGGCAGAAAAATACAAATATACACACAAAAAACTTAAAATTTTACGTATGATTTTGGGGGCTCCATACACTTACAAAACTTGTTTGAGGGCCCCCTTGGGACCATGCTGATCAACAAACTGCTTTTTTCACCTCACAGTTTGTCCTATACACCTTCCATTTCAATAAATGTGTGTCCACAACAGCAGGTCTAATGGCTTCACAGTCTTCTTCTATCTAAATGTCCCAGTGGACATTTGCATATTCTCACCTTATGCTGTTATAAATAGTGTGGCTGTCAGCATTCTTGTGCACATACCTTTGCCACTTTTGGGATTACAAAATCAAAGAATATGCACATTTACAGTTTTTACACACACTGTCTTACTGCCCTCCAGAATGGCCAATCCTTTGTTCACTAAGGAATCCCCCTTCAATTCCTGGTCAGCACCCGATCTTCCAAGCCTCAGTTGCTATTCTTCTTGGACTCATTTTCCTCCTCGTTAACTGTGAGGACCTAGTTTTCTACCTGTTAAGAGTCAGGATTTGTACTGGATACCTACTGTCCTAGCTGCTGCAGACCCTTGAGGTGTAGGGTAAGGTTGTATTTTGGTCTGAAACCTGAAAGAATAATTCACTTTCTCCCCAGGGACCCTTCTACAGTTGTAGCCATTGATTAAGAACTAAGTTCAGTTTACCAGCTCTTCCGGAAAGAAGAGAAATTAAAGTCCTAATTGGAATATGAGGCAAAGTGGTTAGGAACATGGACTGTTGTTGCTAGGGTTAAGTGGGAACATATGTGCACATGCACACATACACACATTTCTTAGTTTTGCACAAGGGACAACATGTTGTAAGTATAGTACCTCCAACACTCATAGAAATCACCAAGCCTGAAGAGCACTAGACAAGTTACCATTTGATTGAATACCACTGTCCTATTCAAAAGTCTTGTCTTTTCCATCAGACTTTACGTATCTCAGTGACAGAAATCAAGTTATAATTGTTGAGCGCCTTGCCTAGAATAATATACTGCTAGTATAGTTGATGCTTATCAAATACATGGAGATTGATTGAATTGGTTTAAAACTCTTTAAACAATGAAAAAAATTTAAATCTGAGTAAATTTCCCAATGGTTCAGATTTCTGGAGCTCTTTCAAAACAGTATATTGGCAAATGTTTTACATTTTAAGGAGAAAGGGCTGGATGTGTGGTAACAACTGACTCAACTTGCATGCTTTAAACACTGGAGGGAATGGTGTTTGTTTCCTCTTTTCTTTTGCTTCCTTGGATGTTTCTTTTTTTCTGGGCACATACGTACTTATATGATAGTGCAACTGAACACTTAGGAATAGAAAGATAATTTGATAGAATGATAATAGAACTTTATAGAGACCATTCTCACTTCCTACGTGGAGGCCTTTGTTTCCGAGTTGCTGTCTGTCTAACGCTTGCTGACTTGCGTTTCAGGTGCCATTACTGCAAGTCATCCTGCCACGTGTCTTCCCTCCGTATTCCGTATGCCTGCAAGCTGCTCTTCCAGGAACTACAGTCTATGAACATCATCCCCAGGTTAAAACTGTCCAAGTACAATGAATGAGGATGGAAAAAATGATTATTAAAGAGAACAAGTGATACATCCAATGCAACGGAAAGCAGAAGGGATTTAGGACTACGTCTCCTCCTGTGAAGAATTCCCTTGCGTATTCTCTCTCTAAAACAACCAAAAAAAAATGGAGAGGCTTTTTATATACTCTAAGACTGGCTAAACAACCTTGATCATTGAGCCTCGAGCCATGGGAGAGATGCTGACCATGTGGACTGCAAGGCTGCTTGATTCACAGATGGATGTGACCTAAAGGATAAATAAGCTATTACTTATGTGCTGATCTCTTGACATTCACTCATTAGAAGACCTTACTCCTTCAAGCAAATGTTTGGGGTCAAATTTACCATATCTTCTGGCTAACCATATTCAAGATTCTTCTGAAACTTGGAGGATGTAAAGAATCCATTTGATTTGGTCAGCCTGGCTTTTGTCGTGGTGGCTGGCTCGGATAAATTTTCCCAACAATTAAATCTTGCCTTTACACACCCAAACTTTGTAATTTTAGTCTTGGTGAAATATAATGAATTTGTTCCTACCTTGTCAAGCAAGAATGTCGTCTTCTCCTATGGACTCAATTGCTATTATTTTAAACCTGCATGATTGTACCATGCAATACTATTCGTTAAATATCTGAATCTAACCCCGTGGCTGCTTTGTCATGCTCTGTCCCTTCCATGCCTGCCAGGATGCTAGCTGTCCATTTCATTTTTAATCTGACAGACTTCCTTACTCATTTCTAATTTGTTCTCAACTGCTGCCCCAAAGCCAGATAAACATTTGTGTTAAGGATTGTTTGTAAAATCAGAGTCAGAAACACTTTGAGTAATGGCCTAAGCCTTCATTCCCAGCATGTCACACTGAAGATGTTCAACAGAATATTAATAGGTATTATATACCAACAAGAATCAAGCTCCTATGTCAAACTAAGGTTGAGAAACGGGGTAACCAAGTTAAACATTCCACAGGACTTTTTCAAAGCCCTTAAAGATCCCAAGCTAATGTGTACTGGGTTTCAAAAGAGGGATGTTCCAGGGACCGAGGCTAGTCATTGACTTGAGAACTCAACCTCACTTCTTCTTTTTCTTCACAATAAAAAATTTCTAACACACGTGGGTATAACAGTCATAGCGGTATCAGTGAAAGCAGAATGAAAGACACTGCAGGTGAGCAGGCCTTCCTCAGCCCTCATGGCAGGGACTCAATAGGTATTCTTTTTTCTTTTTTTTTTCTTTTGAGACAGGGTCTCTCACTCTGTCACCAAGGCTGGAGTGCAGTGGCAAGATCACGGCTCACCGCAGCCTCAATCTCCCGGGCTCAGGCTATCCTCCCACCTCAGCCTCCTGAGTTGTTGGGACTACAGGCGCATGCCACCACACCCAGCTAATTTTTGTATTTTTGGTAGAGATGGAGTTTCGATGTTGCCCAGGCTGGTCTTGAACTCCTGAGCTCAAGTGATCCGCCCGCCTCGGCCTCCCAAAGTGCGGGGATCTCAAGTGTAAGCCACTGCGCCTGGCCTCAATATGTATTTCAACAGGTATTTCAAAAAGGAGTTTGAATGTTCAGATCTTTGCTATGCCAATTCCTTTTTTTAACCTAGCTTATAGTTCTCAAAACTGATGGTACATAAGGATTGCCGTACTGGATTAAATGTACAATCATACTGTACTTTGTGGGCTTTTTAAGGAGTTTTCTAGGGTGATCCTGATTATCTCACATCGTGTAGCAAATCCACTTCCCAAATCCATTTGCCCTGCAGTGTGGGACACACCATTTCAGTGAACACTCAGAGGGTCAGGCTGGAAGAGTTAAAGGCAGTGTGCTGGGTGCTGGCAGGAGGACTTCATCGTTCATCATTCAGTACCTGCCACGTACAAGGCACTGGACTAAGGATAAAAGAACAGGACAGGGCCTCTGCCTGACCGAGGACATAGTCCAGTGGAGGAGGCCAAGATATATGTGCTGGTCATGGAGCACTGCCCTGCAGTCAGTGCTGAGGATTAACCTCGGCAGTGCTGAGGGAGTGCCCAGGGCAAAGCAGCCAACAGTGCTCTGAAGATTTGGAAACACTTCACAAGTGTGAGTATGCCCTTTATACATGAAGAAACTGACGCCCTGAGTAGCTAAGTGACTCCCCAGAGCCTCACTGCTAACAAGGGGGACAGCAAGGGCCTTGGGACCAGGCATTCTCACATGCAGGGCTTTGTTCTGGTTTTATCTGTGATTATATATTTTTCAGTCACCAAAAGTGATAGTTTTTAAAAAAATTCAGATGCCCTTGAATGGTTGTATCTTTTATAAATGAACATCCTTCTCAGGAAACCATTCCAAGCCAGTCTAATCTTTCTGAGGGAGTCACCTTTCTAAGTGTCTAGGAAATTCTAAGTTTACAAGATCTAGAAAGTATGGGTTTTCAAGTCGAGACATCCTTAAAGGAAAAAATTCTATCAGATTGATATCTCAAAAATTAGCAACTGCCACATTTGAATAGCTATTTGACTCTGAGAAATACTTTAATGAAAAGCAGCCAGACACCAGGCATGGTAGCAGGCACTTGTAGTTCCAGCTACTCAGGAGGCTGAGGCGAGAAGGTCATTTCAGCCTACGAGTTTGAGACCATCCTGGGCAACACAGCAAGACCCCATCTCTAGGGAAAAAAAAAAAAAAAAAGCAGCCAGATTTGGTAAGCTAGTCCCACTACGGTTTTATTTATTTGTAAGTTAAAAACAATTAACTTACAAATAACTTTAATAGTTATTTTTTATTTAAAGAGTTTATTTAAACTTTATTTAAAGAGTTGTTTATAAATAATTAGATTTTCTTTTCCAGTAATGATAGAGTAACCTTTTACAGACCACCCTCAAAGCACTTTTTTCCCTCCAGTCTTTTGCGAGGCTGGAAGTGGCACAGGATGAGGCTGAAAAGCCACACCAAAGCCATTGAAGAGGCTGTGACCCTGACATGAGCTTTGACAGAATCAAAGGGCTGGGGAGACAAGACTGTGGGCACAAAATTGCCCAGATGCCAGGATCAGAGAGGTCAAGATCCCATATAGAAAGGAAGTACATTGAAGTGAGCTCAGCTTCTTCACAACTCTTCTGGATTTGCCAGCTCCAGCTAATAAAATGTGAAATCACTGACTGGGTGGATTTAAACGACAGAGATGTATTTTCTCACATTTCAAGAGGCTCAAAAGTCCAAGACAAAAGATGTGCACAGGGTTAGGTCTAGTGGGCCTCTCTTCCTGGCTGCTTGTGGCCACCTTCTCACTGCAGCCTCACGTGGCCTTTCCTTGGCACACAATAAGGGAGCATGTGAGTGAGCTCAGGTGTCACTTTTTAGGATGCCAGTCCTGTTGGATCAGGGTCCCACTCATATGTCTTCATTCAACCTTAATTATTCTCTTAAGGGCCCTATCTCCAAATGGGATCATGCTGCGGGCTAGGGCTGCAACATGTGAATTTGGGGACACACAGTTCAGTCCATCATACCCCTGAAGACATTTGCCAATTCATAACAGCACGGATGGAACTTGGCAGTATCTATTAAAGCTAAACATACTCAGCAATTCCATTCCTAGGTGTGGGCCAGCAGAAATATGAGTGTGTTATCAGTATGTGTGTACAAAAATGTTTCTAGCAGCATTATTTATAGTAGCCCAGGTTGTAAATAATCCCTGCCTATTAACAACAGAATAAATTGTGGGATGGTCATTGATATGGCTTGGCTGTTATGCCCCACCCAAATCTCATCTCGAATTGGAATCCGCACGTGTCAAGGGAGGGATGTGTAACCCCCACGTGTTGAGGGAAGGAAGTGATTGGATTATGGGGGCGGTTTCCCCAATGCTGTTCTCGTGATAGTGAGTGAATTCTCACGAGATCTGATGGTTTTATAAATGGTAATTTTTTTCTTTGCTCTCCCACTCTCTCTCTTGCCTGCTCCGTGTTAAGACTCGTCTTCTTCCCCTTCTACCATGATTTTAAGTTTCCTGAGGACTCCACAGGCATGCAGAACTGTGAGTCAATTAAACCTCTTTCCTTTGTAAATTACCCAGTCTTGAGTAGTATCTTTATAGCAGTGTGAGAATGGATGAATACAGTGATACAATGGAATACTATACAGCAATGAAAAATGAGCTGCTGCTACCTATAATATCATAGGTAATCTCACAAATATAATATAGGGCAAAACAATTTAAGCCCAGATGGGGTGTGGTGGCTCATGCCTGTAATCCCAGCACTTTGGGAGGCCAGAGGTGGGTGGATCACCTGACGTCAGGAGTTCAAGACCAGCCTGACGAACATGGTGAAACCCTGTCTCTACTAAAAATACAAACATTAGCCAGGAATGGTGGTGGGCACCTGTAGTCCCAGCTACTCGGGAGGCTGAGGCAAGAGAATTGCTTGAACCTGGGAGGCGAAAGTTGCAGTGAGCTGAGATTGCGCCACTGCACTCCAGCCTGGGCGACAGAGTGAGACTCCGTCTCAAAAAAAAGTAAATAAATAAAGTTAATCCCAAAAGAAACATATCAATTCCTTTAAAGCTCAAAAATAGGCAAAATTAAGATATAATATGAACAGTCATAAGATTTCCCTGTGCAGAGTGGGGTGGCTAATGGCTAAGAGGTGCAAGAGTGGGGCTTCTAGGATGCTGGTAATATTTTTTTGACCTGAGTGCTGATTACATGGGTGTGTTCATTTTATGAAAATGCATTAAGCCATATTCACTGAGGACTTTTTACCTTTCTGAATGTACATCATTGTTTAATAAGTTTTTTTAATCTTTACCAGGTGACTTAAGAGTTTAAGAATACAAGCTCTAAACCTGTGTTTCAGTCTCTTCACATAATAGATATGTCACTCCAAATATAACATATTGTGTTCTTTTAGTTTTCCCATCTTCAAAATAGGGAATATAATAGTACCAACACCTGGGGCTATTTTTAAGATTAAATGAGATAACGCATCTAAAGGGCTTACCACAGTGCCTGGCACAAAAGAGGTGTTCACAAATGTTTGTTATTGCCTTCATTGATGATAACCAGTAATCATATCATACACCTTATTAACAGCACTGCCAGGACTGGCAGTGTACAACTGTACAACTTCATCAGGCAAGGGTTAGGAAAGGCAAACCCTGAGTTTCCTTTCGAAGAGAGTTTGGAAACTAGGACCAAGTGCAGAACCCATAGGATTTTGCAAAAGCGATTTGTGAAAGCTGCCCTGTTTAACAATGATGGGCGGAAGGAAGGTGGTGGACTTAGTGAGCACACTTCCCTGGAACAACCATTTTAGCACTGACATCAAAGTGAGGCCTGTCGTCGGCGCGGGAGTCCCAGAATGGTTTCATGAAACCCACAGAACGTTCTCAAAATGCTTCCATGTGGTGAGAGTCAAGTAAAGGATTGAAAAAAACACAGAAGTCCTTGATTGGGTGCTACATAATGGGATAGTTTTCAGCTGCTTCAGAGCATTTTGGCTAACACCTTTATTTGCAGTAATGAACCACATGAGGGTGAGCACATTAGGGCTGGTGGCTGGGCCCATCCGTTCTCCGCCGTCTGAGTAATAGAGGAGCCAGTTTCGGAGAGACCTGTAAATAATTCCATTGTGAAACGGATGATCAGAAAAGTGACTGTAAAAGTAGCACCTCTTTACCATCCATATTTACTCCATATGTGTCTTGAAAACAGTTTATTTCATTTGTTGACCAAAAGTTGATTTTTACTACTTCAGCCCACAGGGCCAAGATTAGTGGGAAATTAATGCCAAGCTTTAAAAAGGCAGTTTTAAATGGGGGGAAAAAGTAGTAGCAATCTAGAAGTATATAGATTACTAATGCCAAGCTACCAGTTTGAGTTTTAGAAAGAGGCTTCAGAAGCAGTGAAGAGATTTGCTTCAGCAAATCAGTCTTGATCAGGATGTCACGGCAGAAAATCTCAGCACAACCAGACACTCACATTTTTACTCACAAGTCTAACATCTCACACCATGCTCAAAGTATTTTTCAAGGTCAGGTAATAGCTCTCGTTCCATGCATAATAAATTTTAAGTCTGGCTAACTCCCAGTCATCCACATTAATGGAGGCAAGGTGTGATGTGAATCAATTAAAACATGATGAATTCAACATCTTTTGTATTGGATGCTGGGATGAAGTTTGCAGGCACATTTTTAATATAGCTTGCATGGTGGTTTGGTGAGTTTGCTGTACTTCAAATAGTGACTCCTAGGAACACTGTATTTGAAGAAAGTGGAATAATAATGTCTTTTCTGGCTAAGTAATGACAGATCTTTGGAGTGGGGGGGGTGGTTAGCCACACTCAACTGGGATGCCTCTAGGCCACTAGTATTCAAAGTTTGGTCGCTGAACCAGCAACATCAGCATCACCTGGAAACTTGATAGAAATGCACATTCTCAGGCCCCTCCCCAAACCTGCTCAGAAAATCTGCTGGAGAGGCTCAGCAATCTGGGTCTGGAGGTTTCCGCTTTCTCCCTCTAGCTTCCTCTCCACTCCCTGCTACTCCCATAAAGATATCCCACTTCAAAGGGGGCCTAAGTGAGTGCTTGGAAGGCCACGGTTTCTCTTCCTATCTCAACTGGTCATGTCAGTCTGCTGTCCAAGTCCTTGAAGGGATGGGACAGCATCGCCTCTCCCACAGCAAAGCCCTGAAGTCAGCAGAGACGCTCTGGGTGCTGCACAGCTTCCTTGGCACCTGCAGGGGTGGTTTGGTGCTGGGATTTTTCAGCTCTCTTTGCAGGGGTGTCCAACCTTTGGCTTCCCTGAGCCACATTGAAAGAATTGTCTTGGGCCACATATAAAATAAACTAAGGATATCTGATGAGCTTTAAAAAAAAAAAATCACAGCTCGGCGCAGTGGCTCACGCCTGTAATCCCAGCACTTTGGGAGGCCAAGGCGGGCGGATCACAAGGTTGGGAGTTCAAGACCAGCCTGACCAACATGGCGAAACCCCATCTCTACTAAAAATACAAAACTTAGCCGGGCATGGCGGCACGTGCCTGTAATCCTAGCTACTCAGGAGGCTGAGGCAGGAGAATCTCTTGAACCCAGGAGGTGGAGGTTGTAGTGAGCTGATATTGGGCCACTGCACTCCAGCCTGGGTGACAAAGCAAGACTCCATCTCAAAAAAAAAAAAAAATCTCATAACGTTTTGAGAAAGTTTATGAATTTGTGTTGGGCTACATGTGGCCCATGGGCTGCCGGTTGGACAAGCTTGCTTTAGAGTATGACCAGCCTTAGGGCTGCTGTCCTAAAAATGAGTTGGCAGTGGTATTATCAACAAAGAAGGAGCCAAGGTGCTTCCACTAATAAGCTGAGTCTCAACTTTCTAATCTGTTCAGTGGGTATATAATACCTCCCCACCTAATGACCTATGCGGGCTTACACAGGAGTAAGAATAGTACTTACCCCATAGGTTTGCTGTGATTAATAAATGAGTTAATTCAAGTGAGGCACTTAGAACAGGGCCTACCCCATGCTACACACTTGATAGAGATTCGCTTTTCTTTCTTTGTATGTGTAAACTTCAAACTAGGCCAGTTTCTCAAGCTTGGCACTACTCACATTTGGGGCTGGCTAATTCTCTGTTGTGGGGCTGTCCTGTGCATTGTGGGATGTTCAGCAACATGCCTGGCTGCCACCCACTAGATGCCAGTAATGTACCCTAATCATGACAATTAAAAATGTCTCCAGACATCGCCCAACATTCCCTGCCGGGAAAAATCACCCCCAGTTTAGAACCACTGAACTAGACAATGTGTATGAAAGTGTTTTAAATTCCAGAGCAATTGAGAACAGTCTCAGCAAATCTTTTGCAGCTTTGTCCTCAGGAAACTGATAGCCAATCTGCTTCTGGATAATTGAGGGACTGTATTAACAAATGTGAACATGAATGCAAACCCTTGTTTTTTCTTCATGTATCAGTTGTCATGGCATCAGATCAAGCTGCTGTCAATCATTTGTTGGTCATTAAGTTAAATAAGTTTCATTCCTGTTGTACACTGTACTTTTATAGATCTGTTGGTAATGTTATAGTCATAAAAATAAGATCAATCATAATCTCCGTTGTCATTCACATTTGCCCCCAGCTTGATTTTGTCCTAGATCTAGCCTATTTTTGGTTTTTGTCAAGGACATATGCTGATTTTCATCATTTACTCAATCACCCCTCAGCCTTGCATCTGCCCGCCTGCCATGTGGCAGGGACTGTTCAGCTCCCAGTTCACCCCAACGCTGAAAATTCTGCCTTGAATGGCCCTGTGGGAGCAAATGGGCTTGAAAGTCCTAGGGAGGGCCCTCTTCCACACAAGCTAAAGTCCTGCTTGCATTTTAATATGACAGCAATAGGGCTGGGTCCCCAGCACAGAAATCTCAGCATCGACAACTCTCTTTGTGAGTTACGGGTAGGTTTCCTTCATCGTTACTCTGGGTCTTGCATGTCCCAAGGATGTCTATAATCTGTCAGGACCTGAAATATGGAAACATCGGTCCAGACAATGAAACAGGAGGCTGTTTGTGATTTACTACCTGCTCTGCCTGCAGGGAGAGTTATTCTAATTACCTTATTCAGTGTCAGATGTTACAAAAATCCAGGAGTAAATATTTATAGAGATTATGAGACAGGCACAGTTCTGATAGTACAGATGTCATAGGACTTTTTCATTTAAATAAAGTCAGAGATGGCAAATACACATATATGTGCTCCCATTCTCGGTGGCTCCCTAATCTAGCTCATGCCAGTCTATTGTGCTAAACCTGAATTTGATCTCAGACTCTTGAACACCAAGCTCTGACAGCCACAACCCATCAGCTGCGAGTCAGGAGCATGCTGTGGTCGAGAGCAAGAACTCTGCGATCAAATCGACTGCCTTCAAATCCTACCTCCACAACCTACTGACTTCTATGATCTCTGGCAGATTATTTTGCCTCAGTTTCCTGTCTGTAAAAATGAGGTAATCGTACCTACTGGCCCAGTATGGTGGCTCATGCCTGTAATCCCAGCACTTTGGGAGGCCAAGGTAAGAGGATCACTTGGACCCAGGAGTTCAAGATCAGCCTGAGCAACATAGCAAGACCCTTCATCTACAAATTTTTTTTTTTTTTTTTTGAGACAGAGTCTTGCTCTGTCACCCAGGCTGGAGTGCAGTGGCACGATCTCGGCTCACTGCAAGCTCTGCCTCCTGGGTTCATGCCATTCTCCTGCCTCAGCCTCCCGAGTAGCTGGGACTACAGGCGCCTGCCACCACGCCCAGCTAATTTTTTGTATTTTTAGTAGAAACAGGGTTTCACCATGTTAGCCTGGATGGTCTCGATCTCCTGACCTCGTGATTGGCCCGCCTCGGCCTCCCAAAGTGCTGGGATTACAGGCGTGAGCCACCGTGCCCGGCCACACATTTTTTGTTTTTTAATTAGCCAGGCATGGTGGTATATGCTTGTTGTACCAGCTCCTCAAGAGGCTGAGGGTGGGAGGATCACTTGAGTCCAGGACTTTGAGGCTGCAGTGAGCTATGATCATGCCACTGCACTCTAGCCTGGGCAATAGAGCAAGACCCTGTCTCCCATAATAATAATAGTACCTACTCATAGGTTAATT
Organism: Homo sapiens; assembly: GCF_000001405.40. NCBI lineage: Eukaryota > Metazoa > Chordata > Mammalia > Primates > Hominidae > Homo > Homo sapiens. Next base: position 106,519,172 of record NC_000012.12, read on the forward strand.
GAATCAATCAATTGAGCACATAACAAATGCTCAATAAGTACCAGCTATCATCATGATTACTTGGAAATGGCTTTCTTATGAAACTTAATTTCCATCCCTGTATAGTGGCATTTTTTCCTCTTTTTAGATTAAGTTCAATCCAGCTATGTGATTGGTTACCTAAGTGGGGCAGCCTCTCATGCTAAGGGTAGGGTTTCATCTTTGTTGGAGTAGTAAGTTTAAATTTTTGTTCAAAAATTTATAAATGTTTACTTTTGATTACAATGGAGACTGGGTTAAAGGGTGTGGTTGACTGAAAGTAAAGCCATCTCCACTCTCAGAAACAAAACAGCTTAAAGTATTTACCTAGCACTGAGTTAGGGAGTACAGTCTCATGTGTGAAAGAAATTGAAGACATGCATATGACATTGTTGTTCTTCCCATCCGGCATCCACACTGCCTCATATTACCAGATTTTATATATAATGTCCATATTCAGCTGTGTGCATTGAACACAGCATTAATGCTCCCCGCGTAAGAATCCGATGACCTACATAAGAAGGAATTTGTATATAAAGGAATCTTTGGCTTATGTGCAAAGGAAAAAGTCTCCCCTGGAAAAATGCAGGCCTTACACATTTAGCAGACCCTCGTGTCCACAGAAACAGTCATTGGCAATTAGGCAACTGCCATAAGATCAGAAGCAGGAGCCCGCACATGAAACAGGCGGTGCAGGAAGATCACTGCCTTCTATCTCTTGAGTTACGGGCGGCTGAGGTTGCCTCCCCCTGTGTCCAATCTGCTCTGAGCTTTTCCTGCTGTGGACAGAGGCCCTGGAGACTTTTACACACCCCAGTTTTCATGCGGCTTACTGATCCCTTTTCACGTGAATGAAAAACGCCTTTGATTTTGAATACTCAACGTCTGTTTTGTGTAACACTTTACTGATGTGCCAGAATCATTCTGTACCTTAAAGGGGGTCTTGCACTGGGCTATTAAAATCAGTCCTTCTGTGAAGAGTCACTGTGCTCACTTAAAGGATAACTGCCCTGCCTTTTTAAATGGGGCTCATCTTGTTAGACCTGGATTAGGGAAGAGAGGAGCAAGCCTACCCGCTGTTGAAACCCATCCAAAGCCCATCAATGAGTTGGGTCCAACCACAAGAGAGGCTTCAAAGAAATATTACTATCTGCCAACCAGCTCTTCTTTGGGAACTCTACTTCCTGTCATTAATTCCAGTTAGAATCATGGTAAGCTAATAGAGACCTTGAACCAGTAGGTCTACTTTATTTGTTCAGATGACAGAATGGGTTGTTCCGTTTTCTATGGAGTTCCACATCTCTGGAGAAGTCCAAGGAAAAGTTTTATGACTTATCTGTTCAGTCAGCGCTCTCTGTCTCTTCTAGGAACGGATGCTCTACTAGGTTCTGGGGCTACAGAAATGAGTTAGATGATGTCCCTGCCCTCTGGATGCTCAGAACTGGGAGATAAGATAGAGAAGCTACCAGAGAGAGGAGGCCGCCATTCACCTATGTAACTTTGGCAAATTCAATTACATGCTCAGCATTTAAAAGGTAAAGGAAGGGTAGTATTTAAGGCAGACAATACCACTCCCATCCTTCATCCACACCCCTGCCATAGTTGAGCCCAGGTTGAGTGGAATGTAGTCTTCTGTCTCCTCATGCCTCTCACAATACGAGCATCTCTGCTGCAGTGTGAATCTCTGGAGTTAAAAAGATATGGATAGTTTTTAGTCTTTTTGTACCTTATAGACCCTAAATGGAAAGTACTGTCCCACTGGGTGTTCAACCAAACAAATAGCCACTGTCCCAATGATGAGCTGTTTAAGTTATCTTCAAGGATGATTTTGACTTTATGGGGTTTTCACTTGAAACTATTTAAATGCCTGCTGTAGAAAATAACAGACTAGATTTCTCTATCATACAGGAGGGGAAGCCGCCCGTAGTGTCCTATAGTGGGGGCTCCGGTGCAGGCAGGGCAAGTTTTCCAGAAGAGGTGTCTGCCAGAGCTGACTTTTGAAGAATGAGTGGACATTTGCCAAGGGCAGATGGTCCTGGGTGGGGCTGGAGGTGAGAGCATCAGGAAGTAGAGCTGACAGGACTTTGCAGGCAGTGAGAGAGGAATCAAGGGCACTGTGAAAGTACAGCCTGGACCGCCAAGTGGGTAGTGAACCTCCAAGGCAAGGAGCGAGTGGCAGACACACTACGATGTGTTCTGTGTGGCACATATGGAGTTGGGTGTGTCCAGGACCCCTGAGTTAGTGGCCCATCTGGAAATGAGAGGCAGGGGCTGCCAAGGTAGATTGGGAAGTCATCAGTGATTGTGGGCACAGAATGAATGTCACACACACCCGCTCCAGAGAAGGGAAGAGGGTCGGAATGAACCCTGAGGACCCCAGCATGTGGGGAATGGGCACGGAGAGAGGCACCTTCCAAGAAGTCCAAGTTGGGGCAGCAAAGGAAAGCCAGAAAACAGCAGAGTCCAGAGGCCAAGGGAAGAGGGTTTCTAAGTAGGAAGGAGGTCACAAGTCGGAATGTGAAGAGGACCAGGAAGATGAAGTCTGCAAGTCCAGTGGATCCCACCAGGCTGTGAGAGCTGATTCAAGGGCATGAAGTCAGCAGAGGTTAAAGGCACTAGAGGAGGGAGCAGCAGGAGGCTGTTTAATATGATGCCTTAGCGTTCCTAATTGCCCACTTACTGTCTAACAGAGGCAAACAAACCTAGGAGACACCACTGGACTTTGTGTGGCCTCCAGTGTGCTGGTGTCAGCACCCTTTCCCAGAATTCTCTCCCATCAGCCTGCCTGCAATCCCCACATTGGACTCCGCAGGCAAGTCACCTGGGAGGACCATCCATGAACACCTGATTCCTATCAAGACTAATGTGATTCCCTAACCTGTCTTCTCAGGCCCCTGAGGAAATGGACGAGGATCAGGAGGGCGGGATGAGGGCAGCTAGAGAGAGGCAAAGTGAGCAGACCCCACACCCCACCACCCGCATAATGGAGGCTTTGGGAATTACAGTGAGGGGAGGGTGACAGAAGAACATGCTGTCCTACCCACAACTTGCACAGTTTGGACTTTGACCAACTTGACCAATACTGCTGCAGAAGGAACCTTAAGCTTACTGAGCACGTACTAGGGGCTAATCCCTTTACGTAGAGGATCCCACTACCCAACCCTGCTAGGTTGACGTTATTCTCCTCCATTGTATTCCCTTCTAACCTGATGTGATTGGGAGAAATGTCTTAATACAAAATAATCCCTATGTGTAAGAAATGCAAAATCAATTTTGAGCTAAGCTTGTTATAGGCCCACTGCAGGGTAAAATTTTGTTACTGGGTGATCTATTAATCAATCTGATTATGGAGGATCTAGGGTGTGCATTCATAATCCCATTTTACTCATACCACAGCCCTGTGAGGTAAATATTATCTCAGTTTTGTGAGACTAAGTGATTTGCCCAGTGGTACCCAGTACTAAGTGCCTGAGCCAGACTTGGATCTAAGCCTACTCTACCACCTCTCCTCCTTTGTCAGAAAGCCCTGGAATGTTCTGCAGAATGTGTTCAAGGACCCAAACATGGTACGCCAGCCCATGGCCTCAGTGCTATCCAGGTACTCTTCAAATTCTTCTTCAGCAATGCAGAGTTTAGACCAGAAGCAACCTGTAAATAACGCTGAGTCATCCCTTTTACAGCAGGTCTAGGAAGACAGTCTCGTGTGTGTGTGTGTGTGTGTGTGTGTGTGTTTGTGTGTGTGTCTGTGTGTGTGTGCATGTGTGTTCATGTGTGTCTGTATGGTTTTTTTGGGTGTGTATGTCTGTATGTATGTGTGTGTGTCCATGTATGTGTGTGTTTGTGTGCTTTCATACTCTCCTGGCTGCTGCCAAGAGATTTCCTTGAACCTTGCACCTCCCTGACTTCAGGAGCAGCTTCTAATGATAAACCTTATTGGGACCCAAGTTGGAAGGCCACTGATCCCTCACTGCTGGGGCCACCATCTGGGTTTTATGGCCAAAGCCCATTCTGAGGAGATCTCTTGTATTAGGGATTTATACTTAGATACAGAAATGCCTCAATTTATGAAAACCCCAAACTTCTGAGACCCGGGTGCTGGAGATCCATAATTCCTTCCCATAGCAGGGGGTCCTTTAAATACAGTACTCTACAAAAAATACATGTCATTGTGGACCAACTACAGATAGGCACCAATAAAGTAGCTTAAGTTACTCATAATCTCATCACAAATAACAATTGTTAACATTTCAGTGTAGTCCATGCAGTGGAGTACTGTGCAGCTTTACACAGAAGACAGACAGTCGCAGCCCTACCTAGTAATACTGAAAGCTCTCTAAGTTTCACACTTGGAAGAAAAAAGAGACTTAGGAAATATAAAGTCTCATTTTTGTAAAAAAAAAAAAAAAAGTGATGGGTAGATGGATACATAAGTAGGTAGATATATAAATAGATGATAGACACAGAGAGGTGGGGAGAAAGAAAGAGATTTAGCAAGGTACAAAAATATGTCCGATTGGACAACAAATTGTTAAGAGTGGGATGAGGGAGGGAGAAGAGGAAGGACTTAGGAAAAGAACTTTCCTTGTTTTCTTTTTTGTTCAGTTATGTTTATTTCATGTACTTATTTTTGTATTTTATGACATCACATATGCATTACTTTATAATGTAAAATAATTTATAAAAGTAAAGCAAATTGGCATCCAAAACTTTTCTATATATAGTTATATAAATGCAGGCACACACACATACACACACAGACACACTTTTTCAACCTTAACCACAAAAAATTCCAAATATTTACAAAACTAGAGAGAATGGTATAGTGGACCCTCATCTATCCATCACCCAGTTGCAACGATTATCAACTCATTGCTAGGTTGGTATCCATGACCCCACCTATTTTCTCCTCCTAGAATATTTTGAAACAAATCCCAGGTTTACAAATTCATTTCACCCATAAATATTTCAATATATACCACTAAAGTCACTCTTAAAAAAAAAACCACAATACCATTGTCATAATAACAATTAACAATAGTCTCTTACTGTCATCAAATATCCAGTTTGTATTCAGATTTTCCAATCATCTCATAAATTTTTTTTCCAGATGTTAGAACTGGAATCCAAATAATTAACGTTAATAAATCTTTGAATTCTCTTACAGTCAGCACTGGTCTCTTCTATCTCCCAGGTCCCCATCTCCTTCTTTTATTTGCAATTTATTTCTTGAAGAAACCAGATCCTTTGTCATATAGTTTCCTATAGTTTGTACTTTGCCAGTTGCATTCCTTTAGTAGAGTTCAACATGTTTTTCTGTATTCTGTGTCTTCTGTAAGTCTGCAGTTAGAACTAAAGGCTCGATTGGATCAAGTTTGACTTTTGTGACAAGACTCATTCATAGGGGGTGTCGCCTTCCCACAGGAGGCACGCACGTTTTGTCCCTCTTTTTGTGATGTCAGCAGCCACTCGTGCACAATACTCCATTAATTTAATAGAGTTTGCAAAATGGTGCTATGCTCATTCTATCGTTTCTTCATTTATTAGCTAGGATACACCTGTTTAGAGAAACTTCCTTTCATCAATTATTTGCTTACCCAGAAGTTTATTTCATATAATAAAGGCTGGATACGTGTTTTATTCTTTTCCTTTACTTACCAGTTGTCAAAATAATGAGTTAGTTCCCTAGCATCCTTCAGTGGGAGCCAATGAGTTTGGGGGGGAATTCTTATGAACTCATGGACTAAACATATTGCATTGTCCCAATCCATTGCAGTTATTATTCTTCTGATGATCAGATTACTCCCTCTTTGGCCAAGACAAGCTGTTCAAAATGTCTCCTGAGCCCTTTTGATACAAACTCAGTAACACTTGGAAATTTCCTTGCTTCCAAGTATGACATGATGTTCCAGTCTCCCATTGTACATTTTCTGTCCCAGGCCTGAACCCAACCTTTTCTCTAAATGAGCCTAGTTTGTGTGTGTGTGTGTGTGTGTGTGTGTGTGTGTGTGTGTGTGTGTGTGAAATAATATTTCAAGACCACAATCTAGGTGTTAGGGAAACAGTACTGCTGAGCAGGTAATTGGTTCCAGGCCTTTTTGATGGTTAAAACTAAGATAGATAGATGAGACAGAGCGAGAGCAAGCTGTGGTCTGAAAGTGTCCCCTTCAAAATTCAAGTGTTGCCAATGTGATAGTATTAAGAGGTGGCTCCCTTGAGAGGTGATTAGGCCATGAGGGCGGCTCCCTCATGATTGAGATTAAGGCCTTTTTGAAAGAAGCCTTATGCCTTCTTTGGTGACCTTGCCCTTCTGCATTCTGCCATGCAAAGTCACAGAGAGAAAGTCCTCACCAGACTAAATGCTGGTGCCTTGATCTTGGGCTTCCCAGCCTTCAGAACTGTCAGAAATACATTTTTGTTCCTTGTACATTTCTCAGATATTTTGTTGTAGCAGCACAAATTGGCTGAGAGAGGGAAAGAAAGAGAGCGAGAGAGAATACATCAAGTTCATACCAATATTTCCCATTCTTATTCAGGACTACAAGGTTTTCTTAATTGCATCCATCTTACAGACAATCAAAATTTCCCCTTTCTCTCTCACTAAAACTCCCAGTACCAAGTTCTCAACAATACCAACATAATTACTTAGTTGCTGTCCCAGAATATATGCATAACTGTCTTAGAATAGCAATACCAACATTACCACCAACAATATGATTACTAATGAGAGTGTAATATATTTGTGGCTTTACAATTTTTTTTTTTTTTTTTTTTTAAACAGGGTCTTGCTTTGTTGCCCAGGCTGGAGTGTAGTGGTGTGATCTCAGCTCACTTGCAACCTCCGCCTCTTAGGTTCAAGGGGTTTTCCTGCCTCAGCCACCTGAGTAGCTGGGATTGCAGGCGTGTGCCACCACACCCAGCTAATTTATGTATTTTTAGTAGAGATGGGGTTTCACCATATGCTGGGAGCCACCACATCCAGCTACAATTCTTTCTGTTTCTATAGGATATCATACTAGGGATACACAGTCAATGACTGGTTGTATAGTAATTTAGAATTGTTCTCTGTGAGGTTATCACCAATAGTACGTAAAGTTAGGTTTATTTGTTTAATTTGATTTGGATTTTTAGGAATTTGATTTTTATTTAATTTTATTTTTTATTAAGGTGAAATATTTATGTGGCTTCAAAGTTAAATTTATAATGCAAGCCATATTAAAACAACTCTGGCTTCTATACCTGTCCTTGTTACCCTATAGGTAACCATTTAATTTTTATGTTAATATTTTTATTATTTTTAAAATACGTGCATATATTATCCTCCTTGAAAAACAGAAATATGCTACTACACCTTGATTTCTTCACCCAGCATTATATCCATGAGACTCCACCATAGCAGTATATAGAGAAATGGGTCTCTCTTTCAATGGGATCAAATATTACATACTGTTTTCCCTTTTTTCACTTATATCCCAGGAGCTTCTTTCCCTCTTTCCTTAAAGCTTTGAAAATACAAATTAGATTTAAAAATTTTTAATCTAATACTGGCCAGAAGGCAATTAATCTTGCCTGACATTTCATCCAGAGCTGGGAAAATAACTAGCCCACAAGCAGATCTAAAGAGACTGCAGGAGAAAGTTGTTTTAATTGTACTCAGTAGAGGCCAGTCCCTTCAATATAATGGCTATATTTGTGAGGGCTCATCTAGGATCCTGTACATGACACAGATGTGACTAAAGTGTTAAAAAGAATTACAGGTCTTTCAAATTCACCTCTTACATGTAAAGAATACAGAGTCTGTCATTTCTATTCTTGCAACGAGAAAAAATGGAATAAACTGAAAAGAAACAATTTTTCTTGGGCCCATCAGAGAACTGGGTATGTAGAGCAAATCGGTGCCCTGAAATCTAGAGACACAGAGGAATGCAGAAGACACATCTGAGATCTGCTTACCTGGAGCAGAAGCCAAGGGAGCCATAAAGTGGTGGGAAAATTTAAATGGTAATTTTCATGACTTCCTAGAAGGGAAGTGTTGACTAGCCTGAGAGTGAGAAGTTTCTGGGGCTTTTGGTTTTAGGAGTCCCTCACATTTTTGTGGGCTCTACCTCCAGTAAGCCCACCAGATTACCACGCTTAAGATGCCAGAAGGATCTCCTTACGGCTCTGGCAGGGGCAGGGGAAGAGTTATTGTGAAATACACCTAGAGTGTTCTCCATGACCAAGAACCTTCTAGCTTAAATCAGGAAGAATTAGATATCCTGAACCTTTCTCCAAGGGAAAGGACTATACCAGAGCTTTATCCCACTTGGCCGGAAGAGCATTCCTCCCTCTTTAGCTCCCTCTAACTTCCTCTGACTCAGAGGGGAAAATCTATGCCAATAGAGAAACACTTGTGACAGTCACAGGTCAGGGACGCAGCCCACTAGAACACTGAGATTTAATCATAAGGTTATAGAATGCTTCCCCTCCCCCACACCATACCACCACTCCAACAGGGCTCCAATACAATCACAGTGGATTATAGTTGAAAGAACTGCAAGACACAGACTCTCTGATGAGGGGTACTTAGGGAAGCCCAAAGTCAAGAGAGTAGACAAAACAAGAACACTAGAGGAATTTGAATCCCCTGACACCTATAGCTACAGCAAACATTACACACAGCCCAACTCCTAACCAGATTAACATAATCCTCACACCAAAGGCTCTGTTCCTATTACCCAGTACAACATGTCCTGTCCAACTTCAACAAAAAGCTACAAGCAAGAAAAAAAAAACACAATCTGAAAAAAAACAAAGCAAGCATCTGAACCAGACTCAGATATGACACAGATGTTGGAATTATCACAAAGAGAATTTAAAATAACTGTGATTAACATGTTAAGAGCTGTAATGCAAAAAGTAGCCAAAATACAAGAATAAATGGGCAATGTAAGAAGAAGAGATGGAAATTCAAAGAAAGAATTAAAAGAAAATTCTAGAGATCAAAAATATACTAACATAAATGAAGAAAGCCTTCACTGGGTTCGTAGAAGACTCAGCACAGCCAAGGAATGAATCAGTGAACTTAAAGATAGATCAGTAGAAACATCCTAAATAGAAATGCAAAGATGGGCCAGATGTGGTGGCTCATGCCTGCAATCCCAGCACTTTGGGAGGCCAAGGTGGGTGGATTACTTGAGGTGAGGAGTTGGAGACCAGCCTGGCCAACATGGTGAAACCCTGTCTCTACTAAAAATACAAAAATTAGCCAGACGTGATAGTGGGCACCTGTAATCCAGCCACTCGGAGGCTGAGGCAGGAGAATCACTTGAACCTGGGAGGCGGAGGTTGCAGTGAGCCAAGGTTGCACCATTGCACTCCAGCCTGGGCAACAGAGCTAGATTCCGTCTCAAAAAAAAAAAAGAAAAGAAATGCAAAGATGGAGGTGGGGAGAGAGGAGAAAATAGCAGAGCAGAACCTCCAAGAACTGTGAAAGAATTTCAGAATTTCTGAACATATGCATAATGGGATATCAGAGAGAGAACAGAGCAAAATAAATATTTGAAATGATAATGGCCAAAAGCTTTCCAAAATTAATCACAGACACCAAACCACAGATCCAAGAAGCTTGGCGAATACCAACTAGAATAAATACCAAAAAGCTATACCCAGGCATATAGTCTGTAGTCAGACTGCAGAAAAACAAAGACAAATAGAGACTCTTGAAAGAATCCAGAGGGGGAAAAGAATCTTCCCTGTAAAGGAACAAGGATAAGACTTACAATGGATTTGTCATTAGAAACCATGCAAGCAAGAAGAAAGTGGAATGAAATATTTCAGATGTTCAAAGAAAAAGACTACTGATCTAGAATTCTATATTCAGTAAAACTATCCTTCAATAGTGAAGAAAAATAAAGACTTTCTCAGACAAACAAAATTTGAGGAAATTCATCACCAGGAAACCTGCCCAATATGAATGTTAAAAGATTTTCTTCAGAAAGGAAATGACATAGTTCAGAAGCTTGCATCTACACAAAGAAAAAAAGCATTAGAGAAGGAATAAATGAAAGTAAAATAAAATACATTTCTTAATTGACCTAAAAAGTAATTTTTTAAAGAATAATAATTTATTGGTTGATTATAGTATATAGACAAGTGAAATAATGACAGCAACAACCTAAGGAATGGGTGATAGAATTGTGAATAAAACTGTTATTTTTAGAGTTCTTTTTTCATAAGTTATTAGGTTACAGGTGGTATTTGGTTACATGAGTAAGTTCTTTAGTGGTGCACCCATCACCCAAGCAGTATACACTGCACCATATTTGTAGTCTTTTATCCCTGGCCCCCTCCCACTCTTCCCCCCACGTCCCCACAGTCCATTGCCTCATTCTTATGCCTTTGCATCCTCATAGCTTAGCTCCCACATATCAGTGAGAACATACAATGTTTGGTTTTCCATTCCTGAGTTACTTTACTTAGAATAATAGTCTCCAATCTCATCCAGGCCACTGCAAATACTGTTAATTCATTCCTTTTTATGGCCGAGTAGTATTCCATTGTGTGTGTGTGTGTGTACATGTATGTGTGTGTGTGTATATATATATATATATACACACACACACATATATACACACATACATATACACACCACAGTTTCTTTATCCACTCGTTGATTGATGGGCATTTGGGTTGTTTCTATGATTTTGCAGTTGTGAATTGTGTTGCTATAAACATGTGTGTGCAAGTATCTTTTTTGTGTAATGACTTCTTTTCCTCTGGGTAGATACCCAGCAGTGGGATTGCTGAATCAAATGGTAGTTCTACTTTTAGCTCTTTAAGGAATCTCCACACTGTTTTCCATAGTGGCTGTACTAGTTTACATTCCTACCAGCAGTGTAGAAGTGTTCCCTGATCACCGCATCCAAGCCAGCATCTACTGTTTTTAGATTTTTTTTATTATGGCCATTCTTGCAGGAGTAAGGTGGTATTGCACTGTGGTTTTGATTTGCATTTCCCTGATCATTAGTGATGTTGAGCATTTTTTTTTCTTTCTTTCTTTTTTTTTTTTTTTTTTTTTTGTTTGAGACAGAGTCTCACACTGTCACCCAGGCTGGATTGCAGTGGTGCGATCTGGGCTCACTGCAAGCTCCGCCTCCTGGGTTCACGCCATTCTCCTGACTCAGCCTCCCGAGTAGCTGGGACTACAGGCCCCCACCACTACGCCCGGCTAATTTCTTGTATTTTAGTAGAGACAGGGTTTCACCGTGTTAGCCAGGATGGTCTCGATCTCCTGACCTCGTGATCCACCCGCCTTGGCCTCCCAAAGTGCTGGGATTACAGGTGTGAGCCACCGCGCCCGGCCAATGTTGAGCATTTTTAAAATATGTTTGTTGGCCATTTGTATATCTTCTTTTGAGAATTGTCTATTCGTGTCCCTAGCCCACTTTTTGATGGGATTATTTGCTTTTTTTTACTGATTTGTTTGAGTTCATTGTAGATTTTGGATATTAGTCCTTTGTCAGATATATAGGTTGTGAAGATTTTCTCCCAGACTGTGGGTTGTCTGTTTACTCTGCTGACTGTTCCTTTTGCTGTGCAAAAGCTCTTTAGTTTAATTAAGTCCCAGCTATTTATCTTTGTTTTTATTGCATTTGCTTTTGGGTTCTTGGTCATGAAATCATTGCCTAAGCCAATGACTAGAAGGGTTTTTCCAATGTTATCTTCTAGAATTTTTATACGTCATAGATTTAAGTCCTTAATCCATCTTGAGTTGATTTTTGTGTAAGGTGAGAGATGAGGATACAGTTTCATTCTCCAACATGTGGCTAGCCAATTATCCCAGCACCATTTGTTGAAAAGGGTGTGGTTTCCCCACTTTGTTTTCGTTTGCTATGTCAAAGATTGATTGGCTGTAAGTATTCGGGTTTATTTCTGGGTTATCTATTCTGTTCCATTGGTCTATGTGCCTATTTTTATACCAGTACCACACTGTTTTTGTGACCATGACTTTATAGTATAGTTTGAAATCAGGTAGTGTGATGCCTCCAGATTTGTTCTTTTTGCTTAGTCTTGCTTTGGCTATATGAGCTCTTTCTTGATTCCATATGAATTTTTGAATTGTTTTTTCTAATTCTGTGAAGAATGATGATGGTATTTTGGTAGGGATTGCATTGAATTTGTAGGTTGCTTTTGACAATATGGTTGTTTTCACAATATTGATTCTACCCATCCATGAGCATGGGATGTGTTTCCATTTGGTTGTGTCATCTGTGATTTCTTTCAGCAGTGTTTTGTAGTTTTCCCTGTAGAGGTCTTTTGACTCCTTGGTTAGGTATGCTCCTAAGTATTTTATTTTATTTTATTGCAGCTATTGTAAAAGGGGTTGAGTTCTTGATTTGATTATCTGCTTTGTTGCTGTTGATGTATAGAGGAGCTACTGATTTGTGTACATTAATCTTGTATCTGGAAACTTTGCTGAATTCTTTTATCAGTTCTAGGAGCTTTTTGGAGTCCTTACAGTTTTCAAGGTAAATGAGCATATCATCAGCAAACAGTGACAGTTTGACTTCCTCTTTACTGATCTGGATGCCCTTTATTTCTTTCTCTTGTCTGATTGCTTTGACTAGGACTTCCAGTACTATGTTGAAGAGGAGTGGTGAGAGTGGGCATCCTTGTCTTTTTCCAGTTCTCAGAGGGAAGGGTTTCAACTTTTCTCCATTCAGTATTATGTTGGCTGTGGGTTTGTCATAGATGGCTTTTATTACATTGAGCTATGTCCCTTGTATGCTGATTTTGCTGAGAGTTTTCATCATAAAGCGATGCTGAATTTTGTTGAACGCCTTTTCTGCACCTATTAAGATGATCATGTGATTTTTGTTTTTAATTCTGTTTATGTGGTGTATCACATTTATTGACTTGCATATGTTAAACCATCCCTGCATCTCTGGTATGAAACCCACTTGATCATGGTGGATTATCTTCTTGATATGTTGTTGGATTTGGTTAGCTAGTATTTTGTTAAGGATTTTAGCATCTATTTTCATCAAGGATACCATTCTGTAGTTTTCTTTTTTGGTTATGTCCTTTCCTGGTTATTTGGGTGATGCTGGCTTCATAGAATGAATTAGGGAGGGTTCCTTCTTTCTCTATCTTGTGGAATAGTGTCAGAAGGATTGGTACCAATTCTTCTTTGAATGTTTGGTAGAGTTCTGCTGTGAATCTATCAGGTCCTGGACTTTTTTTTTTTTAGTAATTTTTAAATTATCATTTCAATCTCACTGCTTATTATTGGTCTGTTCAGGGTATCTAATTCTTCCTAATTTAAGCTAAGAGGGTTGTATTTTTTCCAGGAATCCATCCATCTCTTACTAGGTTTTCTAGTTTATATGCATAAAGGTGTTCATAGTAGCCTTAAATAATCTTTTGTATTTTAGTGGTGTCGGTTGTAATATCTCCTGTTTTGTTTCTTAATGAGGTTATTTGGATTTTCTCTTTTCTTTTCTTGGTTAATCTTGCTAATCGTCTATCAATTTTATTTATCTATTCAAAGAACCAGCTTTTTGTTTCACTTATCTTTTGTATTTTTTGTTGTTGTTGTTTCGATTTCATTTAGTTTTGCTCAATCTTGGTTATTTCCTTTTTTCTGCTGGGTTTGGGTTTGGTTTGTTCTTGTTTCTGTAGTTCCTTGAGGTATGACCTTAGAATGATTGCTCATGCTACATCATTTTTTTGATGTAGGTGTTTAGGGCTATGAACTTTCCTCTCAGCACTGCCTTTGCCATATCCCAGAGGTTTTGATAGGTTGTGTCATTACTGTCGTTCAGTTTGAAGAATTTTTCAATTTCCATCTTGATTTCGTTTTTGACCCAGTGCTCATTCAGGAGCAGGTTATTTAATTTCCATGTATTTGCATGGTTTTGAAGGTTCATTTTGGAGTTGATTTCCAGTTTTATTCCACTGTGATCTGAGAGAGTGCTTGATATAATTTCAGTTTTCTTAAATTCATTGAGGCTCATTTTATGGCATATCATATGGTCTATCTTGGAGAAAGTTCCATGCACTGTTGAATAGAATGTGTATTCTGTGGTTGTTGGATGAAATGTTCTGTATATTTCTGTTAAGTCCATTTGTTCCAAGGTATAGTTTAAATCCACTGTTTCATCATTGACTTTCTGTCTTGATGACCTGTCTAGTGCTGTCAGTGGAGTACTGAAGTACCCCACTATTATTGTGTTGCTGTCTATCTCATTTCTTAGGTCTGTTAGTAATTGTTTTATAAATCTGGGGGCTCCAGTGTTGGGTGTATATAGGTTTAGGATTGTGATATTTTCCTGTTGGACAAGGCATTTTACCATTATATAATGTCCCTCTTTGTCTCTTTTAACTGCTATTGCTTTAAAGTTTGTTTTGTCTGATATAAGAATAGCTACCCCTGCTCACTTTTGGTGTCCATTTGCATGAAATGACTTTTCCACTCCTTTACTTTAAGTTTATGTAAGTTCTTACTTGTTAGGTGGGTCTCCTGAAGGCAGCAGATGGTTGGTGAGTTCTTATCCATTCTGCGGTTCTGTTTCTTTTAAGTGGAGCATTTAGGCTATTTACATTCAATGTTAGTATTGAGATGTGAGGTACTATTGCATTCACTGTGCTCTATGTTGCCTGTGTACTTTGGTATTTTTTGTTTTTTGGGTTTTTTTTTTTTTTTTTTTTTGCTTTTTAACTTGTATTTTTGTTTCATAGGTCCTGTGTGATTAATGCTTTAAAGAGGTTCTGTTTTGATGTGTTTCCAGATTTAGAGCTCCTTTTAGCAGTTCTTGTAGTGGTGGCTTGGTAGTGGCAAATTCTCTCAGCATTTGTTTGTCTGAAAAAGACTGTATTTTTCCTTCATATATGATGCTTAATTTCACTGGATACAAAATTCTTGGCTGATAATCGTTTTGTTTGAGGAGGCTGAAGATAGAGCCCAATCTTTTCTAGCTCGTAGGGTTTCTGCTGAGAAATCTGCTGTTAATCTGATAGATTTTCCTTTATAGGTTACCTGGTGCTTCTGTCTGACAGCTCTTAAGATTCTTTCCTTTGTCTTAACTTTGGATAACCTGATGACAATGTGCCTAGGTGATGATCTTTTTGTGATGAATTTCCCGGGTGTTCTTTGTGCTTCTTGTATTCGGATGTCTAGGTCTCTAACAAGGCTTTGGAAATTTTCCTTGATTACTCTCCCAAATATGTTTTCCAAGCTTTTAGAATTCTCTTCTTCCTTAGGAACATAGATTATTCTTAGGTTTGGTCATTTAACATAATCCCAGACTTCTTAGAGTCTTTGTTCATATTTTCTTATTCTTTTTTCTTTGTCTTTGTTGGATTGGGTTAATTCGAAGATGTTGTATTCAAGCTCTGAATTTCTTTCTTCTACTTGTTCAGTTCTATTGCTGAGACTTTCCAGAGCATTTTGCATTCCTATGTGTCCAATATTTCCTGAAATTTTAATTATTTTTTCTTTAAGCTATATATTTCCTTGATTATTTCTCCCTTCACTTCTTGTATCATTTTTTTGGATTTCCTTGCATTGGGCTTCACCTTTCTCTGGTGCCTCCCTGATTAGCCTAATAACTACCCTCCTGAATTCTTTTTCAGGTAAATCAGGGATTTCTTCTTGGTTTGGATCCATTGCTGGTGAACTAGTGTGATTTTTTGGGGAGTGCTAAAGAGTACTGTTGGGTCATATTACCAGAGTTGGTTTTCTGGTTCCTTCTCATTTGGGTAGGCTCTGTTTGAGGGAAGGTCTAGGGTTGAAGGCTGTTGTTCAGATTCTTTTGTCCTACAGGGTGTTCCCTTGATGTAGTACTCTCCCCCTTTTCCTGTGGATGTGGCTTCCTGTGAGCCAAACTGCAGTGATTATTGTCTCTCTTCTGGGTTTAGCCACCCAGCAATTCTAACCAATTCTGGGCTGGTACTGGGGGTTGTCTGCACAGACTTCTGTGATGACAACTATCTATGGGTCTCTCAGCTGTGGTTACCAGTGCCTGTTCTGGTGGAGGTGGCAGGGGGGTGCAATGGACTCTGTAAGGGTTCTTAGCTTTGGTGGTTTAATGCTCTGTTTTTGTGCTGCTTGGCATCCTGCTGGGAGGTGGCACTTTCCAGAGAATCAGCTGTGGTAGTATGGGGAGGAACCAGCAGAGGGTAGGGCCCTAGAACCCCCAAGATTATATGCCCTTTGTCTTCAGCTACCAGGGTGGGTAGGGAAGGACCATCAGGTGGTGGCAGGGTTAGGTGCTATGGCTGCTATGGGGGATGGGGGTGAGGTGCCCAGGTCAATGGAGTTGTGCACCTAGGAGGATTATGGCTGCCTCTGCTGAGTCATGCAGGTTATCAGGGAAGTGGGGGAAAGCCAGCAGTCACAGCCCTCACCCAGCTCCCATGCAAACTGAAGGGCCGGTCTCACTTCCACCATGCCCCTCTAACAGCCCTGAATCTGTTTCCAGGTGGTGGGCGAGCCGGGCTTGAGAACTTGCCCCAGGCTACCCACCTCCCAGCTGTGAAAGAAAGGGGCTTGGTTCTTCCCCCACCTGTGGAGTCTGCACACCGGATTCATACCCTCCCCCAAGTTCTAGCCAGGAGGCTTCTCACCCAGTTCAAATTGCTACAAAGTTAGCTGGAGATTTCCTTCTCCCTGTAGTGTTTCCCCTTGCACTCCACTCCTCTGGCTGCTGCCTTCCTGACGGATCCCTGTGGTGCCAGGCAAGAATGGCCTGCTTGGGGATCCAGCAAGCTCCCAGGGCCTTTCTGCTGCTTCCTGTACCCCTGTATTTCACTCAGCTCTCTAAATTGACTCAGCTCCAGGTACAGTTGGAAACTTCTCCTGCAAACAGACCTTCAGTTTCTCCAGTGGGGGTGTGTGTTCGGGAGAGGAGGCTCTCCCTTTCCCACTTCTGCAGTTGGGGCACTCACGGTATTTGTGGTGTCTCCCTGGTCCTGCAGGAGCAGTCCGCTTTTTTCAGAGGGTCTGTGGGTCCTCTCGGGATTGCTGGTTTGTTCTTGCAGTTGATCTGGAGCTAAAATTCATGATGCAAGCCTCAGCACGCTGCTCTGTCCGTCCGAGTCAGAGCTGCAATCTCTACTCTGTTATAAGGTATGTTCATTACCATGAAGTTATATAGTGAAGGTGAACTAGTTAAAACTGGCCAAAAGATCTGAACAGACATCTCAGCAAATAAGACATACAGGTGGCAAATAAGCATATGAAAAGATGCTTGACATCATTTGCCAATAGGAAATTAAAAATTAACAGTGAGATGCCACTACACATCTATAGAATGAAAAAAGTCCAAAAAACTGACAATACAAATTGCTGATGATGATGCAAAGCAAGAGGAGCTCTCATGCATTGCTGTGGTAATGCAAAATGGTATAGCCACTTTGAAAAACAGTTTTGCAGTTTCTTACAAAACTAAACATAGTTTTACCATATAATTCAGCAATCATGCTGCTAGGTATTTGCCTGATTTGAAAACATGCACACACAAAAATTCTACATGCGAATGTTTATAGCAGCTGTATTTGTGATTGCCAAAAAATGGAAGCAACCAAGATGTCCTTCAATAGGTGAATAGACATTCAAACTAAGATGCTTTCATGCAATGGAATATTATTCAACAATAAAAAGAAATGATGTATCAAGCCATAAAAAGACATAGATGAAACTTAATTATATATTGCTAAGTGAAAGAGTCTAGAAAAGGCAACAATTTTTGGTAAAAATGAAGTGGTAAAAACATCAGTGGTTGCTGGGGTTTGGAGACAAGTTGAAAAAGTGAAGCACGGGAGGTTTTTCCTCCATCCCAGGTGGAGAAATTTATTCCATATAATACTGTAGTGGAAAATACATACTATGCATTTGTTTAAAACCCATAGGACTTTGTAGCCCAAAGAATAAACCTTAATGGATGTAAAGTTTTAAAAAAAACAATTGGGAGGTTGAGGGATCCCAAGATGGAATGTAGAATACGACAAAAAAAACAAAAAAACAAAAAAAAAAACCTACCTGTATTACAAATGTATAATGCAGCGTCATTAAAGGAGGTAGGGAAAGGTGCTGACCTAAGTAGCTTTGGAAGTGAATCAAGTTTGTAAGGCTAAAGGCACAAGAAACTGTATATAAGCATTTATCCTAGTTCAGTCCTTCCCAACTCCTGGTCTGCAGACCGGTACTGGTCTGTGGCCTGTTAGGAACCGTGCCACACAGCAGGAGGTGAGCGGTGGGTGAACGTCACTGCCTGAGCTCCACCTCCTGTCAGATCAGTGGGAGCATTAGATTCTTGTAGGAGAGAATTTCATAGATTCTCATATTGTGAAGTGTACATGTGAGGGATCTAGGTTGCATGCTCCTTATGAGAATCTAATGATAAATGTAATGCTCTTGAATCATCCTGAAACCAGCCCCCTACTCCCATCTATGGAAAAATTGTCTTCCACACAACTGATCCCTGGTGCCAAAAAGGTTGGGGACCACTGATCTAGTTGATACAGTTTTCCCCAGGGAGTTGTGGGTTAACAATTCTGATACCGCTACACACTGTGGTTGAGCGATTAAGTGAATGATGGCATATGGTGGCAATCATATGGCATATGGTTTCTTGCTGTTGGAGTGGCAGAGGCAAGAGCAAGCCTAGAGGACCCTGAGGAGGCATGACTACTACATGTAATGTGTTACCTTGACTGGGATTCTGGAACAGAAAAAGGTCATTAGGAAAATATTAAAGAAATCTGGATAAAGAATTGACTTCAGTTAATAATAAATGTATCAATGTTGGCTCATTAATAAGTGTACCATACTGATGTTAGATATTAATAATAAGGGGGACTGGGTATTAGGTATATATGAACTTTGTATGATCTTTGTAATTGTATTGTAAATTTAAGCTGTTCTAGAATAAAAGGTTTATCTTTAAAAATTACAGGAAGTGAATAATTTAAACTGAAATTTAATCATGTATGGCAGTAAAATAATAAATGAAACAATTTTGAATGTTAAAATTAAAAAACCACAATGAAGTATCAATATAACCATTAGAATAACTAAAATGTTTTAATATGACAATTACAATTGATGGTGTTGGTGATGATATAGGGACATTGGAACTCTCATACATTGCTGATGGGAGTGTAAAAGGGAGTGTAAAAATCCATCTTTGGAAAGCTGTTTGATGGTTTCCTATAAAGTTATATATGCAATTACCATATGACCCAGCAATTTCACTTCAAGGTGTTTATCCAAAAGATATGAAAGCATATGTACACACAAAGATTTGTACCAAAATATTCATATGAGTTTTACTCGTAATAGCCCAAAACTGGTAGCCACCCAATAGATAAAAATGGCTAAACAAGTTGTGGTATATTTATAAAAAGGAATACTACTTAGAATTAAAAAATGAACAAACCTACATATATATGCAACAAACTAGATCAATATAATAAAAGCATTATACTGAGAGACCAGGCGTAAAAGAGTAAGTATTATGTGATTCAATTTTTATGAAACTTTAGGAAAGACATGTCTAATCTATAGTGATAAAAAGCAGATCAGTGGTGGTGTGAGGCTGGGAGCAGGGGCAATTGATTGAGAAGGGGCAAAAAGGAACTTTTTAGGATAATGAAAATATTTTTATTATGGTAGTGATTATACAGATGTATATCTTTATCAAGATTCATTCATCTATACAGTTAAAATGTGTGCATTTTCTTGTGTATAAATTGTTCCCTAGTGAGGTTGACTTTTAAAGAGGATTAGAGAAAAAATGACATTATTTTATAATGTGAGTTCAAAGGAGTTTTTAAACCTGTAATTCAAATAATTAGATGTAAAAGGACATTTAAGGGTATAAAGCTGTATAAAGCCATATAAAGGATATTTAAAGGTATGAAGAGAAATACTAGAACAGCTAAAAATCATTATAAAATTAAATGTTAGTGATAGAAGGAAGAGACAATAAGGAGGTGGGAGGAGGTGAACACATACTAACTTTTGTATTGCACATAGTCAAAAGCCATTAATTGCTATTTAAAGAGAACAATATTTAATAATTAATTTTATAAAATTAAATCACTAAAATAACTTTTAAAAGGATGAACCACTAAAATAACAAAATAACCCCAAAAATCTTCCCAATCATCAGAAAAATGCATTCACAGAATGAATGAAATACAGATAACACAAATCACACGTGTATTAGTCAGTTTTCACACTGCTATAAAGACAACCTGAGACTGGGTAACTTATAGAGAAAAGAGATTTAATTGACTCACAGTTCCACATAGCTGGGTAGGCCTCAGGAACCTTACAATCATGGCGGAAGGGGAAGGGGCATATCTCAAATGGCAGCAGGCAAGAGAAGAGTGTGTGTAGTGAAGGGGGAAGAACCCCTTATAAAATCATCAGATCTCGTGAGAACTCACTATCACAAGAACAGCAAGGAGGGAACTGCCCCCATGATCCAATCATCTCCCACCAGGTTCCTCCTTGACATGTGGGGATCACGAGGATTACAATTCAAGATAAGACTTGGGTGGGGAGACAGTCAAATCATGTCAACATAATAAAAATATTTTTTAAATGAATAAAAAATACATAGTATAGCATAAGATATAATTTAAAAACTGAACACCAAATGTACCTGTTGTATCCATAGATTTCACTGGATAAACTAACTTTTTAAATAGAAAATATTCAGGCTATACCACAAAGCAAATCTGAGCCATTTGCACTAGTGAGCCAACACAGAAAACCATGGAAACCTAGGAAGTTTGAAATATAATGTATTAGGTTGTTTCTGTATTACCATACAGGAATACCTGAGACTGGGTAATTTATAAAGAAGAGACATTTAATTGGCTCACAGTTCTACAGGCTGTGTAAGCATGGCACCAACATCTGTTCAACTTCTGGGCCTCAGGAAGCTTACAATCATGGCAGAAGGCAAAGCAAGAACAGGTACATCCCATGATAAAAGCAGGGGTAAGGTTGGGGGATGTGAAGGTGCCATACTCTTCTAAACAACGAGATCTTGTGTGAAGTACAAGAGCAAAAACTCACTCATCACCAAGGGAATGGCACTAAGCCATTAATGAGGGATCTGCCCCATGATCAAAATTCCTCTTACCAGGCCCCACCTCCAACACTGGGGACTGCATTTCAACATGAGATTTGGAGGGGACAAACATCCAAAGCACACCATTCCACCCTTGGCTTCTCAAATCTCATGTTCTCCTAACATTGCAAAATACAATCATGCTTTCCCAACAGTTCCCCAAAGTGTTAACTCATTCCAGCATTAATTCAAAAGTCCCAAGTTAAGTCCAAAGTCTTATCTGAGATTCAAGGCATATTTCTTCCACCTCTGAGCCTGTAAAATCAAAACCAAGCTATTTGCTTCCAAGATACACTGGTGGTACAGGCGTTGAGTAAATATTCCTATTCCAAAAGGGAGAAATCAGCCAAAAGAAAGGGGTTTCAGGCCCCACACGTCTGAAAACCAGCAAAGCAGTCGTTAAATCTTAAGGCTCCAAAATAATCTCCTTTGACCCCATGTCCCACATCCAAGGCACACTGGTGCAAGCAGTGGACTCCTAAGGCCTTGGGCATGTCTTCCCCTGTGGCTTTGCAGGGTGTGGCCCCCAGGTCTGCTGCCATAGTTTGGAGTTAAGTGCCTGTGGCTTTTCCAGGCTGAGGTTGCAAGATGCTAGTGGCTCTACCATTCTTGGGTCTGAAGGACAGCAGCCCACTTGCCACAGCACCACCAGGCAGTGGCCTGGTGGGGACACTCTGGGGGGGTTCCAGCCCACATTTCCCCTTGGCACTGACCTAGTGGTGGCTCTGCCCCTGTGGCACATTTTTGCATGGGCACCCAGGCTTTTCCATACATCCTCTGAAATCTAGGTGGGAGCTCCCAAGCCTTGTTCATGCTTGCATTCTGTATGCCTGCAGGCTTAACACCATGTGGAAGCCACCAGGGCTTATGGCTTGCACCCTCTTGAGCAGTGGCCTAAGCTGTATCTGGGCACCTTTAAGCTGAGGCTAGACCTGGAGCAGCCTGGATGTGGGGAGCAGTGTCTTGAGGCTGTGGAGAGCAGTGGGGCCCTAGGCCTGGCCTATGAAACCATTCTTTCTAGGCCTCTGGGCCTAGATGGGGGGTGCTGCCTCAAGGATTTCTGAAATTCCTTCCAGGCCTTTTTCCCCCTTTGTTTTGAATATTAGCACTTGGCTCCCTTTTAGTCATGCTAATCTCTTTAGCAAGTGGTTGCTCTGCAACCTGCTTGGACTCACTCTACCACAGTGCCAGGTTGCAAATTTTCTAAACTTTTATGCTCTGCTTGTCTTTTAAATATAAGTTCCAGGGCCAGGCACAGTGGCTCATGCTTGTTATCCCAGCACTGTAGGAGGCTGAGGCAGGTGGATCACTTGAGGTCAGGAGTTTGAGACCAGCCTGGCCAACATGGCAAAACCCCATCTCTACTTTAAAAAAAAAAAAAAAAAAAATTAGCCATGCATTGTGGTATACACGTGTAATCCCAGCTACTCAGGATGCTGAGGCTTGAGAATTGCTTGAGCCCAGGTGGTAGAGATTGCAGTAAGCTGATATCATGCCACTGCACTCCGGCCTGGGTGACAGAGCAAGACTCTGTCTCAAAAAAAAAAAAAAAAAAGTTCCAACTTTAAGTCATTTCTTTACTCCCATGACTGATTATAGGCTGTTAGAAGCAGCCAGGTCACATCTTGAACACTTTGCTGTTTAGAAATTTCTTCTGCCAGATATCCTAGGTCATCACTTCTAAGTTCAAAATTCCACAGATCCCTAGGACCCAAACATAATACAGCCGAGCTCTTTGTCAAGGCATAACAAGGGTGACCTTTGCTCCAGTTACCAGTAACTTTCTCATCTGAGACTTTGTCAGCCTGCCCTTCATTGTCAATATTTCTATCAGTATTTTGGTCACAACCATTTAACCAATCTCTAAGAAGTTCCAAAGTTTCCCTCATCTTCCTGTCTTCTTCTGAGCCCCTCAGAACTCTACCAACCTCTGCCTGTTACCCAGTTCCAAAGTTTCTTCCACACTGTCAGGTATGTTTATAGTAACACCCCACTCTCAGTACCAATTTTCTGTATTAGGCCATTCTTGCATTATGATAAAGGGATACCTGAGACTGGGTAATTTGTAAAGAAGAGAGGTTAAATTGTCTCATGGTTCTGCAGGCTCTACAAGCATGGCACCATTATCTGCTCAGCTTCTGGTGAGGGCCTCAGGAAGCTTGCAAACATGGCAGAAGGCAAAGTGAGGGCAGATACATCACATGGCAAGAGTGGGAGCAAGACAGAAAGAGATGGGAGGTGACATGTTCTTTTAAATAACAAGATCTTGTGTGAACTACCAGAGCAAGAACTCATTTATAACCAAGGAGATGGCACTAAGCAATTCATGAGGTGTTTGCATGACCCAAACACCTCCCACCAGGCCCCACCTCCAACACTGGTGATTGCATTTTAACATGAGATTTGGAGGGGATAGACATCCAAACCATATCATAGAGATACAGGGCAAAATTTAGAGAAATATAAACAAAGAAAGCAAAAATTATCACTCAATAAAACTTAGAGCAAAAAGCATATGGGATGAGTAAAGGCAATTTTTAATAATAGGTAAACTGTGAAATAAAGGCCTTGCATTTATACTTATTCATACACCAAATACATATCATCTAAATTCATAAAGCAAAAATATAAGGAAATAAAAGAAGAGGTAGAAATAGAAGTAGGGGCCAGGCGCAGTGGCTCAGGCCTGTAATCCCAGCACTTTGGGAGGCTGAGGCGGGTGGATCACCTGAGGTCAGGAGTTTGACACCAGCCTGGCCAACATGATGAAACCTCATCTCTACTAAAAATACAAAAAATTAGCTGGGCATGGTGGTGTGCCCCTGTAATCCCAGCTACTCGGGAGGCTGAGGCAGGAGAATCGCTTGAACTCGGGAGGTGGAGGTTGCAGCGAGCTGATTGCACCACTGCACTCCAGCCTGGGCAACAAGAGGGAAACTCCATCTCAAAAAAGAAAAAAAAAAGAAATAGAAGTAGGATACTTAATATCTCTCAGTCTATGTAGATATCATTTAAAAATAAATAAGCTCATTGAAGGCCTAAATAAAATACTTTAGGAAAGTTTAATGTATTGAACTCTACACAACCAAAGCAAGTAGTCAGTATCTTCTCAGAAGCCATGCAAAACACAACAGTATCCAGTCACAATGCAAGAAAGGTCAAATGATAAAACTAGAAAACAGAAAACAAAAAACTACCACAACTATTCAACCAAAGAGGAAATCAAAACAAAAAGCCAGAATAATTAGAAAATGACAATAATAAAAATATTTCCTTGAACTTATGAGATAGGACCAAAGTTGTATAGAGAAAAATTCATAGCCAAAGACATTAATAGTAATAAATAATTAAGGATTAAAATAAATTAACAAGATAGAAAACAAAAACAGAAAGAAAAACTAATGTAAAGACAGAATTTAATGTACTAAAATGTTAAATTGGTCTAAAAAATAAGAGGAATTTTCTAGATAAAAATAAGAACCTAATCAAGAAAATGAAAAAGCATAAAAACACAAAGTCATAGAGATGATAAAAATAATCTGAGGGTAAACTAAAAAATTATATGAATCTTATGTTTTAAGTGGCAAAAAAAAAGCTTTTCCTCTAAAATCTGGAACAAGACAAGGATGCCCACTTTCACCACTTTTATTCAACATAGTACCAGAAGTCTTAGGGCAATTAGGTGACAGAAAGAAATACAGGATATCCAAACTGGAAAGGAGGAAGTCAAACTGACTTTGTTTGTAGATAACATAATCTTATAGAAAACTCTACAGACATCACCAAAAATCTTAGAACTAATAAACAAATTCAGTAAAGTTACAGGATATAAGATCAATGTACAAAAACCTGTGGCATTTTTATATACCAGTATCAAACTATCTGTAAAAGAAATTTAAAAAGCAACTCCATTTATATTAGCTAAAAAACTCCCAGGAATAAATTTAACCAAGGAGGTGAAAGAGCTCTACAATGAAAACTCTAAAGCATTAATTTAAAAAATTTGAAGAGAATACAAATAAATGGAAAGCTATCCCATGTTTGTTGATTGGAATAATTACTATTGTGAAAATATCCACAGTATTCAGAGTGATCTACAGATTCCATGCAGTCCCT
The DNA here is from genome assembly GCF_000001405.40 of Homo sapiens. Lineage (NCBI taxonomy): Eukaryota > Metazoa > Chordata > Mammalia > Primates > Hominidae > Homo > Homo sapiens. The sequence goes on from NC_000012.12 coordinate 106,544,431, forward strand.
ATCAAAATACTGATGACATTCTTCACATAAATATCAAGACATCCTAAAATTTGTATGAATGACCTCAAATGGTCAAAACAATCTTGAGAAAAAAAAAAGCAAAGCTAGAGGCATCACACTACTTGACTTCAAAATATACCACAAAGCAATAGTAACCAAAAGATCATGGAACTGGCATAAAAACAGGCACATAGGCCGGGCGCGGTGGCTCACGCCTGTAATCCCAGCACTTTGGGAGGCCGAGGCGGGCAGATCACGAGGTCAGGAGATCGAGACCATCCTGGCTAACACGGTGAAACCCCGTCTCTACTAAAAAATAGAATAAAATTAGCCGGGCATGGTGGCGGGCGCCTGTAGTCCCAGCTACTCAGGAGGCTGAGGCAGGAGAATGGCGCAAACCTGGGATGCGGAGCTTGCAGTGAGCCGCGATCGCGCCACTGCACTCCAGCCGGGCGACAGAGCGAGACTCCGTCTCAAAAAAAAAAAAAAAAACAGGCACATAGACAAATAGAATGGAATAGAGAACCCAGAAATAAATCCATACATTTATAGCCAAATGATTTCTGGCAAAGACACCAAGAACAAATACTGGAGATGAGATAGTTTCTTCAGTAAATGATGCTGGGTAAACTGGATAGCCGTATGCAGAAGAATGAAACTAGACTCCTGTTTCTCACCACCTATCCAAATCAACTCAAAATGGATTAAAGACTTAAATGTAAGATGGCAAACTATAAAACTACTAGAAGAAAACATAGAGTAAATGTTTCATGACATTGGTATGGGCAAATACTTTTTTTATAAGACTCCAAATGCATAGGTAACAAAAGCAAATATAGACAAATGGAATTACATCAAACTAAAAAGTTCCTTCACATCAAAGGAAATCATCAACAAAGTGAAGAGACAATCTACAGAATAAGAGAAAAATATTTGCAAACTATGCATCTCACAAGGGACTAATATCCAGAATATGTTAGAAATGCAAACAACTCAATAGCCAAAAAAAAACAAAAAAACAAAACAAACCCACACCATTCTGATTTAAATACAGGCAAAGGGGCCAGGCACGGTGGCTCATGCCTGTAATCCCAGCACTTTGGGAGGCTGAGGTGGGTGAATCACAAGGTCAAGAGATCAAGACCATCCTGGCCAACATGGTGAAACCCCATCTCTACTAAAATACAAAAAAATTAGCTGGGCGTGGTGGCATGTGCCTGTAGTCCCAGCTACTCAGGAGGCTGAGGCAGGAGAATCGCTTGAACCTGGGAGGCAGAGGCTGCAGTGAGCTGAGACTGCACCACTACGCTCCAGTCTGGCGACAGAATGAGACTACTTCTCAAAAAAAAAAAAGGAAAAAGAAAAAAAAAGAAAAAGATCTGAATAGACATTTTTCCAGAGAACACATACAAATGCTAACAGGTATATGGAAAAGTACGAAACATCATGAATCATCAGAGAAATTCAAGATGTCACTTTACACTTGTTTTTTTTTTTTTTATTATATTTCAAGTTCTAGGGTACATGTGCACAACGTGCAGGTTTGTTACATATGTATACATGTGCCATGTTGGTGTGCTGCACCCATTAACTCGTCATTTACACTAGGTATTTCTCCTAATGCTATCCCTCCCCCCTCCCCCAACCGCACGACAGGCCCTTGTGTGTGATGTTCCCCACACTGTGTCCATGTGTTCTCATTGTTCAATTCCCACCTATGAGTGAGAATATGCGATGTTTGGTTTTCTGTCCTTGCGATAGTTTGCTGAGAATGATGGTTTCCAGCTTCATCCATGTCCCTGCAAAGGACATGAACTCATCCTTGTTTATGGCTGCGTGGTGTTCCATGGTGTATATGTGCCACATTTTCTTAATCCAGTCTATCACTGATGGACATTTGGGTTGGTTCCAAGTCTTTGCTATTGTGAATAGTGGGGCAATAAACATACATATGCATGTGTCTTTATAGTAGCATGATTTATAATCCTTTGGGTATATACCCAGTAATGGGATTACTGGGTCAAATGGTATTTCTAGTTCTAAATCCTTGAGGAATCACCACACTGACTTCCACAATGGTTGAACTAGTTTACAGTCCCACCAACAGTGTAAAAGTGTTCCTGTTTCTCCACATCCTCTCCAGGACCTGTTGTTTCCTGACTTTTTAATGATTACCATTCTAACTGGTGTGACATAGTAGCTCATTGTGGTTTTGATTTGCATTTCTCTGATGGTCGGTGATGATGAGCATTTTTTCATGTGTCTTTCATGTAAATATCTTCTTTTGAGCAGTGTCTGTTCATATCCTTTGCCCACTTTTTGATAAGGTTGTTTGATTTTTTTCTTGGAAATTTGTTTAGGTTCTTTGTAGATTCTGGATATCAGCCCTTTGTCAGATGAGTAGATTGCAAAAATTTTCTCCCATTCTGTAGGTGGCCTATTCACTCTGACAGTAGTTTCTTTTGCTGTGCAGAAGCTCTTTAGTTTAATTAGATCCCATTTGTCTATTTTGGCTTTTGTTGCCATTGCTTTTGTTTTAGTCATGAAGTCCTTCCCATGCCTATGTCCTGAATGGTATTGCCTAGGTTTTCTTCTAGGGCTTTTATGGTTTTAGGTTTAACATTTAAGTCTTTAACCCATCTTGAATCAATTTTTGTACAAGGTGTAAGGAAGGGATCCGTTTCAGCTTTCTACGTATGGCTAGCCAGTTTTCCCAGCACCATTTATTAAATAGGGAATCCTTTCCCCACTTCTTGTTTTTGTCAGGTTTGTCAAAGATCAGATGGTTGTAGGTGTGTGGTATTATTTCTGAGGGCTCTGTTCTGTTCCATTGGTCTATATCTCTGTTTTGGGTACCAGTACTATGCTGTTGTAGTTACTGTAGCCTTGTAGTATAGTTTGAAGTCAGATAGTGTGATGCCTTCAGCTTTGTTCTTTTGGCTTAGGATTGTCTTGGCAGTGCAGGCTCTTTTTTCGTTCCATATGAACTTTAAAGTAGTTTTTTCCAATTCTGTGTGGAAAGTCGTTGGTAGCTTGATGGGGATGGCATTGAATCTATAAATTACCTTGGGCAGTATGGCCATTTTAATGATATTGATTCTTCCTATCCATGAGCATGGAATGTTCTTCCATTTGTTTGGGTCCTTTTTTATTTTGTTGAGCACTGGTTTGTAGTTCTCCTTGAAGAGATCCTTCACATCCCTTGTAAGTTGGACTCCTAGATATTTTATTCTCTTTGAAGCAATTGTGAATGGGAGTTCACTCATGATTTGGTTCTCTGTTTGTCTGTTATTGGTGTATAGGAATGCTTGTGATTTTTGCACATTGATTTTGTATCCTGAGACTTTGCTGAAGTTGCTTATCAGCTTAAGGAGATTTGGGGCTGAGACAATGGGGTTTTCTAAATATACAATCATGTCATCTGCAAACAGGGACAATTTTACTTCCCCTTTTCCTAACTGAATACCCTTTATTTCTTTCTCCTGCCTGATTGCCCTGGCCAGAACTTTCAACACTATGTTGAATAGGAGTGGTGAGAGAGGGCATCCTTGTCTTGTGCCAGTTTTCAAAGGGAATGCTTCCAGTTGTTGCCCATTCAGTATGATATTGGCTGTGGGATTGTCATAAATAGCTCTTACTATTTTGAGATACATCCCATCAATACCTAGTTTATTGAGAGTTTTTAGCATGAAGGGCTGTTGAATTTTGTTGAAGGCCTTTTCTGCATCTATTGTGATAATCATGTGGATTTTGTCTTTGGTTCTGTTTATATGATGGATTACATTTATTGATTTGCATATGTTGAACCAGCCTTGCATCCCAGGGATGAAGCCCACTTGATCATGGTGGATAAGCTTTTTGATGTGCTGCTGGATTCGGTTTGCCAGTATTTTATTGAGGATTTTTACATTGATCTTCATCAGGGATATTGGTCTAAAATTCTCTTTTTTTGTTTTGCCTCTGCCAGGCTTTGGTATCAGGATGACGCTAGCCTCATAAAATGAGTGAGGGAGGATTCCTTCTTTTTTCTTTTGATTGGAATAGTTTCAGAAGAAATGTTACCAGCTCCTCTTTGTACCTCTGGTAGAATTCAGCTGTGAATCCATCTGGTCCTGGACTTTTTTTGGTTGGTAGGCTATTCCTCAATGTCAGAGCCTGATATTGGTCTATTCAGGGATTCAATTTCTTCTTTGTTTAGTCTTGGGAGGGTGTATGTGTCCAGGAATTTATCCATTTCTTTTATGTTTTCTAGTTTATTGCTTAGAGGCGTTTGTAGTATTCTCTGATGGTAGTTTGTATTTCTGTGGGATCGGTGGTGATATCCCCTTTATCATTTTTTATTGCGTCTATTTGATTCTTCTCTCTTTTCTTCTTTATTAGTCTTGCTAGTGGTCTATCTATTTTGTTGGTCTTTTCAAAAAACCAGATGCTGGATTCATTGATTTTTTTGATGGGTTTTTTGTATCTCTATCTCCTTCAGTTCTGCTCTAATCTTAGTCATTTCTTGCCTTCTGCTAGCTATTGAATATGTTTGCTCTTGCTTCTCTAGTCCTTTCAATTGTGATGTTAGGGTGTCAATTTTAGATCTTTCCTACTTTCTCCTGTGGGCATTTAGTGCTATAAATTTCCCTCTACACACTGCTTTAAATGTGTCCCAGAGATTCTGGTACGTTGTGTCTTTGTTCTCATTGGTTTCAAAAAACATCTTTATTTCTGCCTTCATTTCGTTATGTACCCAGTAGTCATTCAGGAGCAGGTTGTTTAGTTTCCATGTAGTTGTGCGGTTTTGAGTGAGTTTCTTAATCCTGAGTTCTAATTTGATTGCACTGTGGTCTGAGAGACAGTTTGTTATCATTTCTGTTCTTTTACATTTGCTGAGGAATGCTTTACTTCCAACTATGTGGTCAGTTTTGGAGTAAATGTGATGTGGTGCTGAGAAGAATGTATATTTTATTGATTTGGGGTGGAGAGTTCTGTAAATGTCTATTAGGTCTGCTGGGTCCAGAGCTGAGTTCAAGTCCTGGATATCCTTGTTAACTTTCTGTCTCTTTGATCTGTCTAATGTTGACAGTGGGAGGGTAAGTCTCCCATTATTATTGTGTGGGAGCCTAAGTCTCTTTGTAGGTCTCTAAGAACTTGCTTTATGAATCTGGGTGCTCCTATATTGGGTGCATATATATTTAGGATAGTTAGCTCTTCTTGTTGAATTGATCCCTTTACCATTATGTAATGGCCTTCTTTGTCTCTTTTGATCTTTGTTGGTTTAAAGTCTGTTTTATCAGAGACTAGGATTTCAACCCCTGCTTTTTTTTGTTTTCCATTTGCTTGGTAGATCTTCCTCCATCCCTTTATTTTATGCCTATGTGTGTCTCTGCACGTGAGATGGGTTTCCTGAATGCAGCACACTGATGGGTCTTGACTCCTTATCCAATTTGCCAGTCTGTGTCTTTTAACTGGGGCACTTAGCCCATTTACATTTAAGGTTAATATTGTTATGTGTGAATTTTATCCTGTCATTATGATGTTATCTGGTTATTTTGCTCCTTAGTTGATGCATTTTCTTCATAGCATCGATGGTCTTTACAATTTGGCATGTTTTTACAGTGGCTGGTACTGGCTGTTCCTTTCCATGTTTAGTGCTTCCTTTAGGAGCTCTTGTAAGGCAGGCCTGGTGGTGACAAAATCTCTCAGCATTTGCTTGTCTGTAAAGAATTTTATTTCTCCTTCACTTATGAAGCTTAGTTTGGCTGGATATGAAATTCTGGGTTGAAAATTCTTTTCTTTAAGAATGTTGAATATTTGTCCCCACTCTCTTCTGGCTTGTAGAGTTTCTGCCAAGAGATCTGCTGTTAGTCTGATGGGCTTCCCTTTGTGGGTAACCCGACCTTTCTCTCTGGCTGCCCTTAACATTTTTTCCTTCATTTCAACCTTGGTGAATCTGACAATTATGTGTCTTGGGGTTGCTCTTCTCGAGGAGTATCTTTGTGGAGTTCTCTGTATTTCCTGAATTTGAATGTTAGCCTGCCTTGCTAGGTTGGGGAAGTTCTCCTGGATAATATCCTGAAGAGTGTTTTCTAACTTGGTTCCATTCTCCCCGTCACTTTCAGGTGCACCAGTCAAACATATATTTGGTCTTTTCATATAGTCCCATATTTCTTGGAGGCTTTGTTCATTTCTTTTTACTCTTTTTTCTCTAAACTTCTCACTTCATTTCGTTCATTTGATCTTCAATCACTGATACCCTTTCTTCCACTTGATTGAATCGGCTACTGAAGCTTGTGCATGAGTCATGTAGTTCTTGTGCCATGGTTTTCAGCTCCATCAGGTCATTTAAGGTCATCTCTACACTGTTTATTCGAGTTAGCCATTCTTCTAATCTTTTTTCAAGGTTTTTAGCTTCCTTGCGATGGGTTTTGAACATCCTCCTTTAGCTTGGAGAAGTTTGTTATTACCGATCTTCTGAAGTCTACTTCTGTCAACTTGTCAAAGACATTCTCCGTCCAACTTTGTTCTGTTGCTGGTGAGGAGCTGCGATCCTTTGGAGAAGAAGAGGTGCTCTGGTTTTTAGAATTTTCAGCTTTTCTGTTCTGGTTTATCACCATCTTTG